>NC_000001.11:124133379-124459405 GCF_000001405.40 Homo sapiens
GACAGAATCATTCCCACAAACTGCGTTGTGATGTGTTCGTTCAACTCACAGAGTTTAACCTTTCTGTTCATAGAGCAGTTAGGAAACACTCTGTTTGTAAAGTCTGTAAGTGGATATTCTGACATCTTGTGCCCTTCGTTGGAAACGGGATTTCTTCCTATTCTGGTAGACAGAAGAATTCTCAGTAACTTCCTTGTGTTGTGTGCATTCAACTCACAGAGTTGAACGATCCTGTACACAGAGCAGACTTGAAACACTCTTTTTGTGGAATTTGCAAGTGGAGATTTCAGCCGCTTTGAGGTCAATGGTAGAAAAGGGAATATCTTCGTATAGAAACTAGACAGAATGATTCTCAGAAACTTCTTGGTGATGTGTGCGTTCAACTCACAGAGTTTAACCTTTCTTTTCATAGAGCAGTTAGGAAACACTCTGTTTGTAAACTCTGCAAGTGGATATTCAGACCTGTTTGAGGCCTTCGTTGGAAACGGGATTTCTTCATACTATGCTAGACAGAAAAATTCCCAGTAACTTCCTTGTGTTGTGTGTGTTCAACTCACAGAGTTGAACTTTCATTTACACAGAGCAGATTTGAAACACTCTTTTTGTGGAATTTGCAAGTGGAGATTTCAAGCGCTTTGAGGCCAAAGGCAGAAAAGGAAATATCTTCGTTTCAAAACTAGACAGAATCATTCTCAGAAACTGCTCTGCGATGTGTGCGTTCAACTCTCAGAGTTTAACTTTTCTTTTCATTCAGCAGTTTGGAAACACTCTGTTTGTAAAGTCTGCACGTGGATATTTTGACCACTTAGAGGCCTTCGTTGCAAACGGGTTTTTTTCCTGTAAGGCTAGACAGAAGAATTCCCAGTAACTTCCTTGTGTTGTGTGCATTCAACTCACAGAGTTGAACGTTCCCTTAGACAGAGCAGATTTGAAACACTCTATTTGTGCAATTTGAAAGTGTAGATTTCAAGCGCTTTAAGGTCAACGGCAGAAAAGGAAATATCTTCGTTTCAAAACTAGACAGAATCATTCCCACAAACTGCGTTGTGATGTGTTCGTTTAACTCACGGAGTTTAACCTTTCTGTTCATAGAGCAGTTAGGAAACACTCTGTTTGTAAATTCTGCAAGTGGATATTCAGACCTCTTTGAGGCCTTCGTTGGAAACGGGATTTCTTCATATTATGCTAGACAGAAGAATTCTCAGTAACTTCCTTGTGTTGTGTGTATTCAACTCACAGAGTTGAATGATCCTTTACACAGAACAGTCTTGAAACACTCTTTTTGTGGAATTTGCAAGTGGAGATTTCAGCCGCTTTGAGGTCTATGGTAGAATAGGAAATATCTTCCTATAGAAACTAGACAGAATGATTCTCAGAAACTCCTTTGTGATGTGTGCGTTCAACTCACAGAGTTTAACCTTTCTTTTCATAGAGCAGTTAGGAAACACTCTGTTTGTAAAGTCTACAAGTGGATATTCAGACATCTTTGAGGCTTTCGTTGGAAACGGGATTTCTTCATATTCTGCTAGACAGAAGAATTCTCAGTAACTTCTTGTGTTGTGTGTATTCAACTGACAGAGTTGAACTTTCATTTAGACAGATCAGATTTGAAACACTGTTTTCGTGGAATTTGCAAGTGGAGGTTTCAAGCGCTTTGAAGCCAAAGGCAGAAAAGGAAATATCTTCCTATAAAAACCAGACAGAAACATTCTCAAAAACTGCTCTGTGATGTGTGCGTTCAACTCTCAGAGTTTAATTTTCTTTTCATTCAGCAGTTTGTAAACACTCTGTTTGTAAAGTCTGCACGTGGATATTTTGACCACTTAGAGGCCTTCGTTGGAAACGAGTTTTTTTCATGTAAGGCTAGACAGAAGAATTCCCAGTAACTTCCTTGTGTTGTGTTCATTCAACTCACAGAGTTGAACGTTCCCTTAGACAGAGTAGATTTGAAACACTCTTTTTGTGCAATTGGCAAGTGGAGATTTCAAGCGCTTTAAGGTCAATGGCAGAAAAGGAAATATCTTCGTTTCAAAACTAGACAGAATGATTCTCAGAAACTTCATTGTGACGTGTGCGTTCAACTCACAGAGTTTAACCTTTCTTTTCATAGAGCAGTTAGGAAACAGTCTGTTTGTCAATTCTGTAAGTGGATATTCTGACATCTTCTGGCCTTCGTTGGAAACGGGATTTCTTCATATTCTGCTAGACAGAAGAATTCTCAGAAACTTCCTTGTGTTGTGTGTTTTCAACTCACAGAGTTGAACGATCCTTTACACAGAGCAGACTTGAAACACTCCTTTTGTGGAATTTGCAAGTGGAGATTTCAGCCGCTTTGAGGTCAATGGTAGAATAGGAAATATCTTCCTATAAAAACTAGACAGAATGATTCTCAGAAACTTCATTGTGATGTGTGCGTTCAACTCACAGACTTTAACCTTTCTTTTCATAGAGCAGTTAGGAAACACTCTGTTTGTAAAGTCTGCAAGTGGATATTCAGACCTCTTTGAGGCCTTCGTTGGAAACTGGTTTTTTTCATGTAAGGCTAGACAGAAGAATTCCCAGTAACTTCCTTGTGTTGTGTGTGTTCAACTCACAGAGTTGAACTTTCATTTACACAGAGCAGATTTGAAACACTCTTTTTGTGGAATTTGCAAATGGAGATTTCAAGCGCTTTGAGGCCAAAGGCAGAAAAGGAAACATCTTCGTATAAAAACTACACAGAATCATTCTCAGAAACTGCTCTGCGATGTGTGCGTTCAACTCTCAGAGTTTAACTTTGCTTTTCATTCAGCAGTTTGGAAACACTCTGTTTGTAAAGTCTGCACGTGGATAATTTGACCACTTAGAGGCCTTCGTTGGAAACGGGTTTTTTTCATGTAAGGCTAGACAGAAGAATTCCCAGTAACTTCATTGTGTTGTGTGCATTCAACTCACAGAGTTGAACGTTCCCTTAGACAGAGCAGATTTGAAACACTCTATTTGTGCAATTTGCAAGTGTAGATTTCAAGCGCTTTATGGTCAACGGCAGAAAAGGAAATATCTTCGTTTCAAAACTAGACAGAATCATTCCCACAAACTGCGTAGTGATGTGTTCGTTCAACTCACAGAGTTTAACCTTTCTGTTCATAGAGCAGTTAGGAAACACTCTGTTTGTAAAGTCTGTAAGTGGATATTCTGACATCTTGTGGCCTTCGTTGGAAACGGGATTTCTTCATATTCTGCTAGACAGAAGAATTCTCAGAAACTTCCTTGTGTTGTGTGTATTCAACTCACAGAGTTGAACGATCCTTTACAGAGAGCAGACTTGAAACACTCTTTTTGTGGAATTTGCAAGTGGAGATTTCAGCCGCTTTGAGGTCAAAGGTAGAATAGGAAATATCTTCCTACAGAAACTAGACAGAATGATTCTCAGAAACTCCTTTGTGATGTGTGCGTTCAACTCACAGAGTTTACCCTTTCTTTTCATAGAGCAGTTAGGAAACACTCTGTTTGTAAAGTCTGCAAGTGGATATTCAGACGTCCTTGAGGCTTTCGTTGGAAACGGGATTTCTTCATATTCTGCTAGAAAGAAGAATTCCCAGTAACTTCCTTGTGATGTGTGTGTTCAACTCACAGAGTTGAACTTTCATTTACACAGAGCAGATTTGAAACACTCTTTTTGTGGAATTTGCAAGTGGAGATTTCAAGCGCTTTGAGGCCAAAGGCAGAAAAGGAAATATCTTCGTATAAAAACTACACAGAAATCATTCTCAGTAAACTGCTGCGTGATGTGTGCGTTCAACTCTCAGAGTTTAACTTTTCTTTTCATTCAGCAGTTTGGAAACACTCTGTTTGTAAAGTCTGCACGTGGAAATTTTGACCACTTAGAGGCCTTCGTTGGAAACGGGTTTTTTTCATGTAAGGCTAGACAGAAGAATTCCCAGTAACTTCCTTGTGTTGTGTACATTCAACTCACAGAGTTGAACGTTCCCTTAGACAGAGCAGATTTGAAACACTCTTTTTGTGCAATTGGCAAGTGGTGATTTCAGCCGCTTTGAGGTCAATGGTATAAAAGGAAATATCTTCGTATTAAAACTAGACAGAATCATTCTCAGAAACTGCTCTGCGATGTGTGCGTTCAACTCTCACAGTTTAACTTTTCTTTTCATTCAGCAGTTTGGAAACACTCTGTTTGTAAAGTCTGCACGTGGATAATTTGACCACTTAGAGGCCTTCGTTGGAAACGGGTTTTTTTCATGTAAGGCTGGACAGAAGAATTCTCAGTAACTTCCTTTTGTTGTGTGTATTCAACTCACAGAGTTGAACGATCCTTTACACAGAGCAGACTTGTAACACTCTTTTTGTGGAATTTGCAAGTGGAGATTTCAGCCGCTTTGAAGTCAAAGGTAGAAAAGGAAATATCTTCCTATAAAAACTAGACAGAATGATTCTCAGAAACTTCTTTGTGATGTGTACGTTCAACTCACAGAGTTTAACCTTTCTTTTCATAGAGCAGTTAGGAAACACTCTGTTTGTAAACTCTGCAAGTGGATATTCAGACCTCTTTGAGGCCTTCGTTGGAAACGGGATTTCTTCATACTATGCTAGACAGAAGAATTCTCAGTAACTTCCTTGTGTTGTGTGTATTCAACTCACAGAGTTGAACGATCCTTTACACAGAGCAGTCTTGAAACACTCTTTTTGTGGAATTTGCAAGTGGAGATTTCAGCCGCTTTGAGGTCAATAGTAGAAAAGGAAATATCGTCGTAGAAAAACTAGACAGAAATCATTCTCAGAAACTGCTCTGCGATGTGTGCGTTCAACTCTCAGCGTTTAACTTTTCTTTTCATTCAGAAGTTTGGAAACACTCTGTTTGTAAAGTCTGCACGTGGATAACTTGACCACTTAGAGGCCTTCGTTGGAAACGGGTTTTTTTCATGTAAGGCTAGACAGAAGAATTCCCAGGAACTTCCTTGTGTTGTGTACATTCAACTCACAGAGTTCAACGTTCCCTTAGACAGAGCAGATTTGAAACACTCTTTTTGTGCAATTGGCAAGTGGTGATTTCAGCCTCTTTGAGGTCAATGGTAGAAAAGGAAATATCTTCGTATAAAAACTAGACAGAATGATTCTCAGAAACTTCTTTGTGAAGTGTGCGTTCAACTCACAGTGTTTAACCTTTCTTTTCATAGAGCAGTTAGGAAACACTCTGTTTGTAAACTCTGCAAGTGGATATTCAGACCTCTTTGAGGCCTTCGTTGGAAACGGGATTTCTTCATACTGTGCTAGACAGAAGAATTCTCAGTAGCTTCATTGTGTTGTGTGTATTCAACTCACAGATTTCAACGATCCTTTACACAGAGCAGACTTGAAACCCTCTTTTTCTGGAATTTGCAAGTGTAGATTTCAGCCGCTTTGAGGTCAATGGTAGAATAGGAAATATCTTCCTATAGAAACTAGACAGAATGATTCTCAGAAACTCCTTTGAGATGTGTGTGTTCAACTCACAGAGTTTAACCTTTCTTTTCATAGAGCAGTTAGGAATCACTCTGTTTGTAAAGTCTGCAAGTGGATATTCAGACCTCTTTGAGGCCTTCGTTGGAAACGGGTTTTTTCATATAAGGCTAGACAGAAGAATTCTCAGTAACTTCCTTGTGTTGTGTGTATTCAACTCACAGAGTTGAACGATCCTTTACACAGAGCAGATTTGTAACACTCTTTTTGTGGAATTTGCAAGTGGAGATTTCAAGCGCTTTGAGGCCAAAGGCAGAAAAGGAAATATCTTCGTTTCAAAACTAGACAGAATCATTCTCAGAAACTGCTCTGTGATGTGTGCGTTCAACTCTCAGAGTTTAACTTTTCTTTTCATTCAGCAGTTTGGAAACACTCTGTTTGTAAAGTCTGCACGTGGATAATTTGACCACTTAGAGGCATTCGTTGGAAACGGGTTTTTTTCATGTAACGCTAGACAGAAGAATTCCCAGTAACTTCCTTGTGTTTTGTGCATTCAACTCACAGAGTTGAACGTTCCCTTAGACAGAGCAGATTTGAAACACTCTATTTGTGCAATTTGCAAGTGTAGATTTCAAGCGCTTTAAGGTCAATGGCAGAAAAGGAAATATCTTCGTTTCAAAACTAGACAGAATGATTCTCAGAAACTCCTTTGTGATGTGTGCGTTCAACTCACAGAGTTTAACCTTTCTTTTAATAGAGCAATTAGGAAACACTCTGTTTCTAAAGTCTGCAAGTGGATATTCAGACCTCTTAGCGGCCTTCGTTGGAAACGAGATTTCTTCATATTTTGCTAGACAAAAGAATTCTCAGTAACTTCCTTGTGTTGTGTGCATTCAACTCACAGAGTTGAACGATCCTTTACACAGAGCAGATTGGAAACACTCTTTTTGTGGAATTGCAAGAGGAGATTTCAGCTGCTTTGAGGTCAATGGTAGAAAAGGAAATATCTTCGTATGAAAACTAGACAGAATGATTCTCATAAACTCCTTTGTGATGTGTGCGTTCAACTCACAGAGTTTAACCTTTCTTTTCATAGAGCAGTTAGGAAACACTCTGTTTGTAAAGTCTGCAATTGGATATTCAGACCCCTTTGAGGCCTTTGTTGGAAACGGGATTTCTTCATATTATGCTAGACAGAAGAATTCTCAGTAACTTCCTTGTGTTGTGTGTATTCAACTGACAGAGTTGAACTTTCATTTAGAGAGAGCAGATTTGTAACACTGTTTTTGTGGAATGTGCAAGTGGAGATTTCAAGCGCTTTGGGGCCAAAGGCAGAAAAGGAAATATCTTCGTATAAAAACTAGACAGAATCATTCTCAGAAACTGCTCTGCGATGTGTGCGTTCAACTCTCAGAGTTTAACTTTTCTTTTCATTCAGAAGTTTGGAAACACTGTGTTTGTAAAGTCTGCACGTGGATAACTTGACCACTTAGAGGCCTTCGTTGGAAACGGGTTTTTTTCATGTAAGGCTAGACAGAAGAATTCCCAGTAACTTCCTTGTGTTGTGTGCATTCAACTCACAGAGTTGAACGTTCCCTTAGACAGAGCAGATTTGAAACACTCTATTTGTGCAATTTGCAAGTGTAGATTTCAAGCGCTTTAAGGTCAATGACAGAAAAGGAAATATCTTCGTTTCAAAACTAGACAGAATCATTCCCACAAACTGCGTTGTGATGTGTTCGTTCAACTCACAGAGTTTAACCTTTCTGTTCATAGAGCAGTTAGGAAACACTCTGTTTGTAATGTCTGTAAGTGGATAATCTGACATCTTGTGGCCTTCGTTGGAAACGGGATTTCTTCATATTCTGCTAGACAGAAGAATTCTCAGTAACTTCCTTGTGTTGTGTGTATTCAAATCACAGAGTTGCACGATCCTTTACACAGAGCAGACTTGAAACACTCTTTTTGTGGAATTTGCAAGTGGAGATTTCAGCCGCTTTGAGGTCAATGGTAGAATAGGAAATATCTTCCTATAGAAACTAGACAGAATGATTCTCAGAAACTCCTTTGTGATGTGTGTGTTCAACTCACAGAGTTTAACCTTTCTTTTCATAGAGCAGTTAGTAAACACTCTGTTTATGAAGTCTGCAAGTGGATATTCAGACCCCTTTGAGGCCTTCGTTGGAAACGGGATTTACTTCATATTCTGCTAGACAGAAGAATTCCCAGTAACTTCCTTGTGTTGTGTGTGTTCAACTCACAGAGTTGAACTTTCATTTACACAGAGCAGATTTGAAACACTCTTTTTGTGGAATTTGCAAATGGAGATTTCAAGCGCTTTGATTCCAAAGGCAGAAAAGGAAATATCTTCGTTTCAAAACTAGACAGAATCATTCTCAGAAACTGCTCTGCGATGTGTGCCTTCAACTCTCAGAGTTTAACTTTTCTTTTCATTCAGCAGTTTGGAAACACTCTGTTTGTAAAGTCTGCACGTGGATATTTTGACCACTTAGAGGCCTTCGTTGGAAATGGGTTTTTTTCCTGTAAGGCTAGACAGAAGAATTCCCAGTAACTTCCTTGTGTTGTGTACATTCAACTCACAGAGTTGAACGTTCCCTTAGACAGAGCAGATTTGAAACACTCTTTTTGTGCAATTGGCAATTGGAGATTTCAAGCGCTTTAAGGTCAATGGCAGAAAAGGAAATATCTTCGTTTCAAAACTAGACAGAATCATTCCCAAAAACTGCGTTGTGATGTGTTCGTTCATCTCACAGAGTTTAACCTTTCTTTTCATAGAGCAGTTAGGAAACAGTCTGTTTGTAAATTCTGTAAGTGGATATTCTGACATCTTGTGGCCTTCGTTGGAAACGGGATTTCTTCATATTCTGCTAGACAGAAGAATTCTCAGTAACTCCCTTGTGTTGTGTGTATTCAACTCACAGAGTTGAACGATCCTTTACACAGAGCAGACTTGAAACACTCTTTTTGTGGAATTTGCAAGTGGAGATTTCAGCCGCTTTGAGGTCAATAGTAGAAAAGGAAATATCTTCGTAGAAAAACTAGACAGAATGATTCTCATAAACTCCTTTGTGATGTGTGCGTTCAACTCACAGAGTTTAACCTTTCTTTTCATAGAGCAGTTAGGAAACACTCTGTTTGTAAAGTCTGCAAGTGGATATTCAGACCTCCTTGAGGCCTTCGTTGGAAACGGGATTTCTTCATATTATGCTAGACAGAAGAATTCTCAGTAACTTCCCTTGTGTTGTGTGTATTCAACTGACAGAGTTGAACTTTCATTTAGAGAGAGCAGATTTGAAACACTGTTTTTGTGGAATTTGCAATTGGAGATTTCAAGCGCTTTGGGGCCAAAGGCAGAAAAGGAAATATCTTCGTATAAAAACTAGACAGAATCATTCTCAGAAACTGCTGCGTGATGTGTGCGTTCAACCCTCAGAGTTTAACTTTTCTTTTCATTCAGCGGTTTGGAAACACTCTGTTTGTATAGTCTGCACGTGGATATTTTGACCACTTAGAGGCCTTCGTTGGAAACGGGATTTTTTCATGTAAGGCTAGACAGAAGAATTCCTAGTAACTTCCTTGTGTTGTGTACATTCAACTCACAGAGTTGAACGTTCCCTTAGACAGAGCAGATTTGAAACACTCTTTTTGTGCAATTGGCAAATGGAGATTTCAAGCGCTTTAAGGTCAATGGCAGAAAAGGAAATATCTTCGTTTCAAAACTAGACAGAATGATTCTCAGAAACTCCTTTGTGATGTGTGCGTTCAACTCACAGAGTTTAACTTTTCTTTTCATAGAGCAGTTAGCAAACACTCTGTTTGTAAAGTCTGCAAGTGGATATTCAGACCTCTTTGAGGCCTTCGTTGGAATCGGGATTTCTTCAAATTCTGCTAGGCAGAAGAATTCTCAGTAACTTCCTTGTGTTGTGTGTATTCAACTCACAGAGTTGAACGATCCTTTACACAGAGCAGACTTGATACACTCTTCTTATGGAATTTGAAAGTGTAGATTTCAGCCGCTTTGAGGTCAATGGTAGAATAGGAAATATCTTCCTATGGAAACTAGACAGAATGATTCTCAGAAACTCCTTTGTGATGTGTGCGTTCAACTCATAGAGTTTAACCTTTCTTTTCATAGAGCAGTTAGGAAACACTCTGTTTGTAAAGTCTGCAAGTGGATATTCAGACCTCTTTGAGGCCTTCGTTGGAAACGGGTTTTTTTCATATAAGGCTAGACAGAAGAATTCTCAGTAACTTCCTTGTGTTTTGTGTATTCAACTGACAGAGTTGAAGTTTCATTTAGAGAGAGCAGATTTGAAACACTGTTTTTGTGGAATTTGCAAGTGGAGATTTCAAGCGCTTTGGGACCAAAGGCAGAAAAGGAAATATCTTCGTATAAAAACTAGACAGAATCATTCTCAGAAACTGCTCTGCGATGTGTGCGTTCAACTCTCAGAGTTTAACTTTTCTTTTCATTCAGCAGTTTGGAAACACTCTGTTTGTAAAGTCTGCACCTGGATATTTTGACCACTTAGAGGCCTTCTTTGGAAACGGGTTTTTTTCATGTAAGGCTAGACAGAAGAATTCCCAGTAACTTCCTTGTGTTGTGTGCATTCAACTCACAGAGTTGAATGTTCCTTTAGACAGAGCAGATTTGAAACACTCTTTTTGTGCAATTTGCAAGTGGAGATTTCAAGCGCTTTAAGGTCAATGGCAGAAAATGAAATATCTTCGTTTCAAAACTACACAGAATCATTCCCACAAACTGCGTTGTGATGTGTTCGTTCAACTCACAGAGTTTAACCTTTCTTTTCATAGAGCAGTTAGGAAACAGTCTGTTTGTAAATTCTGTAAGTGGATATTCTGACATCTTGTGGCCTTCGTTGGAAACGGGATTTCTTCATACTGTGCTAGACAGAAGAATTCTCAGTAACTTCTTTGTGTTGTGTGTATTCAACTCACAGAGTTGAACGATCCTTTACACAGAGCAGACTTGAAACACTCTATTTGTGGAATTTGCAAGTGGAGATTTCAGCCGCTTTGAGGTCAATGGTAGAATAGGAAATATCTTCCTATAGAAACTAGACAGAATGATCCTCAGAAACTCCTTTGTGATGTGTGCGTTCAACTCACAGAGTTTAACCTTTCTTTTCATAGAGCAGTTAGGAAACACTCTGTTTGTAAAGTCTGCAAGTGGATATTCAGACCTCCTTGAGGCCTTCGTTGGAAACGGGATTTCTTCATATTATGCTAGACAGAAGAATTCTCAGTAACTTCCTTGTGTTGTGTGTATTCAACTGACAGAGTTGAACTTTCATTTAGAGAGAGCAGATTTGAAACACTGTTTTTGTGGAATTTGCAAGTGGAGATTTCAAGCGCTTCGGGGCCAAAGGCAGAAAAGGAAATATCTTCGTATAAAAACTAGACAGAATCATTCTCAGAAACTGCTCTGCGATGTGTGCGTTCAACTCTCAGAGTTTAACTTTTCTTTTCATTCAGCAGTTTGGAAACACTCTGTTTGTAAAGTCTGCACGTGGATAATTTGACCACTTAGAGGCCTTCTTTGGAAACGGGTTTTTTTCATATAAGGCTAGACAGAAGAATTCCCAGTAACTTCCTTGTGTTGTGTGCATTCAACTCACAGAGTTGAACGTTCCCTTAGACAGAGCAGATTTGAAACACTCTATTTGTGCAATTTGCAAGTGTAGATTTCAAGCGCTTTAAGGTCAACGGCAGAAAAGGAAATATCTTCGTTTCAAAACTAGACAGAATCATTCCCACAAACTGCGTTGTGATGTGTTCGTTCAACTCACAGAGTTTAACCTTTCTGTTCATAGAGCAGTTAGGAAACACTCTGTTTGTAAAGTCTGTAAGTGGATATTCTGACATCTTGTGGCCTTCGTTGGAAACGGGATTTCTTCATATTCTTCTAGACAGAAGAATTCTCAGTAACTTCCTTGTGTTGTGTGTATTCAACTCACAGAGTTGAACGATCCTTTACACAGAGCAGACTAGTAACACTCTTTTTGTGGAATTTGCAAGTGGAGATTTCAGCCGCTTTGAAGTCAAAGGTAGAAAAGGAAATATCTTCCTATAAAAACTAGACAGAATGATTCTGAGAAACTCCTTTGTGCTGTGTGCATTCAACTCACAGAGTTTAACCTTTCTTTTCATAGAGCAGTTAGGAAACACTCTGCTTGTAAAGTCTGCAAGTGGATACTCAGACCTCCTTGAGGCCTTCGTTGGAAACGGGATTTCTTCCTATTATGCTAGACAGAAGGATTCCCAGTAACTTCCTTGTGTTGTGTGTGTTCAACTCACAGAGTTGAACTTTCATTTACAAAGAGCAGATTTGAAACACTCTTTTTGTGGAATTTGCCAGTGGAGATTTCAAGCGCTTTGAGGCCAAAGGCAGAAAAGGAAATATCTTCGTATAAAAACTAGACAGAATCATTCTCAGAAACTGCTCTGCAATGTGTGCGTTCAACTCTCAGAGTTTAACTTTTCTTTTCATTCAGCAGTTTGTAAACACTCTGTTTGTAAAGTCTGCACGTCGATGTTTTGACCACTTAGAGGCCTTCGTTGGAAACGGGTTTTTTTCCTGTAACGCTAGACAGAAGAATTCCCAGTAACTTCCTTGTGTTGTGTACATTCAACTCACAGAGTTGAACGTTCCCTTAGACAGAGCAGATTTGAAACACTCTTTTTGTGCAATTGGCAAGTGGTGATTTCAGCCGCTTTGAGGTCAATGGTAGAAAAGGAAATATCTTCGTATAAAAACTAGACAGAATCATTCCCACAAACTGCGTTGTGATGTGTTCGTTCAACTCACAGGGTTTAACCTTTCTGTTCATAGAGCAGTTAGGAAACACTCTGTTTGTAAAGTCTGTAAGTGGATATTCTGACATACTTGTGGCCATCGTTGGAAACGGGATTTCTTCATATTCTGCTAGACAGAAGAATTCTCAGTAACTTCCTTGTGTTGTGTGTATTCTACTCACAGAGTTGAACGATCCTTTACACACAGCAGACTTGAAACACTCTTTTTGTGGAAATTGCAAGTGGAGATTTCAGCCGCTTTGAGGTCAATGGTAGAATAGGAAATATCTTCCTATAGAAACTAGACAGAATGATTCTCAGAAACTCCTTTGTGATGTGTGTGTTCAACTCACAGAGTTTCACCTTTCTTTTCATAGAGCAGTTAGGAAACACTCTGTTTGTAAAGTCTGCAAGTGGATATTCAGACCTCCTTGAGGACTTCGTTGGAAACGGGATTTCTTCATATTCTGCTAGACAGAAGAATTCTCAGTAACTTCCTTGTGTTGTGTTTATTGAACTGACAGAGTTGAACTTTCATTTAGAGAGAGCAGATTTGAAACACTGTTTTTGTGGAATTTGCAAGTGGAGATTTCAAGCGCTTTGGGGCCAAAGGCAGAAAACGAAATATCTTCGTATAAAAACTAGACAGAATCATTCTCAGAAACTGCTGCGTGATGTGTGCGTTCAACTCTCAGAGTTTAACTTTTCTTTTCATTCAGCGGTTTGGAAACACTCTGTTTGTAAAGTCTGCACGTGGATATTTTGACCACTTAGAGGCCTTCGTTGGAAACGGGTTTTTTTCATGTAAGGCTAGACAGAAGAATTCCCAGTAACTTCCTTGTGTTGTGTACATTCAACTCACAGAGTTGAACGTTCCCTTAGACAGAGCAGATTTGAAACACTCTTTTTGTGCAATTGGCAAGTGGAGATTTCAAGCGCTTTAAGGTCAATGGCAGAAAGGGAAATATCTTCGTTTCAAAACTAGACAGAATCATTCCCACAAACTGCGTTGTGATGTGTTCGTTCAACTCACAGAGTTTAACCTTTCTTTTCATAGAGCAGTTAGGAAACACTCTGTTGGTAAATTCTGTAGGTGGATATTCTGACATCTTGTGGCCTTCGTTGGAAACGGGATTTCTTCATATTCTGCTAGACAGAAGAATTCTCAGAATCTTCCTTGTGTTGTGTGTATTCAACTCACAGAGTTGAACGATCCTTTACACAGAGCAGACTTGAAACACTCTTTTTGTGGAATTTGCAAGTGGACATTTCAGCCGCTTTGAGGTCCATGGTAGAAAAGGAAATATCTTCGTACAAAAACTAGACAGAATGATTCTCAGAATCTTCTTTGTGATGTGTGCGTTCAACTCACAGAGTTTAACCTTTCTTTTCATAGAGCAGTTAGGAAACACTCTGTTTGTAAATTCTGCAAGTGGATATTCAGACCTCATTGAGGCCTTCGTTGAAAACGGGATTTCTTCATACTATGCTAGACAGAAGAATTCCCAGTAACTTCCTTGTGTTGTGTGTGTTCAACTCACAGAGTTGAACTTTCATTTACACAGAGCAGATTTGAAACACTCTTTTTGTGGAATTTGCAAATGGAGATTTCAAGCGCTTTGAGACCAAAGGCAGAAAAGGAAATATCTTCGTATAAAAACTAGACAGAATCATTCTCAGAAACTGCTGCGTGATGTGTGCGTTCAACTCTCAGAGTTTAACTTTTCTTTTCATTCAGCAGTTTGGAAACACTCTGTTTGTAAAGTCTGCACGTGGAAATTTTGACCACTTAGAGGCCTTCGTTGGAAACGGGTTTTTTTCATGTAAGGCTAGACAGAAGAATTCCCAGTAACTTCCTTGTGTTGTGTACATTCAACTCACAGAGTTGAACGTTCCCTTAGACAGAGCAGATTTGAAACACTCTTTTTGTGCAATTGGAAAGTGGAGATTTTAAGCGCTTTAAGGTCAATGGCAGAAAAGGAAATATCTCCGTTTCAAAACTAGACAGAATCATTCCCACAAACTGCGTTGTCATGTGTTCGTTCAACTCACAGAGTTTAACCTTTCTTTTCATAGAGCAGTTAAGAAACAGTCTGTTTGTAAATTCTGTAAGTGGATATTCTGACATCTTGTGGCCTTCGTTGGAAACGGGATTTCTTCATATTCTGCTAGACAGAATAATTCTCAGTAACTTCCTTGTGTTGTGTGTATTCAACTCACAGAGTTGAACGATCCTTTACAGAGAGCAGACTTGAAAAACTCTTTTTGTGGAATTTGCAAGTGGAGATTTCAGCCGCTTTGAGGTCAATGGTAGAAAAGGAAATATCTTCGTATAAAGAATAGACAGAATGATTCTCAGAAACTTCATTGTGATGTGTGCGTTCAACTCACAGAGTTTAACCTTTCTTTTCATAGAGCAGTTAGGAAACACTCTGTTTGTAAACTCTGCAAGTGGATATTCACACCCCTTTGAGGCCTTCGTTGGAAACGGGATTTCTTCATACTGTGCTAGACAGTAGAATTCTCAGTAACTTCCTTGTGTTGTGTGTATTCAACTCACAGAGTTGAACGATCCTTTACACAGAGCGGACTTGAAACACTCTTTTTGTGGAATTTGCAAGTGGAGATTTCAGCCGCTTTGAGGTCAATGGTAGAAAAGGAAATATCTTCGTATAAAAACTAGACAGAATCATTCTCAGAAACTGCTCTGCGATGTGTGCGTTCAACTCTCAGAGTTTAACTTTTCTTTTCATTCAGCAGTTTGGAAACACTCTGTTTGTAAAGTCTGCACGTGGATATTTTGACCACTTAGAGGCCTTTGTTGGAAACGGGTTTTTTTCCTGTAAGGCTAGACAGAAGAATTCCCAGTAACTTCCTTGCGTTGTGTACATTCAACTCACAGAGTTGAACGTTCCCTTAGACAGAGCAGATTTGAAACACTCTTTTTGTGCAATTGGCAAGTGGAGATTTCAAGCGCTTTAAGGTCAATGGCAGAAAAGGAAATATCTTCGTTTCAAAACTAGACAGAATCATTCCCACAAACTGCGTTGTGATGTGTTCGTTCAACTCACAGAGTTTAACCTTTCTGTTCATAGAGCAGTTAGGAAACACTGTGTAAAGTCTGTTAGTGGATATTCTGACATCCTTGTGGCCTTCGTTGGAAACGGGATTTCTTCATATTCTGCTAGACAGAATAATTCTCAGTAACTCCCTTGTGTTGTGTGTATTCAACTCACAGAGTTGAACGATCCTTTACACAGAGCAGACTTGAAACACACTTTTGGTGGAATTTGCAAGTGGAGATTTCAGCCGCTTTGAGGTCAATGGTAGAAAAGGAAATATCTTCGTATAAAGACTAGACAGAATGATTCTCAGAAACTCCTTTGTGATGTGTGTGTTCAACTCACAGAGTTTAACCTTTCTTTTCATAGAGCAGTTAGGAAACACTCTGTTTGTAAAGTCTGCAAGTGGATATTCAGACCTCTTTGAAGCCTTCGTTGGAAACGGGTTTTTTTCATATAAGGTTAGACAGAAGAATTCTCAGTAACTTCCTTGTGTTGTGTGTATTCAACTGACAGAGTTGAACTTTCAGTTGGAGAGAGCAGATTTGAAACACTGTTTTTGTGGAATTTGCAAGTGGAGATTTCAAGCGCTTTGGGGCCAAAGGCAGAAAAGGAAATATCTTCGTATAAAAACTAGACAGAATCATTCTCAGAAACTGCTGCGTGATGTGTGCGTTCAACTCTCAGAGTTTAACTTTTCTTTTCATTCAGCGGTTTCGAAACACTCTGTTTGTAAAGTCTGCACGTGGATATTTTGACCACTTAGAGGCCTTCGTTGGAAACGGGTTTTTTGCATGTAAGGCTAGACAGAAGAATTCTCAGTAACTTCCGTGTGTTGTGTGTATTCAACTCAAAGAGTTGAACGATCCTTTACACAGAGCAGACTTGTAACACTCTTTTTGTGGAATTTGCAAGTGGTGATTTCAGCCGCTTTGAAGTCAAAGGTAGAAAATGAAATATCTTCCTATAAAAACTAGACAGAATCATTCCCACAAACTGCGTTGTGATGTGTTCGTTCAACTCACAGAGTTTAACCTTTCTTTTCATAGAGCACTTAGGAAACAGTCTGTTTGTAAATTCTGTAAGTGGATATTCTGACATCTTGTGGCCTTCGTTGGAAACGGGATTTCTTCATATTCTGCTAGACAGAAGAATTCTCAGAAACTTCCTTGTGTTGTGTGTTTTCAACTCACAGAGTTGAACGATCCTTTACACAGAGCAGACTTGAAACACTCTTTTTGTGGAATTTGCAAGTGGAGACTTCAGCCGCTTTTAGGTCAATGGTAGAATAGGAAATATCTTCCTATAAAAACTAGACAGAATGATTCTCAGAAACTCCTTTGTGATGTGTGCGTTCAACTCACAGAGTTTAACCTTTCTTTTCATAGAGCAGTTAGGAAACACTCTGTTTGTAAAGTCTGCAAGTGGATATTCAGACCTCTTTGAGGCCTTCGTTGGAAACGGGTTTTTTACAAGATAAGGCTTGACAGAAGAATTCCCAGTAACTTCCTTGTGTTGTGTGTGTTCAACTCACAGAGTTGAACTTTCATTTACACAGAGCAGATTTGAAACACTCTTTTTTTGGAATTTGCAAGTGGAGATTTCAAGCGCTTTGAGGCCAAAGGCAGAAAAGGAAATGTCTTCGTTTCAAAACTAGACAGAATCATTCTCAGAAACTGCTCTGCGATGTGTGCGTTCAACTCTCAGAGTTTAACTTTTCTTTTCATTCAGCAGTTTGGAAACACTCTGTTTATAACGTCTGCACGTGGATAACTTGACCACTTAGAGGACTTCGTTGGAAACGGTTTTTTTTCCTGTAAGGCTAGACAGAAGAATTCCCAGTAACTTCCTTGCGTTGTGTACATTCAACTCACAGAGTTGAACGTTCCCTTAGACAGAGCAGATTTGAAACACTCTTTTTGTGCAATTGGCAAGTGGAGATTTCAAGCGCTTTAAGGTCAATGGCAGAAAAGGAAATATCTTCGTTTCAAAACTAGACAGAATGATTCTCATGAACTCCTTTGTGATGTGTGCGTTCAACTCACAGAGTTTAACCTTTCTTTTCATAGAGCAGTTAGGAAACACTCTGTTTGTAAAGTCTGCAAGTGGATATTCAGACCTCCTTTTGGCCTTCGTTGGAAACGGGATTTCTTCATATTCTGCTAGACAGAAGAATTCTCAGTAACTTCCTTGTGTTGTGTTTATTCAACTCACAGAGTTGAATGATCCTTTACACAGAGCAGACTTGAAACACACTTTTTGTGGAAATTGCAAGTGGAGATTTCAGCCGCTTTGAGGTCAATGGTAGAAAAGTAAATATCTTCGTATAAAGACTAGACAGAATGATTCTCAGAAACTCCTTTGTTATGTGTGCGTTCAACTCACAGAGTTTAACCTTTCTTTTCATAGAGCAGTTAGGAAACACTCTGTTTGTAAAGTCTGCAAGTGGATATTCAGACCTCTTTGAGGCCTTCGTTGGAAACGGGTTTTTTTCATATAAGTCTAGACAGAAGAATTCCCAGTAACTTCCTTGTGTTGTGTGTGTTCAACTCACACAGTTGAACTTTCATTTACACAGAGCAGATTTGAAACACTCTTTTTGTGGAATTTGAAAATGGAGATTTCAAGCGCTTTGAGGCCAAAGGCAGAAAAGGAAATATGTTCGTATAAAAACTAGACAGAATCATTCTCAGAAACTGCTCTGCGATGTGTGCGTTCAACTCTCAGAGTTTAACTTTTCTTTTCATTCAGCAGTTTGGAAACACTCTGTTTGTAACGTCTGCACGTGAATAATTTGACCACTTAGAGGCCTTCGTTGGAAACGGGTTTTTTTCATGTAAGGCTAGACAGAAGAATTCCCAGTAACTTCCTTGTGTTGTGTGCATTCAACTCACAGAGTTGAACGTTCCCTTAGACAGAGCAGATTTGAAACACTCTATTTGTGCAATTTGCAAGTGTAGATTTCAAGCGCTTTAAGGTCAATGGCAGAAAAGGAAATATCTTCGTTTCAAAACTAGACAGAATGATTCTCATAAACTCCTTTGTGATGTGTGCATTCAACTCACAGAGTTTCACCTTTCTTTTCATAGAGCAGTTAGAAAAAACTCTGTTTGTAAAGTCTGCAAGTGGATATTCAGACCTCCTTGAGGCCTTCGTTGGAAACGGGATTTCTTCATATTATGCTAGACAGAACAATTCTCAGTAACTTCCTTGTGTTGCGTGTATTCAACTCACAGAGTTGAACGATCCTTTACACAGAGCAGACTTGAAACACTCTTTTTGTGGAATTTGCAAGTGGAGATTTCATCCGCTTTGAGGTCAATGGTGGAAAAGGAAATATCTTCGTATAAAGACTAGACAGAATGATTCTCAGAAACTCCTTTGTGATGTGTGTGTTCAACTCACAGAGTTTAACCTTTCTTTTCATAGAGCAGTTCGTAAACACTCTGTTTATAAAGTCTGCAAGTGGATATTCAGACCCCTTTGAGGCCTTCTTTGGAAACGGGATTTCTTCATATTATGCTAGACAGAAGAATTCCCAGTAACTTCCTTGTGTTGTGTGTGTTCAACTCACACAGTTGAACTTTCATTTACACTGAGCAGATTTGAAACACTCTTTTTGTGGAATTTGCAAATGGAGATTTCAAGCGCTTTGAGGCCAAAGGCAGAAAAGGAAATATCTTCGTATAAAAACTAGACAGAATCATTCTCAGAAACTGCTCTGCGATGTGTGCGTTCAACTCTCAGAGTTTAACTTTTCTTCTCATTCAGCAGTTTGGAAACACTCTGTTTGTAAAGTCTGCACGTGGATAATTTGACCACTTAGAGGCCTTCGTTGGAAACGGGTTTTTTTCATGTAAGGCTAGACAGAAGAATTCCCAGTAACTTCCTTGTGTTGTGTGCATTCAACTCACAGAGTTGAACGTTCCCTTAGACAGAGCAGATTTGAAACACTCTATTTGTGCAATTTGCAAGTGTAGATTTCAAGCGCTTTAAGGTCAACGGCAGAAAAGGAAATATCTTCGTTTCAAAACTAAACAGAATCATTCCCACAAACTGCGTTGTGATGTGTTCGTTCAACTCACAGAGTTTAACCTTTCTGTTCATAGCGCAGTTAGGAAACACTCTGTTTGTAAAGTCTGTAAGTGGATATTCTGACATTTTGTGGCCTTCGTTGGAAATGGGATTTCTTCATATTCTCCTAGACAGAAGAATTCTCAGTAACTTCCTTGTGTTGTGTGTATTCAACTCACAGATTTGAACGATCCTTTACACAGAGCAGACTTGAAACGCTCTTTTTGTGGAATTTGCAAGTGGAGATTTCACCCGCGTTGAAGTCAATGGTAGAAAAGGAAATATCTTCGTATAAAAACTAGACAGAATGATTCTCAGAAACTCCTTTGTGATGTGTGCGTTCAACTCACAGAGTTTAACCTTTCTTTTCATAGAGCAGTTGGGAAACACTCTGTTTGTAAAGTTTGCAAGTGGATATTCAGACATCCTTGAGGCTTTCGTTGGAAACGGGATTTCTTCATATTCTGCTAGAAGGAAGAATTCCCAGTAACTTCCCTTGTGTTGTGTGTGTTCAACTCACAGAGTTGAACTTTCATTTACACAGAGCAGATTTGAAACTCTCTTTTTGTGGAATTTGCAAATGGAGATTTCAAGCGCTTTGAGGTCAAAGGCAGAAAAGGAAATATCTTCGTATAAAAACTAGACAGAATCATTCTCAGAAACTGCTCTGCGATGTGTGCGTTCAACTCTCAGAGTTTAACTTTTCTTTTCATTCAGCAGTTTGGAAACACTCTGTTTGTAAAGTCTGCACGTGGATATTTTGACCACTTAGAGGCCTTCATTGGAAACGGGTTTTTTTCCTGTAAGGCTAGACAGAAGAATTCCCAGTAACTTCCTTGTGTTGTGTGCATTCAACTCACAGAGTTGAACGTTCCCTTAGACAGAGCAGATTTGAAACACTCTATTTGTGCAATTTGCAAGTGTAGATTTCAAGCGCTTTAAGGTCAAGGGCAGAAAAGGAAATATCTTCGTTTCAAAACTAGACAGAATCATTCCCACAAACTGCGTTGTGATGGGTTCGTTCAACTCACAGAGTTTAACCTTTCTGTTCATAGAGCAGTTAGGAAACACTCTGTTTGTAAAGTCTGTAAGTGGATATTCTGACATCTTGTGGCCTTCGTTGGAAACGGGATTACTTCATATTCTGCTAGACAGAAGAATTCTCAGTAACTTCCTTGTGTTGTGTTTATTCAACTCACAGAGTTGAATGATCCTTTACACAGAGCAGACTTGAAACACTCTTTTTGTGGAATTTGTAAGTGGAGATTTCAGCCGCTTTGAGGTCAATAGTAGAAAAGGAAATATCTTCGTAGAAAAACTACACAGAATGATTCTCAGAAACTCCTTTGTGATGTGTGTTTTCAACTCACAGAGTTTAACCTTCCTTTTCATAGAGCAGTTAGTAAACACTCTGTTTATAAAGTCTGCAAGTGGATATTCAGACCCCTTTGAGGCCTTCGTTGGAAACGGGATTTATTCATATTCTGCTACACAGAAGAATTCTCAGTAACTTCCTTGTGTTGTGTGTATTCAACTGACAGAGTTGAACTTTCATTTAGAGACAGCAGATTTGAAACACTGTTTTTGTGGAATTTGCAAGTGGAGATTTCAAGCGCTTTTGGGCCAAAGGCAGAAAAGGAAATATCTTCGTATAAAAACTAGACAGAATCATTCTCAGAAACTGCTCTGCGATGTGTGCGTTCAACTCTCACAGTTTAACTTTTCTTTTCATTCAGCAGTTTGGAAACACTCTGTTTGTAAAGTCTGCACGTGGATAATTTGACCACTTAGAGGCCTTCATTGGAAACGGGTTTTTTTCATGTAAGGCTAGACAGAAGAATTCCCAGTAACTTCCTTGTGTTGTGTGCATTCAACTCACAGAGTTGAACGTTCCCTTAGACAGAGCAGATTTGAAACACTCTATTTGTCCAATTTGCAAGTGTAGATTTCAAGCGCTTTAAGGTCAACGGCAGAAAAGGAAATATCTTCGTTTCAAAACTAGACAGAATCATTCCCACAAACTGCGTTGTGATGTGTTCGTTCAACTCACAGAGTTTAACCTTTCTTTTCATAGAGCAGTTAGGAAACACTCTGTTTGTAAAGTCTCTAAGTGGATATTCTGACATCTTGTGGCCTTCGTTGGAAACGGGATTTCTTCATATTATGCTATACAGAAGAATTCTCAGTAACTTCCTTGCGTTGTGTGTATTCAACTCACAGAGTTGAACGATCCTTTACACAGAGCAGACTTGAAACATTCTTTTTGTGGAATTTGCAAGTGGAGATTTCAGCCGCTTTGAGGTCAATGGTAGAATAGGAAATATCTTCCTATAGAAACTAGACAGAACGATTCTCAGAAACTCCATTGTGATGTGTGCGTTCAACTCACAGAGTTTAACCTTTCTTTTCATAGAGCAGTTAGGAAACACTCTGTTTGTAAAGTCTGCAAGTGGATATTCAGACCTCTTTGAGGCCTTCGTTGGAAACGGGATTTCTTCCTATTCTGCTAGACAGAAGAATTCCCAGTAACTTCCTTGTGCTGTGTGTGTTCAACTCACAGAGTTGAACTTTCATTTACACAGAGCAGATTTGAAACACTCTTTTTGTGGAATTTGCAAATGGAGATTTCAAGCGCTTTGAGGCCAAAGGCAGAAAAGGAAATATCTTCGTTTCAAAACTAGACAGAATGATTCTCAGAAACTGCTCTGCGATGTGTGCGTTCACCTCTCAGAGTTTAACTTTTCTTTTCATTCAGCAGTTTGGAAACCCTCTGTTTGTAAAGTCTGCACGTGCATAATTTGACCACTTAGAGGCCTTCGTTGGAAACGGGTTTTTTTCATGTAAGGCTAGACAGAAGAATTCCCAGTAACTTCCTTGTGTTGTGTACATTCAATTCACAGAGTTGAACGTTCCCTTAGACAGAGCAGATTTGAAACACTCTTTTTGTGCAATTGGCAAATGGAGATTTCAAGCGCTTTAAGGTCAATGGCAGAAAAGGAAATATCTTCGTTTCAAAACTAGACAGAATCATTCCCACAAACTGCGTTGTGAAGTGTTCGTTCAACTCACAGAGTTTAACCTTTCTTTTCATAGAGCAGTTAGGAAACACTCTGTTTGTAAATTCTGTAAGTGGATATTCTGACATCTTGGGGCCTTCGTTGGAAACGGGATTTCTTCATATTCTGCTAGACAGAAGAATTCTCAGTAACTTCCTTGTGTTGTGTGTATTCAACTCACAGAGTTGAATGATCCTTTACACAGTAGCAGACTTGAAACACTCTTTTTGTGGAATTTGCAAGTGGAGATTTCAGCCGCTTTGAAGTCAAAGGTAGAAAAGGAAATATCTTCCTATAAAAACTAGACAGAATGATTCTCAGAAACTCCTTTGTGATGTGTGCGTTCAACTCACAGAGTTTAACCTTTCTTTTCATAGAGCAGTTAGGAAACACTCTGTTTGTAAAGTCTGCAAGTGGATATTCAGACCTCTTTGAGGCCTTCGTTGGAAACGGTATTTCTTCATATTATGCTAGACAGAAGGATTCCCAGTAACTTCCTTGTGTTGTGTGTGTTCAACTCACAGAGTTGAACTTTCATATACAAAGAGCAGATTTGAAACACTCTTTTTGTGGAATTTGCAAGTGGAGATTTCAAGCGCTTTGAGGCCAAAGGCAGAAAAGGAAATATCTTCGTATAAAAACTAGACAGAATCATTCTCAGAAACTGCTCTGCGATGTGTGCGTTCAACTCTCAGAGTTTAACTTTTCTTTTCATTCAGCAGTTTGTAAACTCTCTGTTTGTAAAGTCTGCACGTGGATATTTTGACCACTTAGAGGCCTTCGTTGGAAACGGGTTTTTTTCCTGTAAGGCTAGACAGAAGAATTCCCAGTAACTTCCTTGTGTTGTGTACATTCAACTCACAGAGTTGAACGTTAACTTAGACAGAGCAGATTTGAAACACTCTTTTTGTGAAATTGGCAAGTGGAGATTTCAAGAGTTTTAAGGTCAATGGCAGAAAAGGAAATATCTTCGTTTCAAAACTAGACAGAATCATTCCCACAAACTGCGTTGTGATGTGTTCGTTCAACTCACAGAGTTTAACCTTTCTGTTCATAGAGCAGTTAGGAAACACTCTGTTTGTAAAGTCTGTAAGTGGATATTCAGACATCTTGTGGCCTTCGTTGGAAACGGGATTTCTTCATATTCTGCTAGACAGAAGAATTCTCAATAACTTCCTTGTGTTGTGTTTATTCAACTCACAGAGTTGAATGATCCTTTACACAGAGCAGACTTGAAACACACTTTTTGTGGAAATTGCAAATGGAGATTTCAGCCGCTTTGAGGTCAATGGTAGAAAAGTAAATATCTTCGTATAAAGACTAGACAGAATGATTCTCAGAAACTCCTTTGTGATGTGTGCGTTCAACTCACAGAGTTTAACCTTTGTTTTCATAGAGCAGTTAGGAAACACTCTGTTTGTAAAGTCTGCAAGTGGATATTCAGACCTCTTTGAGGCCTTCGTTGGAAACGGGTTTTTTTCATATAAGGCTAGACAGAAGAATTCTCAGTAACTTCCTTGTGTTGTGTGTATTCAACTGACAGAGTTGAACTTTCATTTAGAGAGAGCAGATTTGAAACACTGTTTTTGTGGAATTTGCAAATGGAGATTTCAAGAGCTTTGGGGCCAAAGGCAGAAAAGGAAATATCTTCGTATAAACACTAGACAGAATCATTCTCAGAAACTGCTGCGTGATGTGTGCGTTCAACTCTCAGAGTTTAACTTTTCTTTTCATTCAGCGGTTTGGAAACACTCTGTTTGAAAAGTCTGCACGTGGATATTTTGACCACTTAGAGGCCTTCGTTGGAAACGGGTTTTTTTCATGTAAGGCTAGACAGAAGAATTCCCAGTAACTTCCTTGTGTTGTGTGCATTCAACTCACAGAGTTGAACGTTCCCTTAGACAGAGCAGGTTTGAAACACTCTATTTGTGCAATTTGCAAGTGTAGATTTCAAGCGCTTTAAGGTCAATGGCAGAAAAGGAAATATCTTCGTTTCAAAACTAGACAGAATCATTCCCACAAACTGCGTTGTGATGTGTTCGTTCAACTCACAGAGTTTAACCTTTCTGTTCATAGAGCAGTTAGGAAACACTCTGTTTGTAAAGTCTGTAAGTGGATATTCTGACATCTTGTGGCCTTCGTTGGAAACGGGATTTCTTCGTATTCTGCTAGACAGAAGAATTCTCAGTAACTTCCTTGTGTTGTGTGTATTCAACTCACAGAGTTGAACGATCCTTTACACAGAGCAGACTTGAAACACTCTTTTTGTGGAATTTGCAAGTGGAGATTTCAGCCGCTTTGAGGTCAATGGTAGAAAAGTAAATATCTTCGTATAAAGACTAGACAGAATGATTCTCAGATACTCCTTTGTGATGTGTGCATTCAACTCACAGAGTTTAACCTTTCTTTTCATAGAGCAGTTAGGAAACACTCTGTTTGTAAAGTCTGCAAGTGGATATTCAGACCTCCTTGTGGCCTTCGTTGGAAACGGGATTTCTTCATATTATGCTAGACAGAAGAATTCCCAGTAACTTCCTTGTGTTGTGTGTGTTCAACTCACAGAGTTGAACTTTCATTTACACAGAGAAGATTTGAAACACTCTTTTTGTGGAATTTGCAAGTGGAGATTTCAAGCGCTTTGAGGCCAAAGGCAGAAAAGGAAATATCTTCGTTTCAAAACTAGACAGAATCATTCTCAGAAACTGCTCTGCGATGTGTGCGTTCAACTCTCAGAGTTTGACTTTTCTTTTCATTCAGCAGTTTGGAAACACTCTGTTTGTAAAGTCTGCACGTGGATATTTTGACCACTTAGAGGCCTTCGTTGGAAACGGGTTTTTTTCCTGTAAGGCTAGACAGAAGAATTCCCAGTAACTTCCTTGTGTTGTGTGCATTCAACTCACAGAGTTGAACGTTCCCTTAGACAGAGCAGATTTGAAACACTCTATTTGTGCAATTTGCAAGTGTAGATTTCAAGCGCTTTAAGGTCAACGGCAGAAAAGGAAATATCTTCGTTTCAAAACTAGACAGAATTATTCTGAGAAACTCCTTTGTGATGTGTGCGTTCAACTCACAGAGTTTAACCTTTCTTTTCATAGAGCAGTTAGGAAACACTCTGTTTGTAAAGTCTGCAAGTGGATATTCAGACCTCCTTGAGGCCTTCGTTGGAAACGGGATTTCTTAATATTATGCTAGACAGAAGAATTCTCAGTAACTTCCTTGTGTTGTGTGTATTCAACTCACAGAGTTGAACGATCCTTTACACAGAGCAGACTTGAAACACTCTTTTTGTGAAATTTGCAAGTGGAGATTTCAGCCGCTTTGAGTTCAATGGTAGAATAGGAAATATCTTCCTATAGAAACTAGACAGAATGATTCTCAGAAACTCCTTTGTGATGTGTGCGTACAACTCACAGAGTTTAACCTTTCTTTTCATAGTGCAGTTAGGAAACACTCTGTAAAGTCTGCAAGTGGATATTCAGACCTCTTTGAGGCCTTCGTTGGAAACGGGATTTCTTCATATTATGCTAGACAGAAGAATTCTCAGTAAATTCCTTGTGTTGTGTGTATTCAACTGACAGAGTTGAACTTTCATTTGGAGAGAGCAGATTTGAAACACTATTTTTGTGGAATTTGCAAGTGGAGATTTCAAGCGCTTTGGGGCCAAAGGCAGAAAAGGAAATATCTTCGTATAAAAACTAGACAGAAATCATTCTCAGAAACTGCTGCGTGATGTGTGCGTTCAACTCTCAGAGTTTAACTTTTCTTTTCATTCAGCGGTTTGGAAACACTCTGTTTGTAAAGTCTGCACGTGGATATTTTGACCACTTAGAGGCCTTCGTTGGAAACGGGTTTTTTTCATGTAAGGCTAGACAGAAGAATTCCCAGTAACTTCCTTGTGTTGTGTGCATTCAACTCACAGAGTTGAACGTTCCCTTAGACAGAGCAGATTTGAAACACTCTATTTGTGCAATTTGCAAGTGTAGATTTCAAGCGCTTTAAAGTCAATGGAAGAAAAGGAAATATCTTCGTTTCAAAACTAGACAGAATCATTCCCACAAACTGCGTTGTGATGTGTTCGTTCAACTCACAGAGTTTAACCTTTCTGTTCATAGAGCAGTTAGGAAACACTCTGTTTGTAAAGTCTGTAAGTGAATGTTCTGACATCTTGTGGCCTTCGTTGGAAACGGGATTTCTTCATATTCTGCTAGACAGAAGAATTCTCAGTAACTTCCTTGTGTTGTGTGTATTCAACTCACAGAGTTGAACGATCCTTTACACAGAGCAGACTTGAAACACTCTTTTTGTGGAATTTGCAAGTGGAGATTTCAGCCTCTTTGAGGTCAATGGTAGAATAGGAAATATCTTCCTATAGAAACTAGGCAGAATGATTCTCAGAAACTTCATTGTGATGTGTGCGTTCAACTCACAGAGTTTAACCTTTCTTCTCATAGAGCAGTTAGGAAACACTCTGTTTGTAAACTGTGCAAGTGGATATTCAGACCTCTTTGAGGCCTTCGTTGGAAACGGAATTTCTTCATACTATGCTAGACAGAAGAATTCTCAGTAACTTTCTTGTGTTGTGTGTATTCAACTCACAGAGTTGAACGATCCTTTACACAGAGCAGACTTGAAACACTCTTTTTGTGGAATTTGCAAGTGGAGATTTCAAGCGCTTTGGGGCTAAAGGCAGAAAAGGAAATATCTTCGTATAAAAACTAGACAGAATCATTCTCAGAAACTGCTGCGTGATGTGTGCCTTCAACTCTCAGAGTTTAACTTTTCTTTTCATTCAGCGGTTTGGAAACACTCTGTTTGTAAAGTCTGCACGTGGAAATTTTGACCACTTAGAGGCCTTCGTTGGAAACGGGTTTTTTTCATGTAAGGCTAGACAGAAGAATTCCCAGTAACTTCCTTGTGTTGTGTGTATTCAACTCACAGAGTTGAACTTTCCCTTAGACAGAGCAGATTTGAAACACTCTTTTTGTGCAATTTGGAAGTGGAGATTTCAAGCGCTTTAGGGTCAATGGCAGAAAAGAAAATATCTTCATCTCAAAACTAGACAGAATCATTCCCACAAACTGCGTTGTGATGTGTTCGTTCAACTCACAGCAGTTTAACCTTGCTTTTCATAGAGCAGTTAGGAAACAGTCTGTTTGTAAATTCTGTAAGTGGATATTCTGACATCTTGTGGCCTTCCTTGGAAACGGGATTTCTTCATATTCTGCTAGACAGAAGAATTCTCAGTAACTTCCTTGTGTTGTGTGCATTCAAATCACAGAGTTGAAAGATCCTTTACACAGAGCAGATTAGAAACACTCTTTTTGTGGAACTTGCAATTGGATATTTCAGCCGCTTTGAGGTCAATGGTAGAAAAGGAAATATCTTCGTATAAAAACTAGACAGAATGATTCTCAGAAACTCCTTTGTGATGTGTGCGTACAACTCACAGAGTTTAACCTTTCTTTTCATAGAGTAGTTAGGAAACACTCTGTTTGTAAAGTCTGCAAGTGGATATTCAGACCTCTTTGAGGCCTTCGTTGGAAACGGGTTTTTTTCATATAAGGCTACACAGAAGAATTCCCAGTAACTTCCTTGTGTTGTGTGTGTTCAACTCACAGAGTTGAACTTTCATTTACACAGAGCAGATTTGAAACACTCTTTTTGTGGAATTTGCAACTGGAGATTTCAAGCGATTTGAGGCCAAAGGCAGAAAAGGAAATATCTTCGTTTCAAAACTAGACAGAATCATTCTCAGAAACTGCTGTGCGATGTGTGCGTTCAACTCTCAGAGTTTAACTTTTCTTTTCATTCAGCAGTTTGGAAACACTCTGTTTGTAAAGTCTGCACGTGGATATTTTGACCACTTAGAGGCCTTCGTTGGAAACGGGTTTTTTTCCTGTAAGGCTAGACAGAAGAATTCCCAGTAACTTCCTTGTGTTGTGTACATTCAACTCACAGAGTTGAACGTTCCCTTAGACAGAGCAGATTTGAAACACTCTTTTTGTGCAATTGGCAAGTGGAGATTTCAAGCGCTTTAAGGTCAATGGCAGAAAAGGAAATATCTTCGTTTCAAAACTAGACAGAATCATTCCCACAAACTGCGTTGTGATGTGTTCGTTCAACTCACAGAGTTTAACCTTTCTTTTCATAGAGCAGTTAGGAAACAATCTGTTTGTAAATTCTGTAAGTGGATATTCTGACATCTTGTGGCCTTCGTTGGAAACGGGATTTCTTCATATTGCTGCTAGACAGAAGAATTCTCAGTAACTTCCTTGTGTTGTGTGTATTCAACTCAAAGAGTTGAACGATCCTTTACACAGAGCAGACTTGAAACACTCTTTTTGTGGAATTTGCAAGTGGAGATTTCAGCCTCTTTGAGGTCAATGGTAGAATAGGAAATATCTTCCTATAGAAACTAGACAGAACGATTCTCAGAAACTCCTTTGTGATGTGTGCGTTCAACTCACAGAGTTTCACCTTTCTTTTCATAGAGCAGTTAGGAAACACTCTGTTTGTAAAGTCTGCAAGTGGATATTCAGACCTCTTTGAGGCCTTCGTTGGAAACGGGATTTCTTCATATTCTGCTAGACAGAAGAATTCCCAGTAACTTCCTTGTGTTGTGTGTGTTCAACTCACAGAGTTGAACTTTCATTTACACAGAGCATCTTTGAAACACTCTTTTTGTGGAATTTGCAAGTGGAGATTTCAAGCGCTTTGAGGCCAAAGGCAGAAAAGGAAATATCTTCGTTTCAAAACTAGACAGAATCATTCTCAGAAACTGCTCTGCGATGTGTGCGTTCAACTCTCAGAGTTTAACTTTTCTTTTCATTCAGCAGTTTGGAAACACTCTGTTTGTAAAGTCTGCACGTGGATAACTTGACCACTTAGAGGCCTTCGTTGGAAACGGGTTTTTTTCCTGTAAGGCTAGACAGAAGAATTCCCAGTAACTTCCTTGTGTTGTGTGCATTCAACTCACAGAGTTGAACGTTCCCTTAGACAGAGCAGATTTGAAGCACTCTATTTGTGCAATTTGCAAGTGTAGATTTCAAGCGCTTTATGGTCAATGGCAGAAAAGGAAATATCTTCATTTCAAAACTAGACAGAATCATTCCCACAAACTGCGTTGTGATGTGTTCGTTCAACACACAGAGTTTAACCTTTCTGTTCATAGAGCAGTTAGGAAAAACTCTGTTTGTAAAGTCTGTAAGTAGATATTCTGACATCTTGTGGCCTTCGTTGGAAACGGGATTTCTTCATATTCTGCTAGACAGAAGAATTCTCAGTAACTTCCTTGTGTTGTGTGTATTCCTCTCACAGAGTTGAACGATCCTTTACACAGAGCAGACTTGAAAACAGTCTCTTTTGTGGAATTTGCAAGTGGAGATTTCAGCCGCTTTGAGGTCAATGGTAGAAAAGGAAATATCTTCGTATAAAGACTAGACAGAATGATTCTCAGAAACTCCTTTGTGATGTGTGTGTTCAACTCACAGAGTTTAACCTTTCTTTTCATAGAGCAGTTAGGAAACACTCTGTTTATAAAGTCTGCAAGTGGATATTCAGACCCATTTGAGGCCTTCGTTGGAAACGGGATTTCTTCATATTATGCTAGACAGAAGAATTCTCAGTAACTTCCTTGTGTTGTGTGTATTCAACTGACAGAGTTGAACTTTCATTTACAGAGAGCAGATTTGAAACACTGTTTTTGTGGAATTTGCAAGTGGAGATTTCAAGCGCTTTGCGGCCAAAGGCAGAAAAGGAAATATCTTCGTATAAAGACTAGACAGAATCATTCTCAGAAACTGCTCTGCGATGTGTGCGTTCAACTCTCAGAGTTTAACTTTTCTTTTCATTCAGCAGTTTGGAAACACTCTGTTTGTAAAGTCTGCACGTGGATATTTTGACCACTTAGAGGCCTTCTTTGGAAACGGGTTTTTTTCCTGTAAGGCTAGACAGAAGAATTCCCAGGAACTTCCTTGTGTTGTGTACATTCAACTCACAGAGTTGAACGTTCCCTTAGACAGAGCAGATTTGAAACACTCTTTTTGTGCAATTGGCAAATGGAGATTTCAAGCGCTTTAAGGTCAATGGCAGAAAAGGAAATATCTTCGTTTCAAAACTAGACAGAATGATTCTCATAAACTCCTTTGTGATGTGTGCGTTCAACTCACAGAGTTTAACCTTTCTTTTCATAGAGCAGTTAGGAAACACTCTGTTTGAAAAGTCTGCAAGTGGATATTCAGACCTCCTTGAGGCCTTCGTTGGAAACGGGAATTCTTCATATTCTGCTAGACAGAAGAATTCTCAGTAACTTCCTTGTGTGGTGTGTATTCAACTCACAGAGTTGAACGATCCTTTACACAGAGCAGACTTGAAACACTCTTTTTGTGGAATTTGCAAGTGGAGATTTCAGCCGCTTTGAGGTCAATGGTAGAAAAGGAAATATCTTCGTATAAAGACTAGACAGAATGATTCTCAGAAACTCCTTTGTGATGTGTGCGTTCAACTCACAGAGTTTAACCTTTCTTTTCATAGAGCAGTTAGGAAACACTCTGTTTGTAAAGTCTGCAAGTGGATATTCAGACCTCCTTGAGGCCTTCGTTGGAAACGGGATTTCTTCATATTATGCTAGACACAAGAATTCTCAGTAACTTCCTTGTGTTGTGTGTATTCAACTCACAGAATTGAACGATCCTTTACACAGAGCAGACTTGAAACACTCTTTTTGTGGAATTTGCAAGTGGAGATTTCAGCCGCTTTGAGGTCAATGGTAGAATAGGAAATATCTTCCTATAGAAACTAGACAGAGATCATTCTCAGAAACTGCTGCGTGATGTGTGCGTTCAACTCTCAGAGTTTAACTTTTCTTTTCATTCAGCGGTTTGGAAACACTCTGTTTGTAAAGTCTGCACGTGGATATTTTGACCACGTAGAGGCCTTCGTTGGAAACGGGTTTTTTTCATGTAAGGCTAGACAGAAGAATTCCCAGTAACTTCCTTGTGTTGTGTGCATTCAACTCACAGAGTTGAACGTTCCCTTAGACAGAGCAGATTGGAAACACTCTGTGCAATTTGCAAGTGTAGATTTCAAGCGCTTTAAGGTCAACGGCAGAAAAGGAAATATCTTCGTTTCAAAACTAGACAGAATCATTCTCAGAAACTGCTCTGCGATGTGTGCGTTCAACTCTCAGAGTTCAACTTTTCTTTTCATTCAGCAGTTTGGAAACATTCTGTTTGTAAAGTCTGCACGTGGATAATTTGACTACTTAGAGGCCTTCGTTGGAAACGGGTTTTTTTCATGTAAGGCTAGACAGAAGAATTCTCAGTAACTTCCTTGTGTTGTGTGTATTCAACTCACAGAGTTGAACGATCCTTTACACAGAGCAGACTTGTAACACTCTTTTTGTGGAATTCGCAAGTGGAGATTTCAGCAGCTTTGAAGTCAAAGGTAGAAAAGGAAATATCTTCCTATAAAAACTAGACAGAATGATTCTCAGAAACTCCTTTGTGATGTGTGCGTTCAACTCACAGAGTTTAACCATTCTTTTCATAGAGCAGTTAGGAAACACTCTGTTTGTAAAGCCTGCAAGTGGATATTCTGACCTCCTTGAGGCCTTCGTTGGAAACGGGATTTCTTCATATTCTGCTAGACAGAAGAATTCTCAGTAACTTCCTTGTGTTGTGTGTATTCAACTCACAGAGTTGAACGATCCTTTACACAGAGCAGACTTGAAACACTCTTTTTGTGTAATTTGCAAGTGGAGATTTCATCCGCTTTGAGGTCAATAGTAGAAAAGAAAATATCTTCATAGAAAAACTAGACAGAATCATTCTCAGAAACTGCTGCGTGATGTGTGCGTTCAACTCTCACAGTTTAACTTTTCTTTTCATTCAGCGGTTTGGAAACACTCTGTTTGTAAAGTCTGCACGTGGATATTTTGACCACTTAGAGTCCTTCGTTGGAAACGGGTTTTTTTCATGTAAGGCTAGACAGAAGAATTCCCAGTAACTTCCTTGTGTTGTGTGCATTCAACTCACAGAGTTGAACGTCCATTAGACAGAGCAGATTTGAAACACTCTATTTGTGCAATTTGCAAGTGTAGATTTCAAGCGCTTTAAGGTCAATGGCAGAAAAGGAAATATCTTCGTTTCAAAACTAGACAGAATCATTCCCACAAACTGCCTTGTGATATGTTCGTTCAACTCACAGAGTTTAACCTTTCTGTTCATAGAGCAGTTAGGAAACACTCTGTAACGTCTGTAAGTGGATATTCTGACATCTTGTGGCCTTCGTTGGAAACGGGATTTCTTCATATTCTGCTAGACAGAAGAATTCTCAGTAACTTCCTTGTGTTGTGTGTATTCAACTCACAGAGTTGAACGATCCTTTACACAGAGCAGACTTGAAACACTCTTTTTGTGGAATTTGCAAGTGGAGATTTCAGCCGCTATGGGGTCAATGGTAGAATAGGAAATATCTTCCTATAGAAACTAGACAGAATGATTCTCATAAACTCCTTTGTGATGTGTGCGTTCAACTCACAGAGTTTAACCTTTCTTTTCATAGAACAGTTAGGAAACACTCTGTTTGTAAAGTCTGCAAGTGGATATTCAGACCTCCTTGAGGCCTTCGTTGGAAACGGGATTTCTTCATATTCTGCTAGACAGAAGAATTCCCAGTAACTTCCTTGTGATGTGTGTGTTCAACTCACAGAGTTGAACTTTCATTTACACAGAGCAGATTGGAAACACTCTTTTTGTGGAATTTGCAAGTGGAGATTTCAAGCGCTTTGAGGCCAAAGGCAGAAAAGGAAATATCTTCGTATAAAAACTACACAGAATCATTCTCAGAAACTGCTCTGCGATGTGTGCGTTCAACTCTCAGAGTTTAACTTTTCTTTTCATTCAGCAGTTTGGAAACACTCTGTTTGTAAAGTCTGCACGTGGATAATTTGACCACTTAGAGGCCTTCGTTGGAAACGGGTTTTTTTCCTGTAAGGCTAGACAGAAGAATTCCCAGTAACTTCCTTGTGTTGTGTGCATTCAACTCACAGAGTTGAACGTTCCCTTAGACAGAGCAGATTTGAAACACTCTATTTGTGCAATTTGCAAGTGTAGATTTCAAGCGCTTTAAGGTCAATGGCAGAAAAGGAAATATCTTCGTTTCAAAACTAGACAGAATCATTCCCACAAACTGCGTTGTGATGTGTTCGTTCAACTCACAGAGTTTAACCTTTCTGTTCATAGAGCAGTTAGGAAACACTCTGTTTGTAAAGTCTGTAAGTGGATATTCTGACGTCTTGTGGCCTTCGTTGGAAACGGGATTTCTTCATATTCTGCTAGACAGAAGAATTCTCAGTAACTTCCTTGTGTTGTGTGTATTCAACTCACAGAGTTGAACGATCCTTTACACAGAGCAGACTTGAAACATTCTTTTTGTGGAATTTGCAAGTGGAGATTTTAGCCGCTTTGAGGTCAATGGTAGAATAGGAAATATGTTCCTATAGAAACTAGACAGAATGATTGTCAGAAACTCCTTTGTGATGTGTGCGTTCAACTCACAGAGTTTAACCTTTCTGTTCATAGAGCAGTTAGGAAACACTCTGTTTGTAAAGTCTGCAAGTGGATATTCAGACCTCCTTGAGGCCTTCGTTGGAAACGGGATTTCTTCATATTCTGCTAGACAGAAGAATTCTCAGTAACTTCCTTGTGTTGTGTGTATTCAACTGACAGAGTTGAACTTTCATTTAGAGAGAGCAGATTTGAAACACTGTTTTTGTGGAATTTGCAAGTGGAGATTTCAAGCGGTTTGGGGCCAAAGGCAGAAAAGGAAATATCTTCGTATAAAAACTAGACAGAATCATTCTCAGAAACTGCTGCGTGATGTGTGCGTTCAACTCTCAGAGTTTAACTTTTCTTTTCATTCAGCGGTTTGGAAACACTCTGTTTGTAAAGTCTGCACGTGGATATTTTGACCACTTAGAGGCCTTCGTTGGAAACGGGTTTTTTTCATGTAAGCCTAGACAGAAGAATTCCCAGTAACTTCCTTGTGTTGTGTGCATTCAAGTCACAGAGTTGAACGTTTCCTTAGACAGAGCAGAATTGAAACACTCTATTTGTGCAATTTGCAAGTGTAGATTTCAACCGCTTTAAGGTCAACGGCAGAAAAGGAAATATCTTCGTTTCAAAACTAGACAGAATGATTCTCAGAAACTCCTTTGTGATGTGTGCATTCAACTCACAGTTTAACCTTTCTTTTCATAGAGCAGTTAGGAAACACTCTGTTTGTAAAGTCTGCAAGTGGATATTCAGACCTCCTTGAGGCCTTCGTTGGAAACGGGATTTCTTCATATTATGCTAGACAGAAGAATTCTCAGTAACTTCCTTGTGTTGTGTGTATTCAACTCACAGAGTTGAACGATGCTTTACACAGAGCAGACTTGAAACACTCTTTTTGTGGAATTTGCAAGTGGAGATTTCAGCCGCTTTGAGGTCAATGGTAGAAAAGGAAATATCTTCGTATAAAAACTAGACAGAATGATTCTCAGAAACTCCTTTGTGATGTGTGCGTTCAACTCACAGAGTTTAACCTTTCTTTTCATAGAACAGTTAGGAAACACTGTGTTTGTAAAGTCTGCAAGTGGATATTCAGACCTCCTTAAGGCCTTCGTTGGAAACGGGATTTCTTCATATTATGCTAGACAGAAGAATTCTCAGTAACTTCCTTGTGTTGTGTGTATTCAACTGACAGAGTTGAACTTTCATTTAGAGAGAGCAGATTTGAAACACTGTTTTTGTGGAATTTGCAAGTGGAGATTTCAAGCGCTTTGGGGCCAAAACTAGACAGAATGATTCTCAGAAACTCCTTTGTGATGTGTGCGTTCAACTCACAGAGTTTAACCTTTCTTTTCATTCAGCGGTTTGGAAACACTCTGTTTGTAAAGTCTGCACGTGGATATTCAGACCTCTTTGAGGCCTTCGTTGGAAACGGGTTTTTTTCATGTAAGGCTAGACAGAAGAATTCCCAGTAACTTCCTTGTGTTGTGTGCATTCAACTCACAGAGTTGAACGTTCCTTTAGACAGAGCAGATTTGAAACACTCTATTTGTGCAATTTGCAAGTGTAGTTTTCAAGCTCTTTAAGGTCAACGGCAGAAAAGGAAATATCTTGGTTTCAAAACTAGACAGAATCATTCCCACAAACTGCGTTGTGATGTGTTCGTTCATCTCACAGAGTTTAACCTTTCTTTTCATAGAGCAGTTAGGAAACAGTCTGTTTGTACATTCTGTAAGTGGATATCCTGACATCTTGTGGCCTTCGTTGGAAACGGGATTTCTTCATATTCTGCTAGACAGAAGAATTCTCAGTAACTTCCTTGTGTTGTGTGTATTCAACTCACAGAGTTGAACGATCCTTTACACAGAGCAGACTTGAAACACTCTTTTTGTGGAATTTGCAAGTGGAGATTTCAGCCGCTTTGATTTCAATGGTAGAAAAGGAAATATCTTCGTATAAAGACTAGACAGAATGATTCTCAGAAACTCCTTTGTGATGTGTGCGTTCAACTCACAGAGTTTAACCTTTCTTTTCATAGAGCAGTTAGGAAACACTCTGTTTGTAAAGTCTGCAAGTGGATATTCAGACATCTATGAGGCCTTCGTTGGAAACGGGATTTCTTCATGTTCTGCTAGACAGAAGAATTCTCAGTAACTTTCCTTGTGTTGTGTGTTTTCAACTCACAGAGTTGAACGATCCTTTACACAGAGCAGACTTGAAACACTCCTTTTGTGGAATTTGCAAGTGGAGATTTCAGCCGCTTTGAGGTCAATGGTACAATAGGAAATATCTTCCTATAGAAAGTAGACAGAATGATTCTGAGAAACTCCTTTGTGATGTGTGCGTTCAACTCACAGAGTTTAACCTTTCTTTTCATAGAGCAGTTAGGAAACACTCTGTTTGTAAAGTCTGCAAGTGGATATTCAGACATCTTTGAGGCTTTCTTTGGAAACGGGATTTCTTCATATTCTGCTATACAGAAGAATTCTCAGAAACTTCCTTGTGTTGTGTGTATTCAACTCACAGAGTTCAACGATCGTTTACACAGAGCAGACTTGAGACACTCTTTTTGTGGAATTTGCAAGTGGAGATTTCAGCCGCTTTGAGGTCAATGGTAGAAAAGGAAATATCTTCATATAAAAAATAGACAGAATCATTCCCACAAACTGCGTTGTGATGTGTTCGTTCAACTCACAGAGTTTAACCTTCCTGTTCATAGAGCAGTTAGGAAACACTCTGTTTGTAAAGTCTGTAAGTGGATATTCTGACATCTTGTGGCCTTCGTTGGGAACGGGATTTCTTCATATTCTGCTAGACAGAAGAATTCTCAGAATCTTCCTTGTGTTGTGTGTATTCAACTCACAGAGTTGAACGATGGTTTACTCAGAGCAGATTTGAAACACTCTTTTTGTGGAATTTGCAAGTGGAGATTTCAGCCGCTTTGAGGTCAATGGTAGAAAAGGAAATATCTTCGTACAAAAACTAGACAGAATGATTCTCAGAAACTCCTTTGTGATGTGTGCGTTCAACTCACACAGTTTAACCTTTCTTTTCATAGAGCAGTTAGGAAACACTCTGTTTGTAAAGTCTGCAAGTGGATATTCACACCTCCTTGAGGCCTTCGTTGGAAACGGGATTTCTTCATATTATGCTAGACAGAAGAATTCCCAGTAACTTCCTTGTGTTGTGTGTGTTCAACTCACAGAGATGAACTCTCATTTACACAGAGCAGATTTGAAACTCTCTTTTTGTGTAATTTGCAAATGGAGATTTCAAGCGCTTTGAGGCCAAAGGCAGAAAAGGAAATATCTTCGTATAAAAACTAGACAGAATCATTCTCAGAAACTGCTCTGCGATGTGTGCGTTCAACTCTCAGAGTTTAACTTTTCTTTTCATTCAGCAGTTTGGAAACACTCTGTTTGTAAAGTCTGCACGTGGATATTTTGACCACTTAGAGGCCTTCGTTGGAAACGGGATTTTTTCCTGTAAGGCTAGACAGAAGAATTCCCAGTAACTTCCTTGTGTTGTGTGTGTTCAACTCACTGAGTTGAACTTTCATTTACCCAGAGCAGATTTGAAACACTCTTTTTGTGGAATTTGCAAGTGGAGATTTCAAGCGCTTTGAGGCCAAAGGCAGAAAAGGAAATATCTTCGTTTCAAAACTAGACAGAATCATTCTCAGAAACTGCTCTGCAATGTGTGCGTTCAACTCTCAGAGTTTAACTTTTCTTTTCATTCAGCAGTTTGGAAACACTCTGTTTGTAAAGTCTGCACGTGGATAATTTGACCACTTAGAGGCCTTCTTTGGAAACGGGTTTTTTTCATGTAAGGCTAGACAGAAGAATTCTCAGTAACTTCCTTCTGTTGTGTGTATTCAACTCACAGAGTTGAACGTTCCTTTACACACAGCAGACTTGAAACACTCTTTTTGTGGAATTTGCAAGTGGAGATTTCAGCCGCTTTGTGGTCAATGGTAGAAAAGGAAATATCTTCGTATAAAAACTAGACAGAATGATTCTCAGAAACTCCTTTGTGATGTGTGTGTTCAACTCACAGAGTTTAACCTTTCTTTTCATAGAGCAGTTAGGAAACACTCTGTTTGTAAAGTCTGCAAGTGGATATTCAGACCTCTTTGAGGCCTTCGTTGGAAACGGGTTTTTTTCATGTAAGGCTAGACAGAAGAATTCTCAGTAACTTCCTTGTGTTGTGTGTATTCAACTGACAGAGTTGTACTTTCGTTTAGAGAGAGCAGATTTGAAACACTGTTTTTGTGGAATTTGCAAGTGGAGATTTCAAGCGCTTTGGGGCCAAAGGCAGAAAAGGAAATATCTTCGTATAAAAACTAGACAGAATCATTCTCAGAAACTGCTGCGTGATGTGTGCTTTCAACTCTCAGAGTTTAACTTTTCTTTTCATTCAGCGGTTTGGAAACACTCTGTGTGTAAAGTCTGCACGTGGATATTTTGACCACTTAGAGGCCTTCGTTGGAAACGGGTTTTTTTCATGTAAGGCTAGACAGAAGAATTCTCAGTAACTTCCTTGTTTTGTGTGTATTCAACTCACAGAGTTGAACGATCCTTTACACAGAGCAGACTTGTAACACTCTTTTTGTGGAATTTGCAAGTGGAGATTTCAGCCGCTTTGAAGTCAAAGGTAGAAAAGGAAATATCTTCTTATAAATACTAAACAGAATCATTCGCACAAACTGCGTTGTGATGTGTTCGTTCAACTCACAGAGTTTAACCTTTCTTTTCATAGAGCAGTTAGGAAACAGTCTGTTTGAAAATTCTGTAAGTGGATATTCTGACATCTTGTGGCCTTCGTTGGAAACGGGATTTCTTCATATTCTGCTAGACAGAAGAATTCTCAGAATCTTCCTTGTGTTGTGTGTATTCAACTCACAGAGTTGAACGATGGTTTACACAGAGCAGATTTGAAACACTCATTTGGTGGAATTTGCAAGTGGAGATTTCAGCCGCTTTGAGGTCAATGGTAGAAAAGGAAATATCTTCGTATAACAACTAGACAGAATTATTCTCAGAAACTCCTTTGTGATGTGTGCGTTCAACTCACAGAGTTTAACCTTTCTTTTCATAGAGCAGTTAGGAAACACTCTGTTTGTAAGGTCTGCAAGTGGATATTCAGAGATCCTTGAGGCCTTCTTTGGAAACGGGATTTCTTCATATTATGCTGGACAGAAGAATTCTCAGTAACTTCCTTGTGTTGTGTGTATTCAACTGACAGAGTTGAACTTTCATTTAGAGAGAGCAGATTTGAAACACTGTTTGTGTGGAATTTGCAAGTGGAGATTTCAAGCGCTTTGGGGCCAAAGGCAGAAAAGGTAATATCTTCGTATAAAAACTAGACAGAATCATTCTCAGAAACTGCTCTGCGATGTGTGCGTTCAACTCTCAGAGTTTAACTTTTCTTTTCATTCAGCAGTTTGGAAACACTCTGTTTGTAAAGTCTGCACGTGGATAATTTGACCACTTAGAGGCCTTCATTGGAAACGGGTTTTTTTCCTGTAAGGCTAGACAGAAGAATTCCCAGTAACTTCCCTTGTGTTGTGTACATTCAACTCACAGAGTTGAACGTTCCCTTAGACAGAGCAGATTTGAAACACTCTTTTTGTGCAATTGGCAAGTGGTGATTTCAGCCTCTTTGAGGTCAATGGTAGAAAAGGAAATATCTTCGTATAAAAACTAGACAGAATGATTCTCAGAAACTCCTTTGTGATGTGTGTGTTCAACTCACAGAGTTTAACCTTTCTTTTCATAGAGCAGTTAGGAAACACTCTGTTTGTAAAGTCTGCAAGTGGATATTCAGACCTGCTTTGAGGCCTTCGTTGGAAACGGGTTTTTTTCATATAAGGCTAGACAGAAGAATTCCCAGTAACTTCCTTGTGTTGTGTGTGTTCAACTCACAGAGTTGAACTTTCATTTACACAGAGCAGATTTGAAACACTCTTTTTGTGGAATTTGCAAGTGGAGATTTCAGCCGCTTTGAGGTCAATGGTAGAAAAGGAAATATCTTCGTATAAAAACTAGACAGAATGATTCTCAGAAACTCCTTTGTGATGTGTGCGTTCAACTCACAGAGTTTAACCTTTCTTTTCATAGAGCAGTTAGGAAACACTCTGTTTGTAAACTCTGCAAGTGGATATTCAGACCTCTTTGAGGCCTTCGTTGGAAACGGGATTTCTTCATACTATGCTAGACAGAAGAATTCTTAGTAACTTCCGCGTGTTGTGTGTATTCAACTCACAGAGTTGAACGATCCTTTACACAGAGCAGACTTGAAACACTCTTTTTGTGGAATTTGCAAGTGGAGATTTCCGCCGCTATGTGGTCAATGGTAGAAAAGGAAATATCTTCCTATAAAAACTAGACAGAATCATTCTCAGAAACTGCTGCGTGATGTGTGCGTTCAACTCTCAGAGTTTAACTTTTCTTTTCATTCAGCCGTTTGGAAACACTCTGTTTGTAAAGTCTGCACGTGGATATTTTGACCACTTAGAGGCCTTCGTTGGAAACGGGTTTTTTGCATGTAAGGCTAAACAGAAGAATTCCCAGTAACTTCCTTGTGTTGTGTGCATTCAACTCACAGAGTTGAACGTTCCCTTAGGCAGAGCAGATTTGAAACACTCTATTTGTGCAATTTGCAAGTGTAGATTTCAAGCGCTTTAAGGTCAATGGCAGAAAAGGAAATATCCTCGTTTCAAAACTAGACAGAATGATTCTCAGAAAATTCTTTGTGATGTGTGCGTTCCACTCACAGAGTTTAACCTTTCTTTTCATAGAGCAGTTAGGAAACACTCTGTTTGTAAACTCTGCAAGTGGATATTCAGACCTCTTTGAGGCCTTCTTTGCAAACGGGATTTCTTCATATTATGCCTGAGAGAAGAATTCTCAGTAACTTCCCTTGTGCTGTGTGTATTCAACTCACAGAGTTGAACGATCCTTTACACAGAGCAGACTTGATACACTCTTTTTGTGGAATTTGCAAGTGGAGATTTCAGCCGCTTTGAGGTCAATGGTAGAAAAGGAAATATCTTCGTATAAAAACTAGACAGAAATGATTCTCATAAACTCCTTTGTGATGTGTGCGTTCAACTCACAGAGTTTAACCTTTCTTTTCATAGAGCAGTTAGGAAACACTCTGTTTGTAAAGTGTGCAAGTGGATATTCAGACCTCCTTGAGGCCTTCGTTGGAAACGGGATTTCTTCATATTCTGCTAGACAGAGAATTCCCAGTAACTTCCTTGTGTTGTGTGTGTTCAACTCACACAGTTGAACTTTCATTTACACAGAGCAGATTTGAAACACTCTTTTTGTGGAATTTGCAAATGGAGATTTCAGCCGCGTTGAGGTCAACGGTAGAAAAGGAAATATCTTCGTTTCAAAACTAGACAGAATCATTCTCAGAAACTGCTGCATGATGTGTGCGTTCAACTCTCAGAGTTTAACTTTTCTTTTCATTCAGCGGTTTGGAAACACTCTGTTTGTAAAGTCTGCACGTGGATATTTTGACCACTTAGAGGCCTTCGTTGGAAACGGGTTTTTTTCATATAAGGCTAGACAGAAGAATTCCCAGTAACTTCCTTGTGTTGTGTGCATTCAACTCACAGAGTTGAACGTTCCCTTAGACAGAGCAGATTTGAAACACTCTATTTGTGCAATTTCCAAGTGTAGATTTCAAGCGCTTTAAGGTCAACGGCAGAAAAGGAAATATCTTCGTTTCAAAACTAGACAGAATGATTCTCAGAAACTTCTTTGTGATGTGTGCGTTCAACTCACAGAGTTTAACCTTTCTTTTCATAGAGCAGTTAGGAAACAGTCTGTTTGAAAATTCTGTAAGTGGATATTCTGACATCTTGTGGCCTTCGTTGGAAACGGGATTTCTTCATATTCTGCTAGACAGAAGAATTGTCAGTAACTTCCTTGTGTTGTGTGTATTCAACTCACAGAGTTGAATGATCCTTTACACAGAGCAGACTTGAAACACTCTTTATGTGGAATTTGCAAGTGGAGATTTCAGCCGCTTTGAGTTCAATGGTAGAATAGGAAATATCTTCCTATAGAAACTAGACAGAATGATTCTCAGAAACTCCTTTGTGATGTGTGCGTTCAACTCACAGAGTTTATCCTTTCTTTTCATAGAGCAGTTAGGAAACACTCTGTTTGTAAAGTCTGCATGTGGATATTCAGACATCATTGAGGCCTTCGTTGGAAACGGGATTTCTTCATGTTCTGCTAGACAGAAGAATTCTCAGTAACTTCCTTGTGTTGTGTGTATTCAACTGACAGAGTTGAACTTTCATTTAGAGAGAGCAGATTTGAAACACTGTTTTTGTGGAATTTTCAAGTGGAGATTTCAAGCGCTTTGGGGCCAAAGGCAGAAAAGGAAATATCTTCGTATAAAAACTAGACAGAATCATTCTCAGAAACTGCTCTGCGATGTGTGCGTTCAACTATCAGAGTTTAACTTTGCTTTTCATTCAGCAGTTTGGAAACACTCTGTTTGTAAAGTCTGCACGTGGATAATTTGACCACTTAGAGGCCTTCGTTGGAAACGGGTTTTTTTCATGTAAGGCTAGACAGAAGAATTCCCAGTAACTTCCTTGTGTTGTGTACATTCAACTCACAGAGTTGAACGTTCCTTTAGACAGAGCAGATTTGAAACACTCTTTTTGTGCAATTGGCAAATGGAGATTTCAAGCGCTTTAAGGTCAATGGCAGAAAAGGAAATATCTTCGTTTCAAAACTAGACAGAATCATTCCCACAAACTGCGTTGTGATGTGTTCGTTCAAATCACAGAGTTTAAACTTTCTTTTCATAGAGCAGTTAGGAAACAGTCTGTTTGTAAATTCTGTAAGTGGATATTCTGACATCTTGTGGCCTACGTTGGAAACGGGATTTCTTCAAATTCTGCTAGACAGAATAATTCTCAGTAACTTCCTTGTGTTGTGTGTATTCAACTCACAGAGTTGAACGATCCTTTACAGAGAGCAGGCTTGAAACAGTCTTTTTGTCGAATTTGCAAGTGGAGATTTCAGCCGCTTTGAGGTCAATGGTAGAATAGGAAATATCTTCTTATAGAAACTAGACAGAATGATTCTCAGAAACTCCTTTGTGATGCGTGCGTTCAACTCACAGAGTTTAACCTTTCTTTTCATAGAGCAGTTAGGAAACACTCTGTTTGTAAAGTCTGCAAGTGGATATTCAGACATCCTTGAGGCTTTCGTTGGAAACGGGATTTCTTCATATTCTGCTAGAAAGAAGAATTCTCAGTAACTTCCTTGTGTTGTGTGTATTCAACTGACAGAGTTGAACTTTCATTTAGAGAGAGCAGATTTGAAACACTGTTTTTGTGGAATTTGCAAGTGGAGATTTCAAGCGCTTTGTGGCCAAAGGCAGAAAAGGAAATATCTTCGTATAAAAACTAGACAGAATCATTCTCAGAAACTGCTGCGTGATGTGTGCGTTCAACTCTCAGAGTTTAACTTTTCTTTTGATTCAGCGGTTTGGAAACACTCTGTTTGTAAAGTCTGCACGTGGATATTTTGACCACTTAGAGGCCTTCGTTGGAAACGGGTTTTTTTCATGTAATGCTAGACAGAAGAATTCCCAGTAACTTCCTTGTTTTGTGTGCATTCAACTCACAGAGTTTAACGTTCCCTTAGACAGAGCAGATTTGAAACACTCTATTTGTGCAATTTGCAAGTGTAGATTTCAAGCGCTTTAAGGTCAACGGCAGAAAAGGAAATATCTTCGTTTCAAAACTAGACAGAATCATTCCCACAAACTGCGTTGTGATGTGTTCGTTCAACTCACAGAGTTTAACCTTTCTGTTCATAGAGCAGTTAGGAAACACTCTGTTTGTAAACTCTGTAAGTGGATATTCTGACATCTTGTGGCCTTCGTTGGAAACGGGATTTCTTCACATTCTGCTAGACAGAAGAATTCTCAGTAACTTCCTTGTGTTGTGTGTATTCAACTCACAGAGTTGAATGATCCTTTACACAGAACAGTCTTGAAACACTCTTTTTGTGGAATTTGCTAGTGGAGATTTCAGCCGCTTTGATGTCAATGGTAGAATAGGAAATATCTTCCTATAGAAACTAGACAGAATGATTCTCAGAAACTCCTTTGTGATGTGTGCGTTCAACTCACAGAGTTTAACCTTTCTTTTCATAGAGCAGTTAGGAAACACTCTGTTTGTAAAGTCTGCAAGTGGATATTCAGACCTCTTTGAGGCCTTCGTTGGAAACGGGTTTTTTTCATATAAGGCTAGAGAGAAGAATTCCCAGTAACTTCCTTGTGTTGTGTGTGTTCAACTCACAGAGTTGAACTTTCATTTACACAGAGCAGATTTGAAACACTCTTTTTGTGGAATTTGCAAATGGAGATTTCAAGCGCTTTGAGGCCAAAGGCAGAAAAGGAAATATCTTCGTATAAAAACTGGACAGAATCATTCTCAGAAACTGCTCTGCGATGTGTGCGTTCAACTCTCAGAGTTTAACTTTTCTTTTCATTCAGCAGTTTGGAAACACTCTGTTTGTAAAGTCTGCACGTGGATAACTTGACCGCTTAGAGGCCTTCGTTGGAAACGGGTTTTTTTCACGTAAGGCTAGACAGAAGAATTCCCAGTAACTTCCTTGTGTTGTGTGCATTCAACTCACAGAGTTGAACGTTCCCTTAGACAGAGCAGATTTGAAACACTCTACTTGTGCAATTTGCAAGTGTAGATTTCAAGCGCTTTAAGGTCAATGGCAGAAAAGGAAATATCTTCGTTTCAAAACTAGACAGAATCATTCCCACAAACTGCGTTGTGATGTGTTCGTTCAACTCACAGAGTTTAACCTTTCTGTTCATAGAGCAGTTAGAAAACACTCTGTTTGTAAAGTCTGTAAGTGGATATTCTGACATTTTGTGGCCTTCGTTGGAAATGGGATTTCTTCATATTCTGCTAGACAGAAGAATTCTCAGTAACTTCCTTGTGTTGTGTGTATTCAACTCACAGAGTTGAACTATCCTTTACACAGAGCAGACTTGAAACACTCGTTTTGTGGAATTTGCAAGTGGAGATTTCAGCCGCTTTGAGGTCAATGGTAGAAAAGGAAATATCTTCGTATAAAAACTAGACAGAATGATTCTCAGAAACTCCTTTGTGATGTGTGTGTTCAACTCACAGAGTTTAACCTTTCTTTTCATAGAGCAGTTAGGAAACACTCTGTTTGTAAAGTCTGCAGGTGGATATTCAGACCTCTTTGAGGCCTTCGTTGGAAACGGGTTTTTTTCATATAAGGCTAGACAGAAGAATTCCCAGTAACTTCCTTGTGTTGTCTGTGTTCAACTCACAGAGTTGAACTTTCATTTACACAGAGCAGATTTGAAACACTCTTTTTGTGGAATTTGCAAGTGGAGATTTCAAGCGCTTTGAGGCCAAAGGCAGAAAAGGAAATATCTTCGTTTCAAAACTAGACAGAATCATTCTCAGAAACTGCTCTGCGATGTGTGCGTTCAACTCTCAGAGTTTAACTTTTCTTTTCATTCAGCAGTTTGGAAACACTCTGTTTGTAAAGTCTGCACGTGGATAACTTGACCACTTAGAGGCCTTCGTTGGAAACGGGTTTTTTTCATGTAAGGCTAGACAGAAGAATTCTCAGTAACTTCCTTGTGTTGTCTGTATTCAACTCACAGAGTTGAACGATCCTTTACAGAGAGCAGACTTGTAACACTCTTTTTGTGGAATTTGCAAGTGGAGATTTCAGCCACTTTGAAGTCAAAGGTAGAAAAGGAAATAACTTCCTATAAAAACTAGACAGAATCATTCCCACAAACTCCGTTGTGATGTGTTCGTTCAACTCACAGAGTTTAACCTTTCTGTTCATAGAGCAGTTAGGAAACACTCTGTTTGTAAAGTCTGTAAGTGGATATTCTGACATCTTGTGGCCTTCGTTGGAAACGGGATTTCTTCATATTCTGCTAGACAGAAGAATTCTCAGTAACTTCCTTGTGTTGTGTGTATTCAACTCACAGAGTTGAACGATCCTTTACACAGAGCAGACTTGAAACACTCTTTTTGTGGAATTTGCAAGTGGAGATTTCAGCCGCTTTGAGGTCAATGGTAGAAAAGGAAATATGTTCGTATAAAGATTAGACAGAATGATTCTCAGAAACTCCTTTGTGATGTGTGTGTTCAACTCACAGAGTTTAACCTTTCTTTTCATAGAGCAGTTAGTAAACACTCTGTTTATAAAGTCTGCATGTGGATATTCAGACCCCTTTGAGGCCTTCGTTGGAAACGGGATTTCTTCATATTATGCTAGACAGAAGAATTCCCAGTAACTTCCTTGTGTTGTGTGTGTTCAACTCACAGAATTGAACTTTCATTTACCCAGAGCAGATTTGAAACACTCTTTTTGTGGAATTTGCAAGTGGAGATTTCAAGCGCTTTGAGGCCAAAGGCAGAAAAGGAAATATCTTCGTTTCAAAACTAGACAGAATCATTCTCAGAAACTGCTCTGCGATGTGTGCGTTCAACTCTCAGAGTTTAACTTTTCTTTTCATTCAGCAGTTTGGAAACACTCTGTTTGTAAAGTCTGCACGTGGATATTTTGACCATTTAGAGGCCTTCGTTGGAAACGGGTTTTTTTCTTGTAAGGCTAGACAGAAGAATTCCCAGTAACTTCCTTGTGTTGTGTACATTCAACTCACAGAGTTGAACGTTCCCTTAGACAGAGCAGATTTGAAACACTCTTTTTGTGCAATTGGCAAGTGGAGATTTCAAGCGCTTTAAGGTCAATGGCAGAAAAGGAAATATCTTCGTTTCAAAACTAGAGAGATAATCATTCCCACAAACTGCGTTGTGATGTGTTCGTTCAACTCACAGAGTTTAACCTTTCTTTTCATAGAGCAGTTAGGAAACAGTCTGTTTGTCAATTCTGTAAGTGGATATTCTGACATCTTGTGGCCTTCGTTGGAAACGGGATTTCTTCATATTCTGCTAGACAGAAGAATTCTCAGTAACTTCCTTGTGTTGTGTGTATTCAACTCACAGAGTTGAACGATCCTTTACACAGAACAGACTTATAACACTCTTTTTGTGGAATTTGCAAGTGGAGATTTCAGCCACTTTGAAGTCAAAGGTAGAAAAGGAAATAACTTCCTATAAAAACTAGACAGAATGATTCTCAGAAACTTCTTTGTGATGTGTGCGTTCAACTCACAGAGTTTAACCTTTCTTTTCATAGAGCAGTTAGGAAACACTCTGTTTGTAAACTCTGCAAGTGGAAATTCAGACCTCTTTGAGGCCTTCGTTGGAAACGGGATTTCTTCATACTATGCTAGACAGAAGAATTCCCAGTAACTTCCTTGTGTTGTGTGTGTTCAAGTCACAGAGTTGAACTTTCATTTACACAGAGAAGATTTGAAACACTGTTTTTGTGGAATTTGCAAGTGGAGATTTCAAGCGCTTTGAGGCCAAAGGCAGAAAAGGAAATATCTTCGTTTCAAAACTAGACAGAATCATTCTCAGAAACTGCTCTGCGATGTGTGCGTTCAACTCTCAGAGTTTAACTTTTCTTTTCATTCAGCAGTTTGGAAACACTCTGTTTGTAAAGTCTGCACGTGGATATTTTGACCACTTAGAGGCCTTCGTTGGAAACGGGTTTTTTTCATGTAAGGCTAGACAGAAGAATTCTCAGTAACTTCCTTGTGTTGTGTGTATTCAACTCACAGAGTTGAACGATCCTATACACAGAGCAGACTTGTAACACTCTTTTTGTGGAATTTGCAAGTGGAGATTTCAGCCGCTTTGAAGTCAAAGGTAGAAAAGGAAATATCTTCCTATAAAAACTAGACAGAATGATTCTCAGCAAACTCCTTTGTGATGTGTGCGTTCAACTCACAGAGTTTAACTTTTTTTTTCATAGAGCAGTTAGGAAACACTCTGTTTGTAAAGTCTGCAAGTGGATATTCAGACCTCTTTGAGGCCTTCGTTGGAAACGGGTTTTTTTCATATAAGGCTAGACAGAAGAATTCTCAGTAACTTCCTTGTGTTGTGTGTATTCAACTCACAGAGTTGAACGATCCTTTACACAGAGCAGACTTGAAACACTCTTTTAGTGGAATTTGCAAGTGGAGATTTCAGCCGCTTTGAGGTCAATGGTAGAATAGGAAATATCTTCCTATAGAAACTAGACAGAATGATTTTCAGAAACTCCTTTGTGATGTGTGCGTTCAATTCACAGACTTTAACTTTTCATAGAGCAGTTAGGAAACACTCTGTTTGTAAAGTCTGCAAGTGGATATTCAGACCTCTTTGAGGCCTTCGTTGGAAACGGGATTTCTTCATATTATGCTAGACAGAAGAATTCTCAGTAACTTCCTGGTGTTGTGTGTATTCAACTGACAGAGTTGAACTTTCATTTAGAGAGGGCAGATTTGAAACACTGTTTTTGTGGAATTTGCAAGTGGAGATTTCAAGCGCTTTGGGGCCAAAGGCAGAAAAGGAAATATCTTCGTATAAAAACTAGACAGAATCATTCTCAGAAACTGCTCTGCGATGTGTGCGTTCAACTCTCAGAGTTTAACTTTGCTTTTCATTCAGCAGTTTTGAAACACTCTGTTTGTAAAGTCTGCACGTGGATAATTTGACCACTTAGAGGCCTTCGTTGGAAACGGGTTTTTTTCATGTAAGGCTAGACAGAAGAATTCCCAGTAACTTCCTTGTGTTGTGTGCATTCAACTCACAGAGTTGAACGTTCCCTTAGACCGAGCAGATTTGACACACTCTATTTGTGCAATTTGCAAGTGTAGATTTCAAGCGCTTTAAGGTCAACGGCAGAAAAGGAAATATCTTCGTTTCAAAACTAGACAGAATCATTCCCACAAACTGCGTTGTGATGTGTTCGTTCAACTCACAGAGTTTAACCTTTCTTTTCATAGAGCACTTAGGAAACAGTCTGTTTGTAAATTCTGTAAGTGGATATTCTGACATCTTGTGGCCTTCGTTGGAAACGGGATTTCTTCATATTCTGCTAGACAGAAGAATTCTCAGAATCTTCCTTGTGTTGTGTGTATTCAACTCACAGAGTTGAACGATCCTTTTCACAGAGCAGACTTGAAACACTGTTTTTGTGGAATTTGCAAGTGGAGATTTCAGCCGCGTTGAGGTCAATGGTAGAAAAGGAAATATCTTCGTATAAAAACTAGACAGAATGATTCTCAGAAACTTCTTTGTGACGTGTGCGTTCAACTCACAGAGTTTAACCTTTCTTTTCATAGAGCAGTTAGGAAACACTCTGTTTGTAAACTGTGCAAGTGGATGTTCAGACCTCTTTGAGGCCTTCGTTGGAATCGGGATTTCTTCATACTGTGCTAGACAGAAGATTTCTCAGTAACTTCCTTGTGTTGTGTGTATTCAACTCACAGAGTTGAACGATCCTTTACACAGAGCGGACTTGAAACACTCTTTTTGTGGAATTTGCAAGTGGAGATTTCAGCCGCGTTGAGGTCAATGGTAGAAAAGGAAATCTCTTCGTATAAAAACTAGACAGAATCATTCTCAGAAACTGCTCTGCGATGTGTGCGTTCAACTCTCAGAGTTTAACTTTTCTTTTCATTCAGCAGTTTGGAAACACTCTGTTTGTAAAGTCTGCACGTGGATATTTTGACCACTTAGAGGACTTCGTTGGAAACGGGTTTTTTTCCTGTAAGGCTAGACAGAAGAATTCCCAGTAACTTCCTTGTGTTGTGTACATTCAACTCACAGAGTTGAACGTTCCCTTAGACAGAGCAGATTTGAAACACTCTTTTTGTGCAATTGGCAAGTGGAGATTTCAAGCGCTTTAAGGTCAATGGCAGAAAAGGAAATATCTTCGTTTCAAAACTAGACAGAATCATTCCCACAAACTGCGTTGTGATGTGTTCGTTCAACTCACAGAGTTTAACTTTTCTTTTCATAGAGCAGTTAGGAAACACTCTGTTTGTAAAGTCTGCAAGTGGATATTCAGACCTCCTTGAGGCCTTCGTTGGAAACGGGATTTCTTCATATTCTGCTAGACAGAAGAATTCTCAGTAACTTCCTTGTGTTGTGTGTATTCAACTCACAGAGTTGAACGATCCTTTACACAGAGCAGACTTGAAACACTCTATTTGTAGAACTTGCAAGTGGAGATTTCAGCCGCTTTGAGGTCAATAGTAGAAAAGGAAATATCTTCGTAGAAAAACTAGACAGAATGATTCTCAGATACTCCTTTGTGATGTGTGCGTTCAACTCACAGAGTTTAACCTTTCTTTTCATAGAGCAGTTAGGAAACACTGCGTTTGTAAAGTCTGCAAGTGGATATTCAGACCTCCTTGAGGCCTTCGTTGGAAACGGGATTTCTTCATATTATGCTAGACAGAAGAATTCCCAGTAACTTCCTTGTGTTGTGTGTGTTTAACTCACAGAGTTGAACTTTGATTTACACAGAGCAGATTTGAAACACTCTTTTTGTGGAATTTGCAAGTGGAGATTTCAAGCGCTTTGAGGCCAAAGGCAGAAAAGGAAATATCTTCGCATAAAAACTAGACAGAATCATTCTCAGAAACTGCTGCGTGATGTGTGCGTTCAACTCTCAGAGTTTAACTTTTCTTTTCATTCAGCGGTTTGGAAACACTCTGTTTGTGAAGTCTGCCCGTGGATATTTTGACCCCTTAGAGGCCTTCGTTGGAAACGGGTTTTTTTCATGTAAGGCTAGACAGAAGAATTCTCAGTAACTTCCTTGTGTTGTGTACATTCAACTCACAGAGTTGAACGTTCCCTTAGACACAGCAGATTTGAAACACTCTTTTTGTGCAATTGGCAAGTGGAGATTTCAAGCGCTTTGAGGTCAATGGCAGAAAAGGAAATATCTTCGTTTCAAAACTAGACAGAATCATTCCCACAAACTGCGTTGTGATGTGTGCGTTCAACTCAAAGAGTTTAACCTTTCTTTTCATAAAGCAGTTAGGAAACACTCTGTTTGTAAAGTCTGCAAGTGGATATTCAGACCTCCTTGAGGCCTTCGTTGGAAACGGGATTTCTTCATATTCTGCTAGACAGAAGAATTCTCAGTAACTTCCTTGTGTTGTGTGTATTCAACTCACAGAGTTGAAGGATCCTTTACACAGAGCAGACTTGAAACACTCTTTTTGTGGAATTTGCAAGTGGAGATTTCAGCCGCTTTGAGGTCAATGGTAGAAAAGGAAACTATCTTCATATAAAGACTAGACAGAATGATTCTCAGAATCTCCTTTATGATGTGTGCGTTCAACTCACAGAGTTTAACCTTTCTTTTCATAGAGCAGTTAGGAAACACTCTGTTTGTAAAGTCTGCAAGTGGATATTCAGACCTCTTTGAGGCCTTCGTTGGAAACGGGTTTTTTTCATATAAGACTAGACAGAAGAATTCTCAGTAACTTCCTTGTGTTGTGTGTATTCAACTCACAGAGTTGAACTTTCATTTACACAGAGCAGATTTGAAACACTCTTTTTGTGGAATTTGCAAATGGAGATTTCAAGCGCTTTGAGGCCAAAGGCAGAAAAGGAAATATCTTCGTATAAAAACTAGACAGAATCATTCTCAGAAACTGCTCTGCGATGTGTGCGTTCAACTCTCAGATTTTAACTTTTCTTTTCATTCAGCAGTTTGGAAACACTCTGTTTGTAAAGTCTGCACGTGGATATTTTGACCACTTAGAGGCCTTCGTTGGAAACGGGGTTCTTTCCTGTAAGGCTAGACAGAATAATTCCCAGTAACTTCCTAGTGTTGTGTGCATTCAACTCACAGAGATGAACGTTCCCTTAGACAGAGCAGATTTGAAACACTCTGTGCAATTTGCAAGTGTAGATTTCAAGCGCTTTAATGTCAATGGCAGAAAAGGAAATATCTTCGCTTCAAAACTAGACAGAATCATTCCCACAAACTGCGTTGTGATGTGTTCGTTCAACTCACAGAGTTTAACCTTTCTTTTCATAGAGCAGTTAGGAAACAGTCTGTTTGTCAATTCTGTAAGTGGATATTCTGACATCTTGTGGCATTCGTTGGAAACGGGATTTCTTCATATTCTGCTAGACAGAAGAATTCTCAGTAACTTCCTTGTGTAGTGTGTATTCAACTCACAGAGTTGAACGATCCTTTACACAGAGCAGAGTTGAAACACTCTTTTTGTGGAATTTGCAAGTGGAGATTTCAGGCGCTTTGAGGTCAATGGTAGAAAAGGAAATATCTTCGTATAAAGACTAGACAGAATGATTCTCAGAAACTCCTTTGTGATGTGTGCGTTCAACTCACAGAGTTTAACCTTTCTATTCATAGAGCAGTTAGGAAACACTCTGTTTGTCAAGTCTGCAAGTGGATACTCAGACCTCTTTGAGGCCTTCGTTGGAAACGGGTTTTTTTCATATAAGGCTAGACAGAAGAATTCTCAGTAACTTCCTTGTGTTGTGTGTATTCAACTGACAGAGTTGAACTTTCATTTAGAGAGAGCAGATTTCAAACACTGTTTTTGTGGAATTTGCAAGTGGAGATTTCAAGCGCTTTGGGGCCAAAGGCAGAAAAGGAAATATCTTCGTATAAAAACTAGACAGAATCATTCTCAGAAACTGCTCTGTGATGTGTGCGTTCAACTCTCAGAGTTTAACTTTTCTTTTCATTCAGTACTTTGGAAACACTCTGTTTGTAAAGTCTGCACGTGGATATTTTGACCACTTAGAGGCCTTCGATGGAAACGGGGTTTTTTCATTTAAGGCTAGACAGAAGAATTCCCAGTAACTTCCTTGTGTTGTGTGCATTCAACTCACAGAGATGAACGTTCCCTTAGACAGAGCAGATTTGAAACACTCTATTTGTGCAATTTGCAAGTGTAGATTTCAAGCTCTTTAAGGTCAATGGCAGAAAAGGAAATATCTTTGTTTCAAAACTAGACAGAATCATTCCCACAAACTGCGTTGCGATGTGTTCGTTCAACTCACAGAGTTTAACATTTCTTTTCATAGAGCACTTAGGAAACAGTCTGTTTGTAAATTCTGTAAGTGGATATTCTGACATCTTGTGGCCTTCGTTGGAAACAGGATTTCTTCATATTCTGCTAGACAGAAGAATTCTCAGTAACTTCCTTGTGTTGTGTGTATTCAACTCACAGACTTGAAGGATCCTTTACAGAGAGGAGGCTTGAAACCCTCTTTTTGTCGAATTTGCAAGTGGAGATTTCAGCCGCTTTGAGGTCAATGGTAGAATAGGAAATATCTTCTTATAGAAACTAGACAAAATGATTCTCAGAAACTCCTTTGTGATGTGTGCGTTCAACTCACAGAGTTTAACCTTTCTTCTCATAGAGCAGTTAGGAAACACTCTGTTTGTAAAGTCTGCAAGTGGATATTCAGACCTCTTTGAGGCCTTCGTTGGAAACGGGTTTTTTTCATATAAGGCTAGACAGAAGAATTCCCAGTAACTTCCTTGTGTTGTGTGTGTTCAACTCACAGAGTTGAACTTTCATTTACACAGAGCAGATTTGAAACACTCTTTTTGTGGAATTTGCAAGTGGAGATTTCAAGCGCTTTGAGGCCAAAGGCAGAAAAGGAAATATCTTCGTTGCAAAACTAGACAGAAATCATTCTCAGCAAACTGCTGCGTGATGTGTGCGTTCAACTCTCAGAGTTTAACTTTTCTTTTCATTCAGCGGTTTGGAAACACTCTGTTTGTAAAGACTGCACGTGGATATTTTGACCACTTAGAGGCCTTCGTTGGAAAGGGGTTTTTTTTCATGTAAGGCTAGACAGAAGAATTCCCAGTAACTTCCTTGTGTTGTGTACATTCAACTCACAGAGTTGAACGTTCCCTTAGACAGAGCAGATTTGAAACACTCTTTTTGTGCAATTGGCAAGTGGAGATTTCAAGCGCTTTGAGGTCAATGGCAGAAAAGGAAATATCTTCCTTTCAAAACTAGACAGAATCATTCCCACAAACTGCGTTGTGATGTGTTCGTTCAACTCACAGAGTTTAACCTTTCTGTTCATAGAGCAGTTAGCAAACACTCTGTTTGTAAAGTCTGTAAGTGGATATTCAGACATCTTGTGGCCTTCGTTGGAAACAGGATTTCTTCATATTCTGCTAGACAGAAGAATTCTCAGAATCTTCCTTGTGTTGTGTGTATTCAACTCACAGAGTTGAACGATGGTTTACACACAGCAGATTTGAAACACTCTTTTTGTGGTATTTGCAAGTGGAGATTTCAGCCGCTTTGAGGTCAATGGTAGAAAAGGAAATATCTTCGTATAAAAACTAGACAGAACGATTCTCAGAAACTCCTTTGTGATGTGTGCGTTCAACTCACAGAGTTTAACCTTTCTGTTCATAGAGCAGTTAGGAAACACTCTGTTTGTAAAGTCTGCAAGTGGATATTCAGACCTCTTTGAGGCCTTCGTTGGAAACGGGATTTCTTCATATTCTGCTAGACAGAAGAATTCCCAGTAACTTCCTTGTGTTGTGTGTGTTCAACTCACAGAGTTGAACTTTCATTTACGCAGAGCAGATTTGAAACACTCTTTTTGTGGAATTTGCAAGTGGAGATGTCAAGCGCTTTGAGGCCAAAGGCAGAAAAGGAAATATCTTCGTTTCAAAACTAGACAGAATCATTCTCAGAAACTGCTCTGCGATGTGTGCGTTCAACTCTCAGAGTTTAACTTTTCTTTTCATTCAGCAGTTTGAAAACACTCTGTTTGTAAAGTCTGCACGTGGATATTTTGACCACTTAGAGGCCTTCGTTGGAAACGGGTTTTTTTCCTGTAAGGCTAGACAGAAGAATTCCCAGTAACTTCCTTGTGTTGAGTACATTCAACTCACAGAGTTGAACGTTCCCTTAGACAGAGCAGATGTGAAACACTCTTTTTGTACAATTGGCAAGTGGAGATTTCAAGCGCTTTAAGGTCAATGGCAGAAAAGGAAATATCTTCGTTTCAAAACTAGACAGAATGATTCTCAGAAACTTCTTTGTGATGTGTGCGTTCAACTCACAGAGTTTAACCTTTCTTTTCATAGAGCAGTTAGGAAACACTCTGTTTGTAAACTCTGCAAGTGGATATTCAGACCTCTTTGAGGCCTTCGTTGGAAACGGGATTTCTTCATACTGTGCTAGACATAAGAATTCTCAGTAACTTCCTTGTGTTGTGTGTATTCAACTCACAGACTTGAATGATCCTTTACACAGAGCAGACTTGAAACACTCTTTTTGTGGAATGTGCAAGTGGAGATTTCAGCCGCTTTGTGGTCAATGGTAGAATAGGAAATATCTTCCTATAGAAACTAGACAGAATGATTCTCAGAAACTCCTTTGTGATGTGTACGTTCAACTCACAGAGTTTAACCTTTCTTTTCATAGAGCAGTTAGGAAACACTCTGTTTGTAAAGTCTGCAAGTGGATATTGAGACCTCTTTGAGGCCTTCGTTGGAAACGGGTTTTTTACATATAAGGCTAGACAGAAGAATTCCCAGTAAGTTCCTTGTGTTGTGTGTGTTCAACTCACAGAGTTGAACTTTCATTTACACAGAGCAGATTTGAAACACTCTTTTTGTGGAATTTGCAAATGGAGATTTCAAGCGCTTTGAGGCCAAAGGCAGAAAAGGAAATATCTTCGTATAAAAACTAGACAGAATCATTCTCAGAAACTGCTCTGCGATGTGTGCGTTCAACTCTCAGAGTTTAACTTTTCTTTTCATTCAGCAGTTTGGAAACACTCTGTTTGTAAAGTCTGCACGTGGATAATTTGACCACTTAGAGGCCTTCGTTGGAAACGGGTTTTTTTCCTGTAAGGCTAGACAGAAGAATTCTCAGTAACTTCCTTGTGTTGTGTGTATTCAACTCACAGAGTTGAACGATCCTTCACACAGAGCAGACTTGGAAAACTCTTTTTGTGGAATTTGCAAGTGGAGATTTCAGCCGCTTTGAAGTCAAAGGTAGAAAAGGAAATATATTCCTATAAAAAGTAGACAGAATCATTCCCACAAACTGCGTTGTGATGTTTTCGTTCAACTCACAGAGTTTAACCTTTCTTTTCATAGAGCAGTTAGGAAACACTCTGTTGGTAAATTCTGTAAGTGGATATTCTGACATCTTGTGGCCTTCGTTGGAAACGGGATTTCTTCATATTCTGCTAGACAGAAGAATTCTCAGTAACTTCCTTGTGTTGTGTGTATTCAACTCACAGAGTTGAACGATCCTTTACACAGAGCAGACTTGAAACACTCTTTTTGTGGAATTTGCAAGTGGAGATTTCAGCCGCTTTGAGCTCAATGGTAGAATAGGAAATATCTTCCTATAGAAACTAGACAGAACGATTCTCAGAAACTCCTTTGTGATGTGTGCGTTCAACTCACAGAGTTTAACTTTTCTTTTCATAGAGCAGTTAGTAAACACTCTGTTTATAAAGTCTGCAAGTGGATATTCAGACCCCTTTGAGGCCTTCGTTGGAAACGGGATTTCTTCATATTATGCTAGACAGAAGAATTCTCAGTAACTTCCTTGTGTTGTGTGTATTCAACTGACAGAGTTGAACTTTGATTTAGAGAGAGCAGATTTGAAACACTGTTTTTGTGGAATTTGCAAGTGGAGATTTCAAGCGCTTTGGGGCCAAAGGCAGAAAAGGAAATATCTTCGTATAAAAACTAGACAGAATCATTCTCAGAAACTCCTTTGTGATGTGTGCGTTCAACTCTCAGAGTTTAACTTTTCTTTTCATTCAGCGGTTTGGAAACACTCTGTTTGTAAAGTCAGCACGTGGAAATTTTGACCACTTAGAGGCCTTCGTTGGAAACGGGTTTTTTTCATGTAAGGCTAGACAGAAGAATTCCCAGGAACTTCCTTGTGTTGTGTACATTCAACTCACAGAGTTGAACGTTCCCTTAGACAGAGCAGATTTGAAACACTCTTTTTGTGCAATTGGCAAGTGGTGATTTCAGCCGCATTGAGGTCAATGGTAGAAAAGGAAATATCTTCGTATAAAAACTAGACAGATAATCATTCCCACAAACTGCGTTGTGATGTGTTCGTTCAACTCACAGAGTTTAACCTTTCTTTTCATAGAGCAGTTAGGAAACACTCTGTTGGTAAATTCTGTAAGTGGATATTCTGACATCTTGTGGCCTTCGTTGGAAACGGGATTTCTACATATTCTGCTAGACAGAAGAATTCTCAGTAACTTCCTTGTGTTGTGTGTATTCAACTCACAGAGTTGACCGATCCTTTACACAGAGCAGACTTGTAACACTCTTTTTGTGGAATTTGCAAGTGGAGATTTCAGCCGTTTTGAAGTCAAAGGTAGAAAAGGGAATATCTTCCTATAAAAACTAGACAGAATGATTCTCAGAAACTCCTTTGTGATGTGTGCGTTCAACTCACAGAGTTTAACTTTTCTTTTCATAGAGCAGTTAGGAAACACTCTGTTTGTAAAGTCTGCAAGTGGATATTCAGACCTCCTTGAGGCCTTCATTGGAAACGGGATTTCTTCATATTCTGCTAGACAGAAGAATTCTCAGTAACTTCCTTGTGTTGTGTGTATTCAGCTCACAGGGTTGAACGATCCTTTATACAGAGCAGACTTGAAACACTCTTTTTGTGGGACTTGCAAGTGGAGATTTCAGCCGCTTTGAGGTCAATAATTGAAAAGGAAATATCTTCGTAGAAAAACTAGACAGAATCATTCTCAGAAACTGCTGCGTGATGTGTGCGTTCAACTCTCAGAGTTTAACTTTTCTTTTCATTCAGCGGTTTGGAAACACTCTGTTTGTAAAGACTGCACGTGGATATTTTGACCACTTAGAGGCCTTCGTTGGAAACGGGTTTTTTTTCATGTAAGGCTAGACAGAAGAATTCCCAGTAACTTCCTTGTGTTGTGTGCATTCAACTCACAGAGTTGAACGTTCCCTTAGGCAGAGCAGATTTGAAACACTCTATTTGTGCAATTTGCAAGTGTAGATTTCAAGCGCTTTAAGGTCAACGGCAGAAAAGGAAATATCTTCGTTTCAAAACTAGACAGAATCATTCCCACAAACTGCGTTGTGATGTATTCGTTCAACTCACAGAGTTTAACCTTTCTGTTCATAGAGCAGTTAGGAAACACTCTGTTTGTAAAGTATGCAAGTGGATATTCAGACCTCCTTGAGGCCTTCGTTGGAAACGGGATTTCTTCATATTCTGCTAGACAGAAGAATTCTCAGTAACTTCCTTGTGTTGTGTGTATTCAACTCACAGGGTTGAACGATCCTTTATACAGAGCAGACTTGAAACACTCTTTTTGTGGGACTTGCAAGTGGAGATTTCAGCCGCTTTGAGGTCAATAATAGAAAAGGAAATATCTTCGTAGAAAAACTAGACAGAATGATTCTCAGAAACTTCATTGTGACGTGTGCGTTCAACTCACAGAGTTTAACATTTCTTTTCATAGAGCAGTTAGGAAACACTCTGTTTGTAAAGTCTGCAAGTGGATATTCAGACCTCTTTGAGGCCTTCGTTGGAAACGGGATTTTCTTCATACTGTGCTAGACAGAAGAATTCTCAGTAACTTCCTTGTGTTGTGTGTATTCCACTGACAGAGTTGAACTTTCATTTAGAGAGAGCAGATTTGAAACACTGTTTTTGTGGAATTTGCAAGTGGAGATATCAAGCGCTTTGGGGCCAAAGGCAGAAAAGGAAATATCTTCGTATAAAAACTAGACAGAATCATTCTCAGAAACTGCTGTGTGATGTGTGCGTTCAACTCTCAGAGTTTAACTTTTCTTTTCATTCAGCGGTTTGGAAACACTCTGTTTGTAAAGTCTGCACGTGGATATTTTGACCACTTAGAGGCCTTCGTTGGAAACGGGATTTTTTCATGTAAGGCTAGACAGAAGAATTCCCAGTAACTTCCTTGTGTTGTGTACATTCAACTCACAGAGTTGAACGTTCCCTTAGACAGAGCAGATTTGAAACACTCTTTTTGTGCAATTGGCAAGTGGAGATTTCAAGCGCTTTAAGGTCAATGGCAGAAAAGGAAATATCTTCGTTTCAAAACTAGACAGAATCATTCCCACAAACTGCGTTGTGATGTGTTCGTTCAACTCACAGAGTTTAACCTTTCTGTTCATAGAGCAGTTAGGAAACACTCTGTTTGTAAAGTCTGAAAGTGGATATTCTGACATCTTGTGGCCTTCGTTGGAAACGGGATTTCTTCATATTCTGCTAGACAGAAGAATTCTCAGTAACTTCCTTGTGTTGTGTGTATTCAACTCACAGAGTTGAACGATCCTTTACACAGAGCAGACTAGAAACACTCTTTTTGTGGAATTTGCAAGTGGAGATTTCAGCCGCTTTGAGGTCAATAGTAGAAAAGGAAATATCTTCGTAGAAAAACTAGACAGAATGATTCTCAGAAACTCCTTTGTGATGTGTGTGTTCAACTCACAGAATTTAACCTTTCTTTTCATAGAGCAGTTAGTAAACACTCTGTTTATAAAGTCTGCAAGTGGATATTCAGACCCCTTTGAAGCCTTCGTTGGAAACGGGATTTCTTCATATTATGCTAGACAGAAGAATTCTCAGTAACTTCCCTTGTGTTGTGTGTATTCAACTGACAGAGTTGAACTTTCATTTAGAGAGAGCAGATTTGAAACACTGTTTTTGTGGAATTTGCAAGTGGAAATTTCAAGCGCTTTGGGGTCAAAGGCAGAAAAGGAAATATCTTCGTATAAAAACTAGACAGAATCATTCTCAGAAACTGCTCTGCGATGTGTGCGTTCAACTCTCAGAGTTTAACTTTTCTTTTCATTCAGCAGTTTGGAAACACTCTGTTTGTAAAGTCTGCAGGTGGATATTTTGACCACTTAGAGGCCTTCGTTGGAAACGGGTATTTTTTCCTGTAAGGCTAGAAAGAATAATTCCCAGTAACTTCCTTGTGTTGTGTGCATTCAACTCACAGAGTTGAACGTTCCCTTAGACAGAGCAGATTTGAAACACTCTATTTGTGCAATTTGCAAGTGTAGATTTCAAGCGCTTTAAGGTCAATGGCAGAAAAGGAAATATCTTCGTTTCAAAACTAGACAGAATCATTCCCACAAACTGCGTTGTGATGTGTTCGTTCAACTCACAGAGTTTAACCTTTCTGTTCATAGAGCAGTTAGGAAACACTCTGTTTGTAAAGTCTGAAAGTGGATATTCTGACATCTTGTGGCCTTCGTTGGAAACGGGATTTCTTCATATTCTGCTAGACAGAAGAATTCTCAGTAACTTCCTTGTGTTGTGTGTATTCAACTCACAGAGTTGAACGATCCTTTACACAGAGCAGACTTCAAACATTCTTTTTGTGGAATTTGCAAGTGGAGATTTCAGCCGCTTTGAGGTCAATGGTAGAAAAGGAAACTATCTTCATATAAAGACTAGACAGAATGATTCTCAGAAACTCCTTTGTGATGTGTGCGTTCAACTCACAGAGTTTAACCTTTCTTTTCATAGAGCAGTTAGGAAACACTCTGTTTGTAAAGTCTGGAAGTGGATATTCAGACCTCCTTGAGGCCTTCGTTGGAAACGGGATTTCTTCATATTATGCTTGACAGAAGAATTCCCAGTAACTTCCTTGTGTTGTGTGTGTTCAACTCACAGAGTTGAACTTTCATTTACACAGAGCAGATTTGAAACACTCTTTTTGTGGAATTTGCAAATGGAGATTTCAAGCGCTTTGAGGCCAAAGGCAGAAAAGGAAATATCTTCGTTTCAAAACTAGACAGAATCATTCTCAGAAACTGCTCTGCGATGTGTGCGTTCAACTCTCAGAGTTTAACTTTTCTTTCCATTCTGCAGTTTGGAAACACTCTGGTTGTAAAGTCTGCACGTGGATAACTTGACCACTTAGAGGCCTTCGTTGGAAACGGGTTTTTTTCCTGTAAGGCTAGACAGAAGAATTCCCAGTAACTTCCTTGTGTTGTGTGCATTCAACTCACAGAGTTGAACGTTCCCTTAGACAGAGCAGATTTGGAACACTCTATTTGTGCAATTTGCAAGTGTAGATTTCAAGCGCTTTATGGTCAACGGCAGAAAAGGAAATATCTTCGTTTCAAAACTAGACAGAATCACTCCCACAAACTGCGTTGTGATGTGTTCGTTCAACTCACAGAGTTTAACCTTTCTGTTCATAGAGCAGTTAGGAAACACTCTGTTTGTAAAGTCTGCAAGTGAATATTCAGACCTCCTTGAGGCCTTCGTTGGAAACGGGATTTCTTCATATTCTGCTAGACCGAATAATTCTCAGTAACTTCCTTGTGTTGTGTGTATTCAACTCACAGAGTTGAACGATCCTTTACACAGAGCAGATTTGAAACACTCTTTTTGTGGAATTTGCAAGTGGAGATTTCAGCCGCTTTGAGGTCAATGGTAGAAAAGGAAACTACCTTCATATAAAGACTAGACAGAATGATTCTCAGAAACTCCTTTGTGATGTGTGTGTTCAACTCACAGAGTTTAACCTTTCTTTTCATAGAGCAGTTAGTAAACACTCTGTTTATAAAGTCTGCACGTGGATATTTTGACCACTTAGAGGCCTTCGTTGGAAACGGGTTTTTTTCATGTAAGGCTAGACAGAAGAATTCCCAGTAACTTCCTTGTGTTGTGTGTGTTCGACTCACAGAGTTGAACTTTCATTTACACAGAGCAGATATGAAACACTCTTTTTGTGGAATTTGCAAGTGGAGATTTCAAGCGCTTTGAGGCCAAAGGCAGAAAAGGAAATATCTTCGTTTCAAAACTAGACAGAATCATTCTCAGAAACTGCTGTGTGATGTGTGCGTTCAACTCTCAAAGTTTAACTTTTCTTTTCATTCAGCGGTTTGGAAACACTCTGTTTGTAAAGTCTGCACGTGGATATTTTGACCACTTAGAGGCCTTCGTTGGAAACGGGATTTTTTCATGTAAGGCTAGACAGAAGAATTCCCAGTAACTTCCTTGTGTTGTGTGCATTCAACTCACAGAGTTGAACGTTCCCTTAGACAGAGCAGATTTGAAACACTCTATTTGTGCAATTTGCAAGTGTAGATTTCAAGCGCTTTAAGGTCAATGGCAGAAAAGGAAATATCTTCGTTTCAAAACTAGACAGAATCATTCCCACAAACTGCGTTGTGATGTGTTCGTTCAACTCACAGAGTTTAACCTTTCTGTTCATAGAGCAGTTAGGAAACACTGTGTTTGTAAAGTCTGTAAGTGGATATTCTGACATCTTGTGGCCTTCGTTGGAAAAGGGATTTCTTCATATTCTGCTAGACAGAAGAATTCTCAGTAACTTCCTTGTGTTGTGTGTATTCAACTCACAGAGTTGAACGATCCTTTACAGAGAGCAGACTTTAAGGACTCTTTTTGTGGAATTTGCAAGTGGAGATTTCAGCCGCTTTGAGGTCAATGGTAGAAAAGGAAATATCTTCGTATAAAGACTAGACAGAATGATTCTCAGAAACTCCTTTGTGATGTGTGTGTTCAACTCACAGAGTTTAACATTTCTTTTCATAGAGCAGTTAGGAAACACTCTGTTTGTAAAGTCTCCAAGTGGATATTCAGACCTCTTTGAGGCCTTCGTTGGAAACGGGTTTTTTTCATATAAGGCTAGACAGAAGAATTCCCAGTAACTTCCTTGTGTTGTGTGTGTTCAACTCACAGAGTTGAACTTTCATTTACACAGAGCAGATTTGAAACACTCTTTTTGTGGAATTTGCAAGTGGAGATTTCAAGCGCTTTGAGGCCAAAGGCAGAAAAGGAAATATCTTCGTTTCGAAACTAGACAGAATCATTCTCAGAAACTGCTCTGCGATGTGTGCGTTCAACTCTCAGAGTTTAACTTTTCTTTTCATTCAGCAGTTTGGAAACACTCTGTTTGTAAAGTCTGCACGTGGATATTTTGACCACTTAGAGGCCTTCGTTGGAAACGGGTTTTTTTCCTGTAAGGGTAGACAGAAGAATTCCCAGTAACTTCCTTGTGTTGTGTGCATTCAACTCACAGAGTTGAACGTTCCCTTAGACAGAGCAGATTTGAAACACTCTATTTGTGTAATTTGCAAGTGTACATTTCAAGCGCTTTAAGGTCAACGGCAGAAAAGGAAATATCTTCGTTTCAAAACTAGACAGAATCATTCCCACAAACTGCGTTGTGATGTGTTCGTTCAACTCACAGAGTTTAACTTTTCCGTTCATAGAGCAGTTAGGAAACACTCTGTTTGTAAAGTCTGCAAGTGGATATTCAGACCTCCTTGAGGCCTTCGTTGGAAATGGGATTTCTTCATATTCTGCTAGACAGAAGAATTCTCAGTAACTTCCCTTGTGTTGTGTGTATTCAACTCACACAGTTGAACGATCCTTTACACAGAGCAGACTTGTAACACTCTTTTTGTGGAATTTGCAAGTGGAGATTTCAGCCGCTTTGAAGTCAAAGGTAGAAAAGGAAATATCTTCCTATAAAAACTAGACAGAATGATTCTCAGAAACTCCTTTGTGATGTGTGCGTTCAACTCACAGAGTTTAACCTTTCTTTTCATAGAGCAGTTAGGAAACACTCTGTTTGTAAAGTCTGCAAGTGGATATTCAGACCTCCTTTAGGACTTCGTTGGAAACGGGATTTCTTCATATTATGCTAGACAGAAAGAATTCCCAGTAACTTCCTTGTGTTGTGTGTGTTCAACTCACAGAGTTGAACTTTCATTTACACAGAGCAGATTTGAAACACTCTTTTTGTGGAATTTGCAAGTGGAGATTTCAAGCGCTTTGAGGCCAAAGGCAGAAAAGGAAATATCTTCGTTTCAAAACTAGACAGAATCATTCTCAGAAACTGCTGCGTGATGTGTGCGTTCAACTCTCAGAGTTTAACTTTTCTTTTCATTCAGCGGTTTGGAAACACTCTGTTTGTAAAGACTGCACGTGGATATTTTGACCACTTAGAGGCCTTCGTTGGAAACGGGTTTTTTTTCATGTAAGGCTAGACAGAAGAATTCCCAGTAACTTCCTTGTGTTGTGTGCATTCAACTCACAGAGTTGAACGTTCCCTTAGACAGAGCAGATTTGAAACACTCTATTTGTGCAATTTGCAAGTGTAGATTTCAAGCGCTTTAAGGTCAGTGGCAGAAAAGGAAATATCTTCGTTTCAAAACTAGACAGAGTGATTCTCAGAAACTCCTTTGGGATGTCTGCGTTCAACTCACAGAGTTTAACCTTTCTTTTCATAGAGCAGTTAGGAAACACTCTGTTTGTAAAGTCTGCAAGTGCATATTCAGACCTCCTTGAGGCCTTCGTTGGAAACGGGATTTCTTCATATTCTGCTATACAGAAGAATTCTCAGAAACTTCCTTGTGTTGTGTGTATTCAACTCACAGAGTTGAACGATCGTTTACACAGAGCAGACTTGAGAAACTCTTTTTGTGGAATTTGCAAGTGGAGATTTCAGCCGCTTTGAGGTCAATGGTAGAAAAGGAAATATCTTCATATAAAAACTAGACAGAATGATTCTCATAAACTCCTTTGTGATGTGTGCGTTCAACTCACAGAGTTTAACTTTTCTTTTCATAGAGCAGTTAGGAAACACTCTGTTTGTAAAGTCTGCAAGTGGATATTCAGACCTCTTTGGGGCCTTCGTTGGAAACGGGATTTCTTCATATTCTGCTAGACAGAATAATTCTCAGTAACTTCCTTGTGTTGTGTGTATTCAACTCACAGAGTTGAACGATCCTTTACAGAGAGCAGACTTGAAACACTCTTTTTGTGGAATTTGCAAGTGGAAATTGCAGCCGCTTTGAGGTCAATGGTAGAAAAGGAAATATCTTCCTATAGAAACTAGACAGAATCATTCTCAGAAACTGCTGCGTGATGTGTGCGTTCAACTCTCAGAGTTTAACTTTTCTTTTCATTCAGCGGTTTGGAAACACTCTGTTTGTAAAGTCTGCACGTGGAAATTTTGACCACTTAGAGGCCTTCGTTGGAATCGGGTTTTTTTCATGTAAGGCTAGACAGAAGAATTCCCAGTAACTTCCTTGTGTTGTGTGCATTCAACTCACAGAGTTGAACGTTCCCTTAGACAGAGCAGATTTGAAACACTCTATTTGTGCAATTTGCAAGTGTAGATTTCAAGCGCTTTAAGGTCAATGGCAGAAAAGGAAATAACTTCGTTTCAAAACTAGACAGAATCATTCCCACAAACTGCCTTGTGATGTGTTCGTTCAACTCACAGAGTTTAACCTTTCTATTCATAGAGCAGTTAGGAAACACTCTGTAACGTCTGTAAGTGGATATTCTGACATCTTGTGGCCTTCGTTGGAAACGGGATTTCTTCATATTCTGCTAGACAGAAGAATTCTCAGTAACTTCCTTGTGTTGTGTGTATTCAACTCACAGAGTTGAAGGATCCTTTACAGAGAGCAGGCTTCAAACACTCTTTTTGTCGAATTTGCAAGTGGAGATTTCAGCCGCTTTGAGGTCAATGGTAGAATAGGAAATATCTTCGTATAAAGAATAGACAGAATGATTCTCAGAAACTCCTTTGTGATGTGTGCGTTCAACTCACAGAGTTTAACCTTTCTTTTCATAGAGCAGTTAGGAAACACTCTGTTTGTAAAGTCTGCAAGTGGATATTCAGACCTCTTTGAGGCCTTCGTTGGAAACGGGTTTTTTTCATATAAGGCGAGACAGAAGAATTCTCAGTAACTTCCTTGTGTTGTGTGTATTCAACTGACAGAGTTGAACTTTCATTTAGAGAGAGCAGATTTGAAACACTCTTTTTGTGGAATTTGCAAGTGGAGATTTCAAGCGCTTTGGGGCCAAGGGCAGAAAAGGAAATATCTTCGTATAAAAACTAGACAGAATCATTCTCAGAAACTGCTGCGTGATGTGTGCGTTCAACTCTCAGAGTTTAACTTTTCTTTTCATTCAGCGGTTTGGAAACACTCTGTTTGTAAAGTCTGCACGTGGATATTTTGACCACTTAGAGGCTTCGTTGGAAACGGGTTTTTTTCATGTAAGGCTAGACAGAAGAATTCCCAGTAACTTCCTTGTGTTGTGTACATTCAACTCACAGAGTTGAACGTTCCCTTAGACAGAGCAGATTTGAAACACTCTTTTTGTGCAATTGGCAAATGGAGATTTCAAGCGCTTTAAGGTCAATGGCAGAAAAGGAAATATCTTCCTTTCAAAACTAGACAGAATCATTCCCACAAGCTGCGTTGTGATGTGTTCGTTCAACTCACAGAGTTTAACCTTTCTGTTCATAGAGCAGTTAGGAAACCCTCTGTTTGTAAAGTCTGCAAGTGGATATTCAGACCTCTTTGAGGCTTTCGTTGGAAACGGGATTTCCTCATATTCTGCTAGACAGAAGAATTCTCAGTAACTTCCTTGTATTGTGTGTATTCAACTCACAGAGTTGAACGATCCTTTACACAGAGCAGACTTGAAACACTCTTTTTGTGGAATTTGCAAGTGGAGATTTCAGCCGCTTTGTGATCAATGGTAGAATAGGAAATATCTTCCTATAGAAACTAGACAGAATGATTCTCATAAACTCCTTTGTGATGTGTGCGTTCAACTCACAGAGTTTAACTTTTCTTTTCATAGAGCAGTTAGGAAACACTCTGTTTGTAAAGTCTGCAAGTGGATATTCAGACCTCCTTGAGGCCTTCGTTGGAAACGGGATTTCTTCATATTATGCTAGACAGAAGAATTCCCAGTAACTTCCTTGTGTTGTGTGTGTTCAACTCACAGAGTTGAACTTTCATTTACACAGAGCAGATTTGAAACACTCTTTTTGTGGAATTTGCAAGTGGAGATTTCACGCGCTTTGAGGCCAAAGGCAGAAAAGGAAATATCTTCGTTTGAAAACTAGACAGAATCATTCTCAGAAACTGCTCTGCATTGTGTGCGTTCAACTCTCAGAGTTTAACTTTTCTTTTCATTCAGCAGTTTGAAAACACTCTGTTTGTAAAGTCTGTACGTGGATAATTTGACCACATAGAGGCCTTCGTTGGAAACGGGTTTTTTTCATGTAAGGCTAGACAGAAGAATTCCCAGTAACTTCCTTGTGTTGTGGACATTCAACTCACAAAGTTGAACGTTCCCTTAGACAGAGCAGACTTGTAACACTCTTTTTGTGGAATTTGCAAGTGGAGTTTTCAGCCGCTTTTAAGTCAATGGTAGAAAAGGTAATATCTTCCAATAAAAACTAGACAGAATCATTCCCACAAACTGCGTTGTGATGTGTTCGTTCAACTCACAGAGTTTAACCTTTCTGTTCATAGAGCAGTTAGGAAACACTCTGTTTGTAAAGTCTGCAAGTGGATATTCAGACCTCTTTGAAGCCTTCGTTGGAAACGGGATTTCTTCATATTCTGCTAGACAGAAGAATTCTCAGTAACTTCCTTGTGTTGTGTGTATTCAACTCACAGAGTTGAACGATCCTTTACACAGAGCAGACTTGAAACACTTTTTTTGTGGAATTTGCAAGTGGAGGTTTCAGCCGCTTTGAGGTCAATAGTAGAAAAGGAAATATCTTCGTAGAAAAAGTAGACAGAATGATTCTCAGAAACTCCTTTGTGATGTGTGCGTTCAACTCACAGAGTTTAACCTTTCTTTTCATAGAGCAGTTAGGAAACACTCTGTTTGTAAAGTCTGCAAGTGGATATTCAGACCTCCTTGAGGCCTTCGTTGGAAACGGTATTTCTTCATATTCTGCTAGACAGAAGAATTCCCAGTAACTTTCCTTGTGTTGTGTGTGTTCAACTCACAGAGTTGAACTTTCATTTACACAGAGCAGATTTGAAACACTCTTTTTGTGGAATTTGCAAGTGGAGATTTCAAGCGCTTTGAGGCCAAAGGCAGAAAAGGAAATAGTCTTCGTTTCAAAACTAGACAGAATCACTCTCAGAAACTGCTCTGCGATGTGTGCGTTCAACTCTCAGAGTTTAACTTTTCTTTTCATTCAGCAGTTTGGAAACACTCTGTTTGTAAAGTCTGCACGTGGATATTTTGACCACTCAGAGGCCTTCGTTGGAAACGGGTTTTTTTCCTGTAAGGCTAGACAGAAGAATTCCCAGTAACTTCCTTGTGTTGTGTACATTCAACTCACAGAGTTGAACGTTCCCTTAGACAGAGCAGATTTGAAACACTCTTTTTGTGCAATTGGCAAGTGGAGATTTCAAGAGATTTAAGGTCAATGGCAGAAAAGGAAATATCTTCGTTTCAAAACTAGACAGAATCATTCCCACAAACTGCGTTGTGATGTGTTCGTTCAACTCACAGAGTTTAACCTTTCTGTTCATAGAGCAGTTAGGAAACACTCTGTTTGTAAAGTCTGTAAGTGGATATTCTGACATCTTGTGGCCTTCGTTGGAAAGGGGATTTCTTCATATTCCGCTAGACAGAAGAATTCTCAGTAACTTCCTTGTGTTGTGTGTATTCAACTCACAGTAGTTGAACGACCCTTTACACAGAGCAGACTTGTAACACTCTTTTTGTGGAATTTGCAAGTGGAGATTTCAGCCACTTTGAAGTCAAAGGTAGAAAAGGAAATAACTTCCTATAAAAACTAGACAGAATGATTCTCAGAAACTCCTTTGTGATGTCTGCGTTCAACTCACAGAGTTTAACCTTTCTTTTCATAGAGCAGTTAGGAAACACTCTGTTTGTAAAGTCTGCAAGTGGATATTCAGACCTCCTTGAGGCCTTCGTTGGAAACGGGATTTCTTCATATTCTGCTATACAGAAGAATTCCCAGTAACTTCCTTGTGTTGTGTGTGTTCAACTCACAGAGTTGAACTTTCATTTACACAGAGCAGATTTGAAACACTCTTTTTGTGGAATTTGCAAGTGGAGATTTCAAGCGCTTTGAGGCCAAAGGCAGAAAAGGAAATATCTTCGTATATAAACTAGACAGAATCATTCTCAGAAACTGCTCTGTGATGTGTGCGTTCAACTCTCAGAGTTTAACTTTTCTTTTCATTCAGCAGTTTGGAAACACTCTGTTTGTAAAGTCTGCACGTGGATAATTTGATCACTTAGAGGCCTTCGTTGGAAACGGGTTTTTTTCATGTAAGGCTAGACAGAAGAATTCCCAGTAACTTCCTTGTGTTGTGTGCATTCAACTCACAGAGTTGAACGTTCCCTTAGACAGAGCAGATTTGAAACACTCTATTTGTGCAATTTGCAAGTGTAGATTTCAAGCGCATTAAGGTCAATGGCAGAAAAGGAAATATCTTCGTTTCAAAATTAGACAGAATCATTCCCACAAACTGCGTTGTGATGTGTTCGTTCAACTCACAGAGTTTAACCTTTCTGTTCATAGAGCAGTTAAGAAACACTCTGTTTGTAAAGTCTGCAAGTGGATATTCAGACCTCCTTGAGGCCTTCGTTGGAAACGGGATTTCTTCATATTCTGCTAGACAGAAGAATTCTCAGAAACTTCCTTGTGTTGTGTGTTTTCAACTCACAGAGTTGAACGATCCTTTACACAGAGCAGACTTGAAACACTCCTTTTGTGGAATTTGCAAGTGGAGATTTCAGCCGCTTTGAGGTCAATGATAGAATAGGAAATATCTTCCTATAGAAAGTAGACAGAGAACGATTCTCAGAAACTCCTTTGTGATGTGTGCGTTGAACTCACAGAGTTTAACCTTTCTTTTCATAGAGCAGTTAGGAAACACTCTGTTTGTAAAGTCTGCAAGTGGATATTCAGACCTCTTTGAGGCCTTCGTTGGAAACGGGATTTCTTCATATTCTGCTAGACAGAAGAATCCCCAGTAACTTCCTTGTGTTGTGTGTGTTCAACTCACAGAGTTGAACTTTGATTTACACAGAGCAGATTTGAAACACTCTTTTTGTGGAATTTGCAAGTGGAGATTTCAAGCGCTTTGAGGCCAAAGGCAGAAAAGGAAATATCTTCGTATAAAAACTAGACAGAATCATGCTCAGAAACTGCTCTGCGATGTGTGCGTTCAACTCTCAGAGTTTAACTTTTCTTTTCATTCAGCAGTTTGGAAACACTCTGTTTGTAAAGTCTGCACGTGGATAACTTGACCACTTAGAGGCCTTCGTTGGAAACGGGTTTTTTTCATGTAAGGCTAGACAGAAGAATTCCCAGTAACTTCCTTGTGTTGTGTGCATTCAACTCATAGAGTTGAACGTTCCCTTAGACAGAGCAGATTTGAAACACTCTATTTGTGCAATTTGCAAGTGTAGTTTTCAAGCTCTTTAAGGTCAACGGCAGAAAAGGAAATATCTTGGTTTCAAAACTAGACAGAATCATTCCCACAAACTGCGTTGTGATGTGTTCGTTCAACTCACAGAGTTTAACCTTTCTTTTCATAGAACAGTTAGGAAACAGTCTGTTTGTAAATTCTGTAAGTGGATATTCTGACATCTTGTGACCTTCGTTGGAAACGGGATTTCTTCATATTCTGCTAGACAGAAGAATTCTCAGAATCTTCCTTGTGTTGTGTGTATTCAACCCACAGTAGTTGAACGATAGTTTACACAGAGCAGATTTGAAACACTCATTTGGTGGAATTTGCAAGTGGAGATTTCAGCCGCTTTGAGGTCAATGGTAGAAAAGGAAATATCTTCGTATAACAACTAGACAGAATGATTCTCAGAAACTTCTTTGTGATGTGTGTGTTCAACTCACAGAGTTTAACCTTTCTTTTCATAGAGCAGTTAGGAAACACTGTGTTTTTAAACTCTGCAAGTGGATATTCAGACCTCTTTGAGGCCTTCGTTGGAAACGGGTTTCTTCATACTGTGCTAGACAGAAGAATTCCCAGTAACTTCCTTGTGTTGTGTGTGTTCAACTCACAGAGTTGAACTTTCATTTACACAGAGCAGATTTGAAACACTCTTTTTGTGGAATTTGCAAGTGGAGATTTCAAGAGCTTTGAGGCCAAAGGCAGAAAAGGAAATATCTTCGTATAAAAACTAGACAGAATGATTCTCAGAAACTGCTCTGCGATGTGTGCGTTCAACTCCCAGAGTTTAACTTTTCTTTTCATTCAGCAGTTTGGAAACACTCTGTTTGTAAAGTCTGCACGTGGATAACTTGACCACTTAGAGGCCTTCGTTGGAAACGGGTTTTTTTCATGTAAGGCTAGACAGAAGAATTCCCAGTAACTTCCTTGTGTTGGGTGCATTCAACTCACAGAGTTGAACGTTCCCTTAGACAGAGCAGATTTGAAACAGCCTATTTGTGCAATTTGCAAGTGTAGATTTCAAGCGCTTTAAGGTCAACGGCAGGAAAGGAAATATCTTCCTTTCAAAACTAGACAGAATCATTCTCAGAAACTGCTCTGCGATGTGTGCGTTCAACTCTCAGAGTTTAACTTTGCTTTTCATTCAGCAGTTTGGAAACACTCTGTTTCTAAAGTCTGCACGTGGATAATTTGACCACTTAGAGGCCTTCGTTGGAAACGGGTTTTTTTCATGTAAGGCTAGACAGAAGAATTCTCAGTAACTTCCTTGTGTTGTGTGTATTCAACTCACAGAGTTGAACGATCCTTTACACAGAGCAGACTTGTAACACTCTTTTTGTGGAATTTGCAAGTGGAGATTTCAGCCGCTTTGAAGTCAAAGGTAGAAAAGGAAATATCTTCCTATAAAAACTACACAGAATGATTCTCAGAAACTCCTTTGTGATGTGTGCGTTCAACTCACAGAGTTTAACCTTCCTTTTCATAGTGCAGTTAGGAAACACTCTGTTTGTAAAGTCTGCAAGTGGATATTCAGACCTCTTTGAGGCCTTCGTTGGAAACGGGTTTTTTTCATATAAGGCTAGACAGAAGAATTCCCAGTAACTTCCTTGTGTTGTGTGTGTTCAACTCACAGAGTTGAACTTTCATTTACACAGAGCAGATTTGAAACACTCTTTTTCTGGAATTTGCAAATGGAGATTTCAAGGGATTTGAGGCCAAAGGCAGAAATGGAAATATCTTCGTATAAAAACTAGACAGAATCATTCTCAGAAACTGCTGCGTGATGTGTGCGTTCAACTCTCAGAGTTTAACTTTTCTTTTCATTCAGCGGTTTGGAAACACTCTGTTTGTAAAGTCTGCACGTGGACATTTTGACCACTTAGAGGCCTTCGTTGGAAACGGGTTTTTTTCATGTAAGGCTAGACAGAAGAATTCCCAGTAACTTGCCTTGTGTTGTGTACATTCAACTCACAGAGTTGAACGTTCCCTTAGACAGAGCAGATTTGAAACACTCTTTTTGTGCAATTGGCAAATGGAGATTTCAAGCGCTTTAAGGTCAATGGCAGAAAAGGAAATTGTTCGTTTCAAAACTAGACAGAATGATTCTCAGAAACTCCTTTGTGATGTGTGCGTTCAACTCACAGAGTTTAACCTTTCTGTTCATAGAGCAGTTAGGAAACACTCTGTTTGTAAAGTCTGCAAGTGGATATTCAGACCACCTTGAGGCCTTCGGTGGAAACGGGATTTCTTCATATTCTGCTAGACAGAAGAATTCTCAGTAACTTCCTTGTGTTGTGTGTATTCAACTCACAGAGTTGAACGATCCTTTACACAGAGCAGAGTTGAAACACTCTTTTTGTGGAATTTGCAAGTGGAGATTTCAGCCGCTTTGAGGTCAATGGTAGAAAAGGAAATATCTTCGTATAAAGACTAGACAGAGTGTTTCTCAGAAACTCCTTTGTGATGTCTGCGTTCAACTCACAGAGTTTAACCTTTCTTTTCATAGAGCAGTTAGGAAACACTCTGTTTGTAAAGTCTGCAAGTGGATATTCAGACCTCCTTGAGGCCTTCGTTGGAAACGGGATTTCTTCATATTCTGCTATACAGAAGAATTCTCAGAAACTTCCTTCTATTGTGTGTATTCAACTCACAGAGTTGAACGATCGTTTACACAGAGCAGACTAGAGACACTCTTTTTGTGGAATTTGTAAGTGGAGATTTCAGCCGCTTTGAGGTCAATGGTAGAAAAGGAAATATCTTCGTATAAAAACTAGACAGAATCATTCTCAGAAACTGCTCTGCGATGTGTGCGTTCAACTCTCAGAGTTTAACTTTTCTTTTCATTCAGCAGTTTGGAAACACTCTGTTTGTAAAGTCTGCACGTGGATAACTTGACCACTTAGAGGCCTTCGTTGGAAACGGGTTTTTTTCATGTAACGCTAGACAGAAGAATTCCCAGTAACTTCCTTGTGTTGTGTACATTCAACTCACAGAGTTGAACGTTCCCTTAGACAGAGCAGATTTGAAACACTCTTTTTGTGCAATTGGCAAATGGAGATTTCAAGCGCTTTAAGGTCAATGGCAGAAAAGGAAATATCTTCGTTTCAAAACTAGACAGAATCATTCCCACAAACTGCGTTGTGATGTGTTCGTTCAACTCACAGAGTTTAACCTTTCTTTTCATAGAGCAGTTAGGAAACAGTCTGTTTGAAAATTCTGTAAGTGGATATTCTGACATCCTTGTGGCCTTCGTTGGAAACGGGATTTCTTCATATTCTGCTAGACAGAAGAATTCTCAGTAACTTCCTTGTGTTGTGTGTATTCAACTCACAGAGTTGAACGATCCTTTACACAGAGCATACTTGAAACACTCTTGTTGTGGAATTTGCAAGTGGAGATTTCAGCCGCTTTGAGGTCAATGGTAGAATAGGAAACATCTTCCTATAGAAACTAGACAGAATGATTCTCAGAAACTCCCTTGTGATGTGTGCGTTCAACTCACAGAGTTTAACCTTTCTTTTCATAGAGCAGTTAGGAAACACTCTGTTTGTAAAGTCTGCAAGTGGATATTCAGACCTCTTTGAGGCCTTCGTTGGAAACGGGATTTCTTCATATTATGCTAGACAGAAGAATTCTCAGTAACTTCCTTGTGTTGTGTGTTTTCAACTCACAGAGTTCAACGATCCTTTACATAGAGTAGACTTGAAACACTCTTTTTGTGGAATTGGCAAGTGGAGATTTCAGCCGCTTTGAGGTCAATGGTAGAAAAGGAAATATCTTCGTATAAAAAATAGACAGAAATGATTCTCAGAAACTCCTTTGTGATGTCTGCGTTCAACTCACAGAGTTTAACCTTTCTTTTCATAGAGCAGTTAGGAAACACTCTGTTTGTAAAGTCTGCAAGTGGATATTCAGACATCCTTGAGGCCTTCGTTGGAAACGGGATTTCTTCATGTTCTGCTAGACAGAAGAATTCCCAGTAACTTCCTTGTGTTGTGTGTGTTCAACTCACAGAGATGAACTCTCATTTACACAGAGCAGATTTGAAACACTCTTTTTGTGGAATTTGCAAATGGAGATTTCAAGCGCTTTGAGGCCAAAGGCAGAAGAGGAAATATCTTCGTATAAAAACTAGACAGAATCATTCTCAGAAACAGCTCTGCGATGTGTGCGTTCAACTCTCAGAGTTTAACTTTTCTTTTCATTCAGCAGTTTGGAAACACTCTGTTTGTAAAGTCTGCACGTACATAATTTCACCACTTAGAGGCCTTCGTTGGAAACAGGTTTTTTTCATGTAAGGCTAGACAGAAGAATTCTCAGTAACTTCCTTGTGTTGTGTGTATTCAACTCACAGAGTTGAACGATCCTTTACACAGAGCAGACTTGAAACACTCTATTTGTAGAATTTGCAAGTGGAGATTTCAGCTGCTTTGAGGTCAATAGTAGAAAAGGAAATATCTTCGTAGAAAAACTAGACAGAAAGATTCTCAGAAACTCCTTTGTGATGTGTGCGTTCAACTCACAGAGTTTAACCTTTCTTTTCATAGAGCAGTTAGGAAACACTCTGTTTGTAAAGTCTGCAAGTGGATATTAAGACCTCCTTGAGGCCTTCGTTGGAAACGGGATTTCTTCATATTCTGCTAGACAGAAGAATTCTCAGTAACTTCCTTGTGTTCTGTGTATTCAACTGACAGAGTTGAACTTTCATTTAGAGAGAGCAGATTTGAAACACTGTTTTTGTGGAATTTGCAAGTGGAGATTTCAAGCGCTTTGGGGCCAAAGGCAAAAAAGGAAATATCTTCGTATAAAAACTAGACAGAATGATTCTCAGAAACTCCTTTGTGATGTGTGCGTTCAACTCACAGAGTTTAACCTTTCTTTTCATAGAGCAGTTAGGAAACACTCTGTTTGTAAAGTCTGCACGTGGATATTTTGACCACTTAGAGGCCTTCGTTGGAAACGGGTTTTTTTCCTGTAAGGCTAGACAGAAGAATTCCCAGTAACTTCCTTGTGTTGTGTACATTCAACTCACAGAGTTGAACGTTCCCTTAGACAGAGCAGATTTGAAACACTCTTTTTGTGCAATTGGCAAATGGAGATTTCAAGCGCTTTAAGGTCAATGGCAGAAAAGGAAATATCTTCGTTTCAAAACTAGACAGAATGATTCTCAGAAACTCTTTTGTGATGTGTGCGTTCAACTCACAGAGTTTAACTTTTCTTTTCATAGAGCAGTTAGGAAACACTCTGTTTGTAAAGTCTGCAAGTGGATATTCAGACCTCCTTGTGGCCTTCGTTGGAAACGGGATTTCTTCATATTCTGCTAGACGGAAGAAATCTCAGTAACTTCCTTGTGTTGTGTGTATTCAACTCACAGAGTTGAACGATCCTTTACACAGAGCAGACTTGAAACACTCTTTTTGTGGAATTTGCAAGTGGAGATTTCAGCCGCTTTGAGGTCAATGGTAGAATAGGAAATATCTTCCTATAGAAACTAGACAGAATGATTCTCATAAACTCCTTTGTGATGTGTGCGTTCAACTCACAGAGTTTAACGTTTCTTTTCATAGAGCAGTTAGGAAAAACTCTGTTTGTAAAGTCTGCAAGTGGATATTCAGACCTCTTTGAGGCCTTCGTTGGAAACGGGATTTCTTCATATTATGCTAGACAGAACAATTCTCAGTAACTTCCTTGTGTTGTGTGTATTCAACTCACAGAGTTGAACGATCCTTTACACAGAGCAGACTTGAAACACTCTTTTTGTGGAATTTGCAAGTGGAGATTTCAGCCGCTTTGAGGTCAATGGTAGAAAAGGAAACTATCTTCGTATAAAGACTAGACAGAATCATTCTCAGAAACTGCTGCGTGATGTGTGCGTTCAACTCTCAGAGTTTAACTTTTCTTTTCATTCAGCGGTTTGGAAACACGCTGTTTGTAAAGTCTGCACGTGGAAATTTTGACCACTTAGAGGCCTTCGTTGGAAACGGGTTTTTTTCATGTAAGGCTAGACAGAAGAATTCCCAGTAACTTCCTTGTGTTGTGTGCATTCAACTCACAGAGTTGAACGTTCCCTTAGACAGAGCAGATTTGAAACACTCTATTTGTCCAATTTGCAAGTGTAGATTTCAAGCGCTTTAAGGTCAACGGCAGAAAAGGAAATATCTTCGTTTCAAAACTAGACAGAATCATTCCCACAAACTGCGTTGTGATGTGTTCGTTCAACTCACAGAGTTTAACCTTTCTGTTCATAGAGCAGTTAGGAAACACTCTGTTTGTACAGTCTGTAAGTGGATATTCTGACATCTTGTGGCCTTCGTTGGAAACTGGATTTCTCCATATTCTACTAGACAGAAGAATTCTCACAATCTTCCTTGTGTTGTGTGTATTCAACTCACAGAGTTGAACGATGGTTTACACAGAGAAGATTTGAAACACTCTTTTTGTGGAATTTGCAAGTGGAGATTTCACCCGCTTTGAGGTCAATGGTAGAAAAGGAAATATCTTCGTATAAAAACTAGACAGAATGATTCTCAGAAACTCCTTTGTGATGTGTGCGTTCAACTCACAGAGATTAACCTTTCTTTTCATAGAGCAGTTAGGAAACACTCTGTTTGTAAAGTCTGCAAGTGGATATTCAGACCTCTTTGAGGCCTTCGTTGGAAACGGGATTTCTTCATATTCTGCTAGACAGAAGAATTCCCAGTAACTTCCTTGTGTTGTGTGTGTTCAACTCACAGAGTTGAACTTTCATTTACACAGAGCAGATTTGAAACACTCTTTTTGTGGAATTTGCAACTGGAGATGTCAAGCGCTTTGAGGCCAAAGGCAGAAAAGGAAATATCTTCGTTTCAAAACTAGACAGAATCATTCTCAGAAAATGCTCTGTGATGTGTGCGTTCAACTCTCAGAGTTTAACTTTTCTTTTCATTCAGCAGTTTGGAAACACTCTGTTTGTAAAGTCTGCACGTGGATATTTTGACCACTTAGAGGCCTTCGTTGGAAACGGGTTTTTTTCATGTAAGGGTAGACAGAAGAATTCCCAGTAACTTCCTTGTGTTGTGTGCATTCAACTCACAGAGTTGAACGTTCCCTTAGACACAGCAGATTTGGAACACTCTATTTGTGCAATTTGCAAGTGTAGATTTCAAGCGCTTTAAGGTTAACGGCAGAAAAGGAAATATCTTCGTTTCAAAACTAGACAGAATGATTCTCAGAACCTCCTTTGTGATGTGTGCGTTCAACTCACAGAGTTGAACCTTTCTTTTCATAGAGCAGTTAGGAAACACACTGTTTGTAAAGTCTGCAAGTGGATATTCAGACATCCTTGAGGCTTTCGTTGGAAACGGGATTTCTTCATATTCTGCTAGAAAGAAGAATTCTCAGTAACTTCCTTGTGTTGTGTGTATTCAACTCACAGAGTTGAACGATCCTTTACACAGAGCAGACTTGAAACACTCTTTTTGTGGAATTTGCAAGTGGAGATTTCAGCCGCTTTGAGGTCAATGGAAGAATAGGAAATATCTTCCTATAGAAACTAGACAGAATGATTCTCAGAAACTCCTTTGTGATGTGTGTGTTCAACTCACAGAGTTTAACCTTTCTTTTCATAGAGCAGTTAGTAAACACTCTGTTTATAAAGTCTGCAAGTGGATATTCAGACCCCTTTGAGGCCTTCGTTGGAAACGGGATTTCTTCATATTCTGCTAGACAGAAGAATTCTCAGTAACTTCCTTGTGTTGTGTGTATTCAACTCACAGAGTTGAAGGATCCTTTACAGAGAGCAGCCTTGAAACACTCTTTTTGTCGAATTTGCAAGTGGAGATTTCAGCCGCTTTGAGGTCAATGGTAGAATAGGAAATATCTTATTATAGAAACTAGACAGAATCATTCTCAGAATCTGCTGCGTGATGTGTGCGTTCAACTCTCAGAGTTTAACTTTTCTTTTCATTCAGCGGTTTGGAAACACTCTGTTTGTAAAGTCTGCACGTGGATATTTTGACCACTTAGAAGCCTTCTTTGGAAACGGGTTTTCTTCATGTAAGGCTAGACAGAAGAATTCCCAGTAACTTCCTTGTGTTGTGTGCATTCAACTCACAGAGTTGAACGTTCACTTAGACAGAGCAGATTTGAAACACTCTATTTGTGCAATTTGCAAGTGTAGATTTCAAGCGCTTTAAGGTCAATGGCAGAAAAGGAAATTTCTTCGTTTCAAAACTAGACAGAAATCATTCTCAGAAACTGCTCTGCGATGTGTGCGTTCAACTCTCAGAGTTTAACTTTGCTTTTCATTCAGCAGTTTGGAAACACTCTGTTTGTAAAGTCTGCACGTGGATAATTTGACCACTTAGAGGCCTTCGTTGGAAACGGGTTTTTTTCATGTAAGGCTAGACAGAAGAATTCTCAGTAACTTCCTTGTGTTGTGTGTATTCAACTCACAGAGTTGAACGATCCTTTACACAGAGCAGACTTGGAACACTCTTTTTGTGGAATTTGCAAGTGGAGATTTCAGCCGCTTTGAAGTCAAAGGTAGAAAAGGAAATATCTTCCTATAAAAACTAGACAGAATGATTCTGAGAAACTCCTTTGTGATGTGTGCGTTCAACTCACAGAGTTTATCCTTTCTTTTCATAGAGCAGTTAGGAAACACTCTGTTTGTGAAGTCTGCAAGTGGATATTCAGACCTCTTTGAGGCCTTCGTTGGAAACGGGATTTCTTCATATTCTGCTAGACAGAAGAATTCCCAGTAACTTCCTTGTGTTGTGTGTGTTCAACTCACAGAGTTGAACTTTCATTTACACAGAGCAGATTTGAAACACTCTTTTTGTGGAATTTGCAATTGGAGATTTCAAGCGCTTTGAGGCCAAAGGCAGAAAAGGAAATATCTTCGGTATAAAAACTAGACAGAATCATTCTCAGAAACTGCTCTGCGATGTGTGCGTTCAACTCTCAGAGTTTAACTTTGCTTTTCATTCAGCAGTTTGGAAACACTCTGTTTGTAAAGTCTTCACGTGGATATTTTGACCACTTAGAGGCCTTCGTTGGAAACGGGTTTCTTTCCTGTAAGGCTAGACAGAAGAATTCCCAGTAACTTCCTTGTGTTGTGTACGGTTCAACTCACAGAGTTGAACGTTCCCTTAGACAGAGCAGATTTGAAACACTCTTTTTGTGCAATTGGCAAGTGGAGATTTCAAGCGCTTTAAGGTCAATGGCAGAAAAGGAAATATCTTCGTTTCAAAACTAGACAGAATCATTCCCACAAACTGCGTTGTGATGTGTTCGTTCAACTCACAGACTTTAACCTTTCTTTTCATAGAGCAGTTAGGAAACAGTCTGTTTGTAAATTCTGTAAGTGGATATTCTGACATACTTGTGGCCTTCGTTGGAAACGGGATTTCTTCATATTCTGCTAGACAGAAGAATTCTCAGTAACTTCCTTGTGTTGTGTGTATTCAACTCACAGAGTTGAACGATCCTTTACACAGAGCAGACTTGAAACACTCTTTTTGTGGAATTTGCAAGTGGAGATTTCAGCCGCTTTGAGGTCAATGGTAGAATAGGAAATATCATCCTATAGAAACTAGACAGAATGATTCTCAGAAACTCCTTTGTGATGTGGGCGTTCAACTCACAGAGTTTAACCATTCTTTTCATAGAGCAGTTAGGAAACACTCTGTTTGTAAAGTATGCATGTGGATATTTGGACTTCTTTGAGGCCTTCGTTGGAAACGGGTTTTTTTCATGTAAGGCTAGACAGAAGAATTCTCAGTAACTTCCTTGTGTTGTGTGTATTCAACTCACAGAGTTGAACGATCCTATACACAGAGCAGACTTGAAACACTCTTTTTGTGGAATTTGCAAGTGGAGATTTCAGCCGCTTTGAGGTCAATGGTAGAATAGGAAATATCTTCCTATAGAAACTAGACAGAATCATTCTCAGAAACTGCTGCGTGATGTGTGCGTTCAACTCTCAGAGTTTAACTTTTCTTTTCATTCAGCGGTTTGGAAACACTCTTTTTGTAAGTCTGCACGTGGATATTTTGACCACTTAGAGGCCTTCGTTGGAAACGGGTTTTTTTCATGTAAGGCTAGACAGAAGAATTCCCAGTAACTTCCTTGTGTTGTGTACATTCAACTCACAGAGTTGAACGTTCCCTTAGACAGAGCAGATTTGAAACACTCTTTTTGTGCAATTGGCAAATGGAGATTTCAAGCGCTTTAAGTTCAATGGCAGAAAAGGAAATATCTTCGTTTCAAAACTAGACAGAATCATTCCCACAAACTGCGTTGTGATGTGTTCGTTCAACTCACAGAGTTTAACCTTTCTGTTCATAGAGCAGTTAGGAAACACTCTGTTTGTAAAGTCTGAAAGTGGATATTCTGACATCTTGTGGCCTTCGTTGGAAACGGGATTTCTTCATATTCTGCTAGACAGAAGAATTGTCAGTAACTTCCTTGTGTTGTGTGTATTCAACTCACAGAGTTGAACGATCCTTTACACAGAGCAGACTTGAAACACTCTTTTTGTGGAATTTGCAAGTGGAGATTTCAGCCGCTTTGAGTTCAATGGTAGAATAGGAAATATCTTCCTATAGAAACTAGACAGAACGATTCTCAAAAACTCCTTTGTGATGTGTGCGTTCAACTCACAGAGTTTAACCTTTCTTTTCATAGAGCAGTTAGGAAACACTCTGTTTATAAAGTCTGCAAGTGGATATTCAGACCCCTTTGAGGCCTTCGTTGGAAACGGGATTTCTTCATATTATGCTAGACAGAAGAATTCTCAGTAACTTCCTTGTGTTGTGTGTATTCAACTGACAGAGTTGAACTTTCATTTAGAGAGAGCAGATTTGAAACACTGTTTTTGTGGAATTTGCAAGTGGAGATTTCAAGCGCCTTGGGGCCAAAGGCAGAAAAGGAAATATCTTCGTATAAAAACTAGACAGAATCATTCTCAGAAACTGCTCTGCGATGTGTGCGTTCAACTCTCAGAGTTTAACTTTTCTTTTCATTCAGCAGTTTGGAAACACTCTGTTTGTAAAGTCTGCACGTGGATAATTTGACCACTTAGAGACCTTCGTTGGAAACGGGTTTTTTTCATGGAAGGCTAGACAGAAGAATTCCCAGTAACTTCCTTGTGTTGTGTACATTCAACTCACAGAGTTGAAAGTTCCCTTAGACAGAGCAGATTTGAAACACTCTTTTTGTGCAATTGGCAAATGGAGATTTCAAGCGCTTTAATGTCAATGGCAGAAAAGGAAATATCTTCGTTTCAAAACTAGACAGAATCATTCCCACAAACTGCGTTGTGATGTGTTCGTTCAACTCACAGAGTTTAACCTTTCTTTTCATAGAGCAGTTAGGAAACAGTCTGTTTGTAAATTCTGTAAGTGGATATTCTGACATTTTGTGGCCTTCGTTGGAAACGGGATTTCTTCATATTCTGCTAGACAGAAGAATTCTCAGTAACTTCCTTGTGTTGTGTGTATTCAACTCACAGAGTTGAACGATCCTTTACACAGAGCAGACTTGTAACACTCTTTTTGTGGAATTTGCAAGTGGAGATTTCAGCCGCTTTGAGGTCAACGGTAGAAAAGGAAATCTCTTCGTATAAAAACTAGACAGAATGATTCTCAGAAACTTCTTTGTGATGTGTGTGTTCAACTCACAGAGTTTAACCTTTCTTTTCATAGAGCAGTTAGGAAACACTCTGCCTGTAAAGTCTGCAAGTGGATATTCAGACCTCGTTGAGGCCTTCGTTGGAAACGGGATTTCTTCATATTCTGCTAGACAGAAGAATTCTCAGTAACTTCCTTGTGTTGTGTGTATTCAACTGACAGAGTTGAACTTTCATTTAGAGAGAGCAGATTTGAAACACTGTTTTTGTGGAATTTGCAAGTGGAGATTTCAAGCGCTTTGGGGCCAAAGGCAGAAAAGGATATATCTTCGTATAAAAACTAGACAGAATCATTCTCAGAAACTGCTGCGTGATGTGTGCGTTCAACTCTCAGAGTTTAAAGTTTCTTTTCATTCAGCGGTTTGGAAACACTCTGTTTGTAAAGTCTGCAAGTGGATATTCAGACCTCTTGGAGGCTTTCGTTGGAAACGGGATTTCTTCATATTCTGCTAGACAGAAGTAATTCCCAGTAACTTCCTTGTGTTGTGTGCATTCAACTCACAGAGTTGAACGTTCCCTTAGACAGAGCAGATTTGAAACACTCTATTTGTGCAATTTGCAAGTGTAGATTTCAAGCGCTTTAAGGTCAATGGCAGAAAAGGAAATATCTTCGTTTCAAAACTAGACAGAATCATTCCCACAAACTGCGTTGTGATGTGTTCGTTGAACTCACAGAGTTTAACCTTTCTTTTCATAGAGCAGTTAGGAAACAGTCTGTTTGTCAATTCTGTAAGTGGATATTCTGACATCTTGTGGCCTTCGTTGGAAACGGGATTTCTTCATATTCTGCTAGACAGAAGAATTCTCAGTAACTTCCTTGTGTTGTGTGTATTCAACTCACAGAGTTGAACGATCTTTTACACAGAGCAGACTTGAAACACTCTTTTTGTGGAATTTGCAAGTGGAGATTTCAGCCGCTTTGAGGTCAATGGTAGAAAAGGAAATATCTTCGTATAAAGACTAGACAGAATGATTCTTAGAAACTCCTTTGTGATGTGTGCGTTCAACTCACAGAGTTTAACCTTTCTGTTCATAGAGCAGTTAGGAAACACTCTGTTTGTAAAGTCTGCAAGTGGATATTCAGACCTCCTTTAGGCCTTCGTTGGAAACGGGATTTCTTCATATTCTGCTAGACAGAAGAATTCTCAGTAACTTCCTTGTGTTGTGTGTATTCAACTCACAGAGTTGAACTATCCTTTACACAGAGCAGACTTGAAACACTCTTTTTGTGGAATTTGCAAGTGGAGATTTCAGCCGCTTTGAGGTCAATGGTAGAAAAGGAAATATCTTCGTATAAAAACTAGACAGAATCATTCTCAGAAACTGCTCTGTGATGTGTGCGTTCAACTCTCAGAGTTTACCTTTTCTTTTCATTCAGCAGTTTGGAAACACTCTGTTTGTAAAGTCTGCACGTGGATAATTTGACCACTTAGAGGCCTTCGTTGGAAACGGGTTTTTTTCATGTAAGGCTAGACAGAAGAATTCCCAGTAACTTCCTTGTGTTGTGTGCATTCAACTCACAGAGTTGAACGTTCCCTTAGACAGAGCAGATTTGAAACACTCTATTTGTGCAATTTGCAAGTGTAGATATCAAGCGCTTTAAGGTCAATGGCAGAAAAGGAAATGTCTTAGTTTCAAAACTAGACAGAATGATTCTCAGAAACTTCTTTGTGATGTGTGCGTTCAACTCACAGAGTTTAACCTTTCTTTTCATAGAGCAGTTAGGAAACACTCTGTTTGTAAACTCTGCAAGTGGATATTCAGACCTCTTGGAGGCCTTCGTTGGAAACGGGATTTCTTCATAGTATGCTAGACAGAAGAATTCTCAGTAACTTCCTTGTGTTGTGTGTATTCAACTCACAGAGTTGAAAGATCCTTTACACAGAGCAGACTTGAAACACTCTTTTTGTGGAATTTGCAAGTGGAGATTTCAGCCGCTTTGAGGTCAATAGTAGAAAAGGAAATATCTTCGTAGAAAAACTAGACAGAATGATTCTCAGAAACTCCTTTGTGATGTGTGCGTTCAACTCACACAGTTTAACCTTTCTTTTCATAGAGCAGTTGGGAAACACTCTGTTTGTAAAGTCTGCAAGTTGATATTCAGACCTCTTTGAGGCCTTCGTTTGAAACGGGATTTCTTCATATTCTGCTAGAAAGAAGAATTCTCAGTAACTTCCTTGTGTTGTGTGTATTCAACTGACAGAGTTCAACTTTCACTTAGAGAGAGCAGATTTGTAACACTGTTTTTGTGGAATTTGCAAGTGGAGATTTCAAGCGCTTTGGGGCCAAAGGCAGAAAACGAAATATCTTCGTATAAAAACTAGACAGAATCATTCTCAGAAAATCCTCTGTGATGTGTGGGTTCAACTCTCAGAGTTTAACTTTTCTTTTCATTCAGCAGTTTGGAAACACTCTGTTTGTAAAGTCTGCACGTGGATATTTTGACCACTTAGAGGCCTTCGTTGGAAACGGGTTTTTTTCATGTAAGGGTAGACAGAAGAATTCCCAGTAACTTCCTTGTGTTGTGTGCATTCAACTCACAGAGTTGAACGTTCCCTTAGACAGAGCAGATTTGAATCACTCTATTTGTGCAATTTGCAAGTGTAGATTTCAAGCGATTTAAGGTCAATGGCAGAAAAGGAAATATCTTCGTTTCAAAACTAGACAGAAATCATTCCCACAAACTGCGTTGTGATGTGTTCGTTCAACTCACAGAGTTTAACCTTTCTGTTCATAGAGCAGTTAGGAAACACTCTGTTTGTAAAGTCTGTAAGTGGATATTCTGACATCTTGTGGCCTTCGTTGGAAACGGGATTTCTTCATATTCTGCTAGACAGAAGAATTCTCAGTAACTTCCTTGTGTTGTGTGTATTCAACTCACAGAGTTGAACGATCCTTTACACAGAGCAGACTTGAAACACTCTTCTTGTGGAATTTGCAAGTGGAGATTTCAGCCGCTTTGAGGTCAATGGTAGAAAAGTAAATATCTTCGTATAAAGACTAGACAGAATGATTCTCAGAAACTCCTTTGTGATGTGTGCGTTCAACTCACAGAGTTTAACCTTTCTTTTCATAGAGCAGTTAGGAAACACTCTGCTTGTAAAGTCTGCAAGTGGATATTCAGACCTCTTTGAGGCCTTCGTTGGAAACGGGTTTTTTTCATATAAGGCTACACAGAAGAATTCCCAGTAACTTCCTTGTGTTGTGTGTGTTCAACTCACAGAGTTGAACTTTCATTTACACAGAGCAGATTTGAAACACTCTTTTTGTGGAATTTGCAAGTGGAGATTTCAAGGGCTTTGAGGCCAAAGGCAGAAAAGGAAATATCTTCGTATAAAAACTAGACAGAATCATTCTCAGAAACTGCTCTGCGATGTGTGCGTTCAACTCTCAGAGTTTAACTTTTCTTTTCATTCAGCAGTTTGGAAACACTCTGTTTCTAAAGTCTGCACGTGGATAATTTGACCACTTAGAGGCCTTCGTTGGAAACGGGTTTTTTTCCTGTAAGGCTAGACAGAAGAATTCCCAGTAACTTCCTTGTGTTGTGTACATTCAACTCACAGAGTTGAACGTTCCCTTAGACAGAGCAGATTTGAAACACTCTTTTTGTGCAATTGGCAAGTGGAGATTTCAAGCGCTTTAAGGTCAATGGCAGAAAAGGAAATATCTTCGTTTCAAAACTAGACAGAATCATTCCCACAAACTGCGTTGTGATGTGTTCGTTCAACTCACAGAGTTTAACCTTTCTGTTCATAGAGCAGTTAGGAAACACTCTGTTTGTAAAGTCTGCAAGTGGATATTCAGACCTCCTAGAGGCCTTCGTTGGAAACGGGATTTCTCCATATTCTGCTAGACAGAAGAATTCTCAGTAACTTCCTTGTGTTGTGTGTATTCAACTCACAGAGTTGAACGATCCTTTACAAAGAGCAGACTTGAAACATTCTTTTTGTGGAATTTGCAAGTGGAGATTTCAGCCGCTTTGAGGTCAATGGTAGAATAGGAAATATGTTCCTATAGAAACTAGACAGAATGATTCTCAGAAACTCCATTGTGATGTGTGCGTTCAACTCAAAGAGTTTAACTTTTCTTTTCATAGAGCAGTTAGGAAACACTCTGTTTGTAAAGTCTGCAAGTGGATATTCAGACCCCTTTGAGGCCTTCGTTGGAAACGGGATTTCTTCATATTATGCTAGACAGAAGAATTCCCAGTAACTTCCTTGTGTTGTGTGTGTTCAACTCACAGCAGTTGAACTTTCATTTACACAGAGCAGATTTGAAACACTCTTTTTGTGGAATTTGCAAGTGGAGATTTCAAGCGCTGTGAGGCCAAAGGCAGAAAAGGAAATATCTTCGTATAAAAACTAGACAGAATCATTCTCAGAAACTGCTCTGCGATGTGTGCGTTCAACTCTCAGAGTTTAACTTTTCTTTTCATTCAGCAGTGTGGAAACACTCTGTTTGTAAAGTCTGCACGTGGATATTTTGACCACTTATAGGCCTTCGTTGGAAACGGGTTTTTTTCCTGTAAGGCTAGACAGAAGAATTCCCAGTAACTTCCTTGTGTTGTGTACATTCAACTCACAGAGTTGAACGTTCCCTTAGACAGAGCAGATTTGAAACACTCTTTTTGTGCAATTGGCAAATGGAGATTTCAAGCGCTTTAAGGTCAATGGCAGAAAAGGAAATATCTTCGTTTCAAAACTAGACAGAATCATTCCCACAAACTGCGTTGTGATGTGTTCGTTCAACTCACAGAGTTTAACCTTTCTGTTCATAGAGCAGTTAGGAAACACTCTGTTTGTAAAGTCTGTAAGTGGATATTCAGACATCTTGTGGCCTTCGTTGGAAACGGGATTTCTTCATATTCTGCTAGACAGAAGAATTCTCAGTAACTTCCTTGTGTTGTGTGTATGCAACTCACAGAGTTGAACGATCCTTTACACAGAGCAGACTTGAAACACTCTTTTTGTGGAATTTGCAATTGGAGATTTCAGCCGCTTTGAGGTCAATGGTAGAAAAGGAAACTATCTTCATATAAAGACTAGACAGAATGATTCTCAGAAACTCCTTTGTGATGTGTGCGTTCAACTCACAGAGTTTAACCTTTCTTTTCATAGACCAGTTAGGAAACACTCTGTAAAGTCTGCAAGTGGATATTCAGACATCCTTGAGGCCTTCGTTGGAAGCGGGATTTCTTCATATTCTGCTACAAAGAAGAATTCTTAGTAACTTCCTTGTGTTGTGTGTATTCAACTCACAGAGTTGAACGATCCTTTACACAGAGCAGACTTGAAACATTCTTTTTGTGGAATTTGGAAGTGGAGATTTCAGCCGCTTTGAGGTCAATGGTAGAATAGGAAATATCTTCCTATAGAAACTAGACAGAATCATTCTCAGAAACTGCTGCGTGATGTGTGCGTTCAACTCTCAGAGTTTAACTTTTCTTTTCATTCAGCGGTTTGGAAACACTCTGTTTGTAAAGTCTGCACGTGGATATTTTGACCACTTAGAGGCCTTCGTTGGAAACGGGTTTTTTTCATGTAAGGCTCGACAGAAGAATTCCCAGTAAATTCCTTGTGTTGTGTACATTCAACTCACAGAGTTGAACGTTCCCTTAGACAGAGCAGATTTGAAACACTCTTTTTGTGCAATTGGCAAGTGGAGATTTCAAGCGCTTTAAGGTCAATGGCAGAAAAGGAAATATCTTCGTTTCAAAACTGGACAGAATCATTCCCACAAACTGCGTTGTGATGTGTTCGTTCAACTCACAGAGTTTAACCTTTCTTTTCATAGAGCAGTTAGGAAAGAGTCTGTTTGTAAATTCTGTAAGTGGATATTCTGACATCTTGTGGCCTTCGTTGGAAACGGGATTTCTTCATATTCTGCTAGACAGAAGAATTCTCAGAAACTTCCTTGTGTTGTGTGTTTTCAACTCACAGAGTTGAACGATCCTTTACACAGAGCAGACTTGAAACACTCTTTTTGTGGAATTTGCAAGTGGAGATTTCAGCCGCTTTGAGGTCAATGGTAGAATAGGAAATATCTTCCTATAGAAACTAGACAGAACGATTCTCAGAAACTCCTTTGTGATGTGTGCGTTCAACTCACAGAGTTTAACCTTTCTTTTCATAGAGCAGTTAGGAAACACTCTGTTTGTAAAGTCTGCAAGTGGATATTCAGACCTCTTTGAGGCCTTCGTTGTAACGGGATTTCTTCCTATTCTGCTAGACAGAAGAATTCCCAGTAACTTCCATGTGTTGTGTGTGTTCAACTCACAGAGTTGAACTTTCATTTACACAGAGCAGATTTGAAACACTCTTTTTGTGGAATTTGCAAATGGAGATTTCAAGCGCTTTGAGGCCAGAGGCAGAAAAGGAAATATCTTCGTATAAAAACTAGACAGAATCATTCTCAGAAACTGCTCTGCGATGTGTGCGTTCAACTCTCAGAGTTTAACTTTTCTTTTCATTCAGCAGTTTGGAAACACTCTGTTTGTAAAGTCTGCATGTGGATAATTTGACCACTTAGAGGTCTTCGTTGGAAACGGGTTTTTTTCATGTAAGGCTAGACAGAAGAATTCCCAGTAACTTCCTTGTGTTGTGTGCATTCAACTCACAGAGTTGAACGTTCCCTTAGACAGAGCAGATTTGAAACACTCTATTTGTGCAATTTGCAAGTGTAGTTTTCAAGCTCTTTAAGGTCAACGGCAGAAAAGGAAATATCTTGGTTTCAAAACTAGACAGAATCATTCCCACAAACTGCGTTGTGATGTGTTCGTTCAACTCACAGAGTTTAACCTTTCTGTTCATAGAGCAGTTAGGAAACACTCTGTTTGTAAAGTCTGCAAGTGGATATTCAGACCTCCTTGAGGCCTTCGGTGGAAACGGGATTTCTTCATATTCTGCTAGACAGAAGAATTCTCAGTAACTTCCTTGTGTTGTGTGTATTCAACTCACAGAGTTGAACGATCCTTTACACAGACCAGACTTGAAACACTCTTTTTGTGGAATTTGCAAGTGGAGATTTCAGCCGCTTTGAGGTCAATGGTAGAAAAGGAAATATCTTCGTATAAAGACTAGACAGAATGATTCTCAGAAACTCCTTTGTGATGTGTGTGTTCAACTCACAGAGTTTAACCTTTCTTTTCATAGAGCAGTTAGGAAACACTCTGTTTGTAAAGTCTGCAAGTGGATATTCAGACCTCTTTGAGGCCTTCGTTGGAAACAGTTTTTTTTCATATAAGGCTAGACAGAAGAATTCCCAGTAACTTCCTTGTGTTGTGTGTGTTCAACTCACAGAGTTGAACTTTCATTTACACAGAGCAGATTGGAAACACTCTTTTTGTGGAATTTGCAAGTGGAGATTTCAAGCGCTTTGAGGCCAAAGACAGAAAAGGAAATATCTTCGTATAAAAACTAGACAGAATCATTCTCAGAAACTGCTCTGCGATTTGTGCGTTCAACTCTCAGAGTTTAACTTTGCTTTTCATTCAGCAGTTTGGAAACACTCTGTTTGTAAAGTCTGCACGTGGATATTTTGACCACTTAGAGGCCTTCGTTGGAAACGGGTTTCTTTCCTGTAAGGCTAGACAGAAGAATTCTCAGTAACTTCCTTGTGTTGTGTGTATTCAACTCACAGAGTTGAACGATCCTTTACAGAGAGCAGACTTGAAACACTCTTTTTGTGGAATTTGCAAGTGGAGATTTCAGCCGCTTTGTGGTCAATGGTAGAATAGGAAATATCTTCCTATAGAAACTAGACAGAATGATTCTCAGAAACTCCTTTGTGATGTGTGCGTTCAACTCACAGAGTTTAACCTTTCTTTTCATAGAGCAGTTAGGAAACACTCTGTTTGTAAAGTCTGCAAGTGGATATTCAGACCTCTTTGAGGCCTTCGTTGGAAACGGGATTTCTTCATGTTCTGCTACACAGAAGAATTCTCAGTAACTTCCTTGTGTTGTGTGTATTCAACTCACAGAGTTGAACGATCCTTTACACAGAGCAGACTTGAAACACTCTTTTTGTAGAATTTCCAAGTGGAGATTTCAGCCGCTTTGAGGTCAATAGTGGAAAAGGAAATATCTTCGTAGAAAAACTAGACAGAATGATTCTCAGAAACGCCTTTGTGATGTGTGCGTGCAACTCACAGAGTTTAACCTTTCTTTTCATAGAGCAGTTAGGAAACACTCTGTTTGTAAAGTCTGCAAGTGGATATTCAGACCTCTTTGAGGCCTTCGTTGGAAACGGGTTTTTTTCATATAAGGCTAGACAGAAGAATTCTCAGTAACTTCCTTGTGTTGTGTGTATTCAACTGACAGAGTTGAACTTTCATTTAGAGAGAGCAGGTTTGAAACACTGTTTTTGTGGAATTTGCAAGTGGAGATTTCAAGCGCTTTGGGGCCAAAGGCAGAAAAGGAAATATCTTCGTATAAAAACTAGACAGAATCATTCTCAGAATCTGCTGCGTGATGTGTGCGTTCAACTCTCAGAGTTTAACTTTTCTTTTCATTCAGCGGTTTGGAAACACTCTGTTTGTAAAGTCTGCACGTGGATATTTTGACCACTTAGAGGCCTTCGTTGGAAACGGGTTTTTTTCATGTAAGGCTAGACAGAAGAATTCCCAGTAACTTCCTTCTGTTGTGTGCATTCCACTCACAGAGTTGAACGTTCCCTTAGACAGAGCAGATTTGAAACACTCTATTTGTGCAATTTGCAAGTGTAGATTTCAAGCGCTTTAAGGTCAATGGCAGAAAAGGAAATATCTTCGTTTCAAAACTAGACAGAATCATTCCCACAAACTGCGTTGTGATGTGTTCGTTCAACTCACAGAGTTTAACCTTTCTGTTCATAGAGCAGTTAGGAAACACTCTGTTTGTAAAGTCTGTAAGTGGATATTCTGACATTTTTTGGCCTTCGTTGGAAAAGGGATTTCTTCATATTCTCCTAGACAGAAGAATTCTCAGTAACTTCCTTGTGTTGTGTGTATTCAACTCACAGAGTTGAACGATCCTTTACACAGAGTAGACTTGAAACACTCTTTTTGTGGAATTTGCAAGTGGAGATTTCAGCCGCTTTCAGGTCAATAGTAGAAAAGGAAATATCTTCGTAGAAAAACTAGACAGAATGATTCTCAGAAACTCCTTTGTGATGTGTGCGTTCAACTCACAGAGTTTAACCTTTCTTTTCATAGCGCAGTTGGGAAACACTCTGTTTGTAAAGTCTGCAAGTGGATATTCAGACCTCCTTGAGGCTTTCGTTGGAAACGGGATTTCTTCATATTCTGCTAGAAAGAAGAATTCCCAGTAACTTCCTTGTGTTGTGTGTGTTCAACTCACAGAGTTGAACTTTCATTTACACAGAGCAGACTTGAAACACTCTTTTTGTGGAATTTGCAAGTGGAGATTTCAAGCGCTTTGAGGCCAAAGGCAGAAAAGGAAATATCTTCGTTTCAAAACTAGACAGAATCATTCTCAGAAACTGCTCTGCGATGTGTGCGTTCAACTCTCAGAGTTTAACTTTTCTTTTCATTCAGCAGTTTGGAAACACTCTGTTTGTAAAGTCTGCACGTGGATATTTTGACCACTTAGAGGCCTTCATTGGAAACGGGTTTTTTTCCTGTAAGGCTAGACAGAAGAATTCCCAGTAACTTCCTTGTGTTGTGTGCATTCAACTCACAGAGTTGAACGTTCCCTTAGACAGAGCAGATTTGAAACACTCTATTTGTGCAATTTGCAAGTGTAGTTTTCAAGCGCTTTAAGGTCAACGGCAGAAAAGGAAATTCTTCGTTTCAAAACTAGACAGAATGATTCTCAGAAACTCCTTTGTGATGTGTGCGTTCAACTCACAGAGTTCAACCTTTCTTTTAATAGAGCAGTTGGGAAACACTCTGTTTGTAAAGTCTGCAAGTGGATATTCAGACCTCCTTGAGGCCTTCGTTGGAAACGGGATTTCTTCATATTATGCTAGACAGAATAATTCTCAGTAACTTCCTTGTGTTGTGTGTATTCAACTCACAGAGTTGAACGATCCTTTACACAGAGCAGACTTGAAACATTCTTTTTGTGGAATTTGCTAGTGGAGATTTCAGCCGCTTTGAGGTCAATGGTAGAATAGGAAATATCTTCCTATAGAAACTAGACAGAATGATTCTCAGAAACTCCTTTGTGATGTGTGCGTTCAACTCACAGAGTTTAACCTTTCTTTTCATAGAGTAGTTAGGAAACACTCTGTTTGTAAAGTCTGCAAGTGGATATTCAGACATCCTTGAGGCTTTCGTTGGAAACGGGATTTCTTCATATTCTGTTAGAAAGAAGAATTCCCAGTAACTTCCCTTGTGTTGTGTGTGTTCAACTCACAGAGTTGAACTTTCATTTACACAGAGCAGATTTGAAACACTCTTTTTGTGGAATTTGCAAATGGAGGTTTCAAGCGCTTTGAGGCCAAAGGCAGAAAAGGAAATATCTTCGTATAAAAACTAGACAGAATCATTCTCAGAAACTGCTGCGTGATGTGTGCGTTCAACTCTCAGAGTTTAACTTTTCTTTTCATTCAGCGGTTTGGAAACACTCTGTTTGTAAAGTCTGCACGTGGATATTTTGACCACTTAGAGGCCTTCGTTGGAAACGGGTTTTTTGCATGTAAGGCTAGACAGAAGAATTCCCAGTAACTTCCTTGTGTTGTGTACATTCAACTCACAGAGTTGAACGTTCCCTTAGACAGAGCAGATTTGAAACACTCTTTTTGTGCAATTGGCAAATGGAGATTTCAAGCGCTTTAAGGTCAATGGCAGAAAAGGAAATATTCTTCGTTTCAAAACTAGACAGAATGATTCTCAGAAAATCTTTTGTGATGTGTGCGTTCAACTCACAGAGTTTAACTTTTCTTCTCATAGAGCAGGTAGGAAACACTCTGTTTGTAAAGTCTGCAAGTGGATATTCAGACCTCTTTGAGGCCTTCGTTGGAAACGGGATTTCTTCATATTATGCTAGACAGAATAATTCTCAGAAACTTCCTTGTGTTGTGTGTATTCAACTCACAGAGTTGAAGGATCCTTTACAGAGAGCAGGCTTGAAACACTCTTTTTGTCGAATTTGCAAGTGGAGATTTCAGCCGCTTTGAGGTCAATGGTAGAATAGGAAATATCTTCTTATAGAAACTAGACAGAATGATTCTCAGAAACTCCCTTGTGATGTGTGCGTTCAACTCACAGAGTTTAAGCTTTCTTTTCATAGAGCAGTTAGGAAACACTCTGTTTGTAAAGTCTGCAAGTGGATATTCAGACCTCCTTGAGGCCTTCGTTGGAAACAGGATTTCTTCATATGATGCTAGACAGAAGAATTCCCAGTAACTTCCTTGTGTTGTGTGTGTTCAACTCACAGAGTTGAACTTTCATTTACCCAGAGCAGATTTGAAACACTCTTTTTGTGGAATTTGCAAGTGGAGATTTCAAGCGCTTTGAGGCCAAAGGCAGAAAAGGAAATATCTTCGTTTCAAAACTAGACAGAATCATTCTCAGAAACTGCTCTGCGATGTGTGCGTTCAACTCTCAGAGTTTAACTTTTCTTTTCATTCAGCAGTTTGGAAACACTCTGTTTGTAAAGTCTGCACGTGGATATTTTGACCACTTAGAGGCCTTCGTTGGAACCGGGTTTTTTTCCTGTAAGGCTAGACAGAAGAATTCCCAGTAACTTCCTTGTGTTGTGTACATTCAACTCACAGAGTTGAACGTTCCCTTAGACAGAGCAGATTTGAAACACTCTTTTTGTGCAATTGGCAAATGGAGATTTCAAGCGCTTTAAGTTCAATGGCAGAAAAGGAAATATCTTCGTTTCAAAACTAGACAGAATGATTCTCAGAAACTCCTTTGTGATGTGTGCGTTCAACTCACAGAGTTTAACCTTTCTGTTCATAGAGCAGTTAGGAAACACTCTGTTTGTAAAGTCTGCAAGTGGATATTCAGACCTCCTTGAGGCTTTCGTTGGAAACGGGATTTCTTCATATTCTGCTAGACAGAAGAATTCTCAGAAACTTCCTTGTGTTGTGTGTATTCAACTCACAGAGTTGAACGATCGTTTACACAGAGCAGACTTGAGACACTCTTTTTGTGGAATTTGTAAGTGGAGATTGCAGCCGCTTTGAGGTCAATGGTAGAAAAGAAAATATCTTCATATAAAAACTAGACAGAATGATTCTCAGAAACTCCTTTGTGATGTGTGCGTTCAACTCACAGAGTTTAACTTTTGTTTTCATAGAGCAGTTAGGAAACACTCTCTTTGTATAGTCTTCAAGTGGATATTCAGACCTCTTTGAGGCCTTCGTTGGAAACGGGATTTCTTCATATTCTGCTAGACAGAAGAATTCCCAGTAACTTCCTTGTGTTGTGTGTGTTCAACTCACAGAGTTGAACTTTCATTTACACAGAGCAGATTTGAAACACTCTTTTTGTGGAATTTGCAAGTGGAGATTTCAAGCGCTTTGAGGGCAAAGGCAGAAAAGGAAATATCTTCGTTTCAAAACTAGACAGAATCATTCTCAGAAACTGCTGCGTGATGTGTGCGTTCAACTCTCAGAGTTTAAATTTTCTTTTCATTCAGCGGTTTGGAAACACTCTGTTTGTAAAGTCTGCACGTGGAAATTTTGACCACTTAGAGGCCTTCGTTGGAAACGGGATTTTTTCATGTAAGGCTAGACAGAAGAATTCCCAGTAACTTCCTTGTGTTGTGTGCATTCAACTCACAGAGTTGAACGTTCCTTAGACACAGCAGATTTGAAACACTCTATTTGTGCAATTTGCAAGTGTAGATTTCAAGCGCTTTAAGGTCAATGGCAGAAAAGGAAATATCTTCGTTTCAAAACTAGACAGAATGATTCTCAGAAACTCCTTTGTGATGTGTGTGTTCAACTCACAGAGTTTAACTTTTCTTCTCATAGAGCAGTTAGGAAACACTCTGTTTGTAAAGTCTGTAAGTGGATATTCTGACATCTTGTGGCCATCGTTGGAAACGGGATTTCTTCATATTCTGCTAGACAGAAGAATTCTCAGTAACTTTCCTTGTGTTGTGTGTATTCAACTCACAGAGTTGAACGATCCTTTACACAGAGCAGACTTGAAACACTCTTTTTGTGGAATTTGCAAGTGGAGATTTCAGCCGCTTTGAGGTCAATGGTAGAAAAGGAAACTATCTTCATATAAAGACTAGACAGAATGATTCTCAGAAACTCCTTTGTGATGTGTGCGTTCAACTCACAGAGTTTAACCTTTCTTTTCATAGAGCAGTTAGGAAACACTCTGTTTGTAAAGTCTACAAGTGGATATTCAGACCTCCTTGAGGCCTTCGTTGGAAACGGGATTTCTTCATATTATGCTAGACAGAATAATTCTCAGTAACTTCCTTGTGTTGTGTGTATTCAACTCACAGAGTTGAAGGATCCTTTACAGAGAGCAGGCTTGAAATACTCTTTTTGTCGAATTTGCAAGTGGAGATTTCAGCCGCTTTGAGGTCAATGGTAGAATAGGAAATATCTTCTTATAGAAACTAGACAGAATCATTCTCAGAAACTGCTGCGTGATGTGTGCGTTCAACTCTCAGAGTTTAACTTTTCTTTTCATTCAGCGGTTTGGAAACACTCTGTTTGTAAAGTCTGCACGTGGGTATTTTGACCACTTAGAGGCCTTCGTTGGAAACGGGTTTTTTTCATGTAAGGCTAGACAGAAGAATTCCCAGTAACTTCCTTGTGTTGTGTGCATTCAACTCACAGAGTTGAACGTTCCCTTAGACAGAGCAGATTTGAAACACTCTATTTGTGCAATTTGCAAGTGTAGATTTCAAGCGCTTTAAGGTCAATGGCAGAAAAGGAAATATCTTCGTTTCAAAACTAGACAGAATGATTCTCAGAAAATCCTTTGTGATGTGTGCGTTCAACTCACAGAGTTTAACTTTTCATATAGCAGTTAGGAAACACTTTGTTTGTAAAGTCTGCAAGTGGATATTCAGACCTCTTTGAGGCATTCGTTGGAAACGGGATTTCTTCATATTCTGCTAGACAGAAGAATTCTCAGAAACTTCCTTGTGTTGTGTGTATTCAACTCAGAGAGTTGAACGATCCTTTACACAGAGCAGACTTGAAACACACTTTTTTTGGTATTTTCAAGTGGAGATTTCAGCCACTTTGAGGTCAATGGTAGAAAAGGAAATATCTTCGTATAAAAACTAGACAGAATGATTCTCAGAAACTCCTTTGTGATGTGTGCGTTCAACTCACAGAGTTTAACTTTTCTTTTCATAGAGCAGTTAGGAAACACTCTGTAAAGTCTGCAAGTGCATATTCAGACCTCTTTGAGGCCTTCGTTGGAAACGGGATTTCTTCATATTATGCTAGACAGAATAATTCTCAGTAACTTCCTTATGTTGTGTGTATTCAACTCACAGAGTTGAACGATCCTTTACAAAGAGCAGACTTGAAACACTCTTTTTGTGGAATTCGCAAGTGGAGATTTCAGCCGCTTTGAGGTCAACAGTAGAAAAGGAAATATCTTCGTAGAAAAACTAGACAGAATCATTCTCAGAAACTGCTGTGTGATGTGTGCTTTCAACTCAGAGAGTTTAACTTTTCTTTTCATTCAGCAGTTTGGAAACACTCTGTTTGTAAAGTCTGCAAGTGGATATATTGACCTCTTAGGGTCCTTCGTTGGAAACGGGTTTTTTTTCATGTAAGGCTAGACAGAAGAATTCTCAGTAACTTCCTTGTGTTGTGTGTATTCAACTCACAGAGTTGAACGATCCTTTACACTGAGCAGACTTGTAACACTCTTTTTGTGGAATTTGCAAGTGGAGATTTCAGCCGCTTTGAAGTCAAAGGTAGAAAAGGAAATATCTTCCTATAAAGACTAGACAGAACGATTCTCAGAAACTCCTTTGTGATGTGTGCGTTCAACTCACAGAGTTTAACCTTTCTTTTCATAGAGCAGTTAGGAAACACTCTGTTTGTAAAGTCTGCAAGTGGATATGCAGACCTCTTTGAGGCCTTCGTTGGAAACGGGATTTCTTCATATTCTGCTAGACAGAAGAATTCTCAGTAACTTACCTTGTGTTGTGTGTATTCAACTCACAGAGTTCAACGATCCTTTACACAGAGCAGACTTGAAACACTCTTTTTGTGGAATTTGCAAGTGGAGATTTCAGCCGCTTTGAGGTCAATGGTAGAAAAGGAAATATCTTCGTATAAAAACTAAACAGAACGATTCTCAGAAACTCCTTTGTGATGTGTGCGTTCAACTCACAGAGTTTAACCTTTCTTTTCATAGAGCAGTTAGGAAACACTCTGTTTGTAAAGTCTGCAAATGGATATTCAGACCTCTTTGAGGCCTTCGGTGGAAACGGGATTTCTTCATATTCTGCTAGACAGAAGAATTCTCAGTAACTTTCCTTGTGTTGTGTGTATTCAACTGACAGAGTTGAACTTTCATTTAGAGAGAGCAGATTTGAAACACTGTTTTTGTGGAATTTGCAAGTGGTGATTTCAAGCGCTTTGGGGCCAAAGGCAGAAAAGGAAATATCTTCGTATAAAAACTAGACAGAATCATTCTCAGAAACTGCTGCGTGATGTGTGCGTTCAACTCTCAGAGTTTAACTTTTCTTTTCATTCAGCGGTTTGGAAACACTCTGTTTGTAAAGTCTGCACGTGGAAATTTTGACCACTTAGAGGCCTTCGTTGGAAACGGGATTTTTTCATGTAGGGCTAGACAGAAGTATTCTCAGTAACTTCCTTGTGTTGTGTGTATTCAACTCACAGAGTTAAACGATCCTTTACACAGAGCAGACTTGTAACACTCTTTTTGTGGAATTTGCAAGTGGAGATTTCAGCCGCTTTGAAGTCAAAGGTAGAAAAGGAAATAACTTCCTATAAAAACTAGACAGAATGATTCTCAGAAACTTCTTTGTGATGTGTGCGTTCAACTCACAGAGTTTAACATTTCTTTTCATAGAGCAGTTAGGAAACACTCTGTTTGTAAACTCTGCAAGTGGATATTCAGACCTCTTTGAGGCCTTCGTTGGAAACGGGATTTCTTCATACTGTGCTAGACAGAAGAATTCTCAGTAATTTCCTTGTGTTGTGTGTATTCAACTCACAGAGTTCAACGATCCTTTACACAGAGCAGACTTGAAACACTCTTTTTGTGGAATTTGCAAGTGGAGATTTCAGCCGCTTTGAGGTCAATGGTAGAAAAGTAAATATCTTCGTATAAAAACTAGACAGAATGATTCTCAGAAACTCCTTTGTGATGTGTGCGTTCAACTCACAGAGTTTAACTTTTCTTTTCATAGAGCAGTTAGTAAACACTCTGTTTATAAAGTCTGCAAGTGGATATTCAGACCCCTCTGAGGACTTCGTTGGAAACGGGATTTCTTCATATTATGCTAGACAGAAGAATTCCCAGTAACTTCCTTGTGTTGTGTGTGTTCAACTCACAGAGTTGAACTTTCATTTACACAGAGCAGATTTAGAACACACTTTTTGTGGAATTTGCAAGTGGAGATTTCAAGCGCTTTGAGGCCAAAGGCAGAAAAGGAAATATCTTCGTATAAAAACTAGACAGAATAATTCTCAGAAACTGCTGCGTGATGTGTGCGTTCAACTCTCAGAGTTTAACTTTTCTTTTCATTCAGCAGTTTGGAAACACTCTGTTTGTAAAGTCTGCACGTGGATAATTTGACCACTTAGAGGTCTTCGTTGGAAACGGGTTTTTTTCATGTAAGGCTAGACAAAAGAATTCTCAGTAACTTCCTTGTGTTGTGTTTATTCAACTCACAGAGTTGAACGATCCTTTACACAGAGCAGACTTGTAACACTCTTTTTGTGGAATTTGCAAGTGGAGATTTCAGCCGCTTTGAAGTCAAAGGTAGAAAAGGAAATATCTTCCTATAAAAACTAGACAGAATGATTCTGAGAAACTCCTTTGTGATGTGTGCGTTAAACTCACACAGTTTAACCTTTCTTTTCATAGAGCAGTTAGGAAACACTCTGTTTGTAAAGTCTGCAAGTGGATATTCAGACCTCCTTGAGGCCTTCGTTGGAAACGGGATTTCTTCATATTATGCTAGACAGAAGTAATTCTCAGTAACTTCCTTGTGTTGTGTGTATTCAACTCACAGAGTTAAACGATCCTTTACACAGAGCAGACGTGAAACACTCTTTTTGTGGAATTTGGAAGTGGAGATTTCAGCCGCTTTGAGGTCAATGGTAGAAAAGGAAACTATCTTCATATAAAGACTAGACAGAATGATTCTCAGAAACTCCTTTGTGATGTGTGCGTTCAACTCACAGAGTTTAACCTTTCTTTTCAGAGAGCAGTTAGGAAACACTCTGTTTGTAAAGTCTGCAAGTGGATATTCAGACATCTTTGAGGCTTTCGTTGGAAACGGGATTTCTTCATATTCTGCTAGACAGAAGAATTCCCAGTAACTTCCTTGTGTTGTGTGTGTTGAACTCACAGAGTTGAACTTTCATTTACACAGAGCAGATTTGAAACACTCTTTTTGTGGAATTTGCAAGTGGAGATTTCAAGCGCTTTGAGGCCAAAGGCAGAGAAGGAAATATCTTCGTTTGAAAACTAGACAGAATCATTCTCAGAAACTGCTCTGCGATGTGTGCGTTCAACTCTCCGAGTTTAACTTTTCTTTTCATTCAGCAGTTTGAAAACACTCTGTTTGTAAAGTCTGCACGTGGATAATTTGACCACTTAGAGGCCTTCGTTGGAAACGGTTTTTTTTTCATGTAAGGCTAGACAGAAGAATTCCCAGTAACTTCCTTGTGTTGTGTACATTCAACTCACAGAGTTGAACGTTCCCTTAGACAGAGCAGATTTGAAATACTCTTTTTGTGCAATTGGCAAGTGGAGATTTCAAGCGCTTTAAGGTCAATGGCAGAAAAGGAAATATCTTAGTTTCAAAACTAGACAGAATCATTCCCACAAACTGCGTTGTGATGTGTTCGTTCAACTCACAGAGTTTAACCTTTCTTTTCATAGAGCAGTTAGGAAACACTCTGTTTGTAAAGTCTGTAAGTGGATATTCTGACATCTTGTGGCCTTCGTTGGAAACGGGATTTCTTCATATTCTGCTAGACAGAAGAATTCTCAGTAACTTCCTTGTGTTGTGTGTATTCAACTCACAGAGTTGAACGATCCTTTACACAGAGCAGACTTGGAACACTCTTTTTGTGGAATTTGCAAGTGGAGATTTCAGCCGCGTTGAAGTCAATGGTAGAAAAGGAAATATCTTCGTATAAAAACTAGACAGAATGATTCTCAGAAACTCCTTTGTGATGTGTGCGTTCAACTCACAGAGTTTAACTTTTCTTTTCATAGAGCAGTTAGGAAACACTCTGTTTATAAAGTCTGCAAGTGGATATTCAGACCTCTTTGTGGCCTTCGTTGGAAACGGGATTTCTTCATATTATACTAGACAGAAGAATTCTCAGTAACTTCCTTGTGTTGTGTGTATTCAACTGACAAAGTTGAACTTTCATTTAGAGGGAGCAGATTTGAAACACTGTTTTTGTGGAATTTGCAAGTGGAGATTTCAAGCGCTTTGGGGCCAAAGGCAGAAAAGGATATATCTTCGTATAAAAACTAGACAGAATCATTCTCAGAAACTGCTGCGTGATGTGTGCGTTCAACTCTCAGAGTTTAACTTTTCTTTTCATTCAGCGGTTTGGAAACACTCTGTTTGTGAAGTCTGCCCGTGGATATTTTGACCCCTTAGAGGCCTTCGTTGGAAACGGGTTTTTTTCATGTAAGGCTAGACAGAAGAATTCCCAGTAACTTCCTTGTGTTGTGTACATTCAACTCACAGAGTTGAACGTTCCCCTTAGACAGAGCAGATTTGAAACACTCTTTTTGTGCAATTGGCAAGTGGAGATTTCAAGCGCTTTAAGGTCAATGGCAGAAAAGGAAATATCTTCGTTTCAAAACTAGACAGAATGATTCTCAGAAACTACTTTGTGATGTGTGCGTTCAACTCACAGAGTTTAACCTTTCTTTTCATAGAGCAGTTAGGAAACACTCTGTTTGTAAAGTCTGCAAGTGGATATTCAGACCTCCTTGAGGCCTTCGTTGGAAACGGGATTTCTTCATATTATGCAAGACAGAAGAATTCTCAGTAACTTCCTTGTGTTGTGTGTATTCAACTCACAGAGTTGAACGATCCTTTACACAGAGCAGACTTGAAACACTCTTCTTGTGGAATTTGCAAGTGGAGATTTCAGCCGCTTTGAGGTCAATGGTAGAATAGGAAATATCTTCGTATAGAAACTAGACAGAATGATTCTCAGAAACTCCTTTGTGATGTGTGCGTTCAACTCACAGACTTTAACCTTTCTTTTCATAGAGCAGTTAGGAAACACTCTGTTTGTAAAGTCTGCAAATGGATATTCAGACCTCTTTGAGGCCTTCGTTGGAAACGGGTTTTTTTCATATAAGGCTAGACAGAAGAATTCCCAGTAACTTCCTTGTGTTGTGTGTGTTCAACTCACAGAGTTGAACTTTCATTTACACAGAGCAGATTTGAAACACTCTTTTTGTGGAATTTGCAAGTGGAGATTTCAAGCGCTTTGAGGCCAAAGGCAGAAAAGGAGATATCTTCGTATAAAAACTAGACAGAATCATTCTCAGAAACTGCTGCGTGATGTGTGCGATCAACTCTCAGAGATTAACTTTTCTTTTCATTCAGCGGTTTGGAAACACTCTGTTTGTAAAGTCTGCACGTGGAAATTTTGACCACTTAGAGACCTTCGTTGGAAACGGGATTTTTTCATGTAAGGCTAGACAGAAGAATTCCCAGTAACTTTCCTTGTGTTGTGTGCATTCAACTCACAGAGTTGAACGTTCCCTTAGACAGAGCAGATTTGAAACACTCTATTTGTGCAATTTGCAAGTGTAGATTTCAAGCGCTTTAAGGTCAATGGCAGAAAAGGAAATGTCTTCGTTTCAAAACTAGACAGAATCATTCCCAAAAACTGCGTTGTGATGTGTTCGTTCAACTCACAGCAGTTTAACCTTTCTTTTCATAGAGCAGTTAGGAAACAGTCTGTTTGTAAATTCTGTAAGTGGATATTCTGACATCTTGTGGCCTTCGTTGGAAACGGGATTTCTTCATATTCTGCTAGACAGAATAATTCTCAGTAACTTCCTTGTGTTGTGTGTATTCAACTCACAGAGTTGAACGATCCTTTACACAGAGCAGACTTGAAACACTGTTTTTGTGGAATTTGCAAGTGGAGATTTCAGCCGCTTTGAGCTCAATGGTAGAATAGGAAATATCTTCCTATAGAAACTAGACAGAATGATTCTCAGAAACTCCTTTGTGATGTGTGCGTTCAACTCACAGAGTTTAACCTTTCTTTTCATAGAGCAGTTAGGAAACACTCTGTTTGTAAAGTCTGCAAGTGGATATTCAGACCTCTTTGAGGCCTTCGTTGGAAACGGGATTTCTTCATATTCTGCCAGACAGAAGAATTCCCAGTAACTTCCTTGTGTTGTGTGTGTTCAACTCACAGAGTTGAACTTTCATTTACACAGAGCAGATTTGAAACACTCTTTTTGTGGAATTTGCAAGTGGAGATTTCAAGCGCTTTGAGGCCAAAGGCAGAAAAGGAAATATCTTCGTATAAAAACTACACAGAATCATTCTCAGAAACTGCTGCGTGATGTGTGCGTTCAACACTCAGAGTTTAACTTTTCTTTTCATTCAGCGGTTTGGAAACACTCTGTTTGTAAAGTCGGAACGTGCATATTTTGACCACTTAGAGGCCTTCGTTGGAAACGGGTTTTTTTCATGTAAGGCTAGACAGAAGAATTCCCAGTAACTTCCTTGTGTTGTGTACATTCAACTCACAGAGTTGAACGTTCCCTTAGACAGAGCAGATTTGAAACACTCTTTTTGTGCAATTGGCAAGTGGAGATTTCAAGCGCTTTAAGGTCAATGGCAGAAAAGGAAATAACTTCGTTTCAAAACTAGACAGAATCATTCCCACAAACTGCGTTGTGATCTGTTAGGTAAACTCACAGAGTTTAACCATTCTTTTCATAGAGCAGTTAGGAAACAGTCTGTTTGTAAATTCTGTAAGTGGATATTCTGACATCTTGTGGCCTTCGTTGGAAACGGGATTTCTTCATATTCTGCTAGACAGAAGAACTCTCAGAATCTTCCTTGTGTTGTGTGTATTCAACTCACAGAGTTGAACGATGGTTTACACAGAGCAGATTTGAAACACTCTTTTTGTGGAATTTGCAAGTGGAGATTTCAGCCGCTTTGAGGTCAATGGTAGAAAAGGAAATATCTTCGTATAAAAACTAGACAGAATGATTCTCAGAAACTCCTTTGTGATGTGTGTGTTCAACTCACAGAGTTTAACCTTTCTATTCATAGAGTAGTTAGGAAACACTCTGTTTGTAATGTCTGCAAGTGGATATTTTGACCTCTTTGAGGCCTTCGTTGGAAACGGGTTTTTTTCATGTAAGGCTAGACAGAAGAATTCTCAGTAACTTCCTTGTGTTGTGTGTATTCAACTGACAGAGTTGAACTTTCATTTAGAGAGAGCAGATTTGAAACACTGTTTTTGTGGAATTTGCAAGTGGAGATTTCAAGCGCTTTGGGGCCAAAGGCAGAAAACGAAATATCTTCGTATAAAAACTAGACAGAATCATTCTCAGAAACTGCTGCGTGATGTGTGCGTTCAACTCTCAGAGTTTAACTTTTCTTTTCATTCAGCGGTTTGGAAACACTCTCGTTTGTAAAGCCTGCACGTGGATATTTTGACCACTTAGAGGCCTTCGTTGGAAACGGGTTTTTTTCATGTAAGGCTAGACAGAAGAATTCCCAGTAACTTCCTTGTGTTGTGTGCATTCAACTCACAGAGTTGAACGTTCCCTTAGACAGAGCAGATTTGAAACACTCTATTTGTGCAATTTGTAAGTGTAGTTTTCAAGCTCTTTAAGGTCAACGGCAGAAAAGGAAATATCTTCGTTTCAAAACTAGATCAGAATCATTCCCACAAACTGCGTTGTGATGTGTTCGTTCAACTAACAGAGTTTAACCTTTCTTTTCATAGAGCAGTTAGGAAACACTCTGTTGGTAAATTCTGTAAGTGGATATTCTGACATCTTGTGGCCTTCGTTGGAAACGGGATTTCTACATATTCTGCTAGACAGAGGAATTCTCAGTAACTTCCTTGTGTTGTGTGTATTCAACTCACGGAGTTGAACGATCCTTTACACAGAGCAGACTTGAAACACTCTTTTTGTGGAATTTGCAAGTGGAGATTTCAGCCGCTTTGAGGTCAATAGTAGAAAAGGAAATATCTTCGTAGAAAAACTAGACAGAATGATTCTCAGAAACTCCTTTGTGATGTGTGTGTTCAACTCACAGAGTTTAACCTTTCTTTTCATAGAGCAGTTAGTAAACACTCTGTTTATAAAGTCTGCAAGTGGATATTCAGACCCATTTGAGGCCTTCGTTGGAAACGGGATTTCTTCATATTCTGCTAGACAGAAGAATTCCCAGTAACTTCCTTGTGTTGTGTGTGTTCAACTCACAGAGTTGAACTTTCATTTACACAGAGCAGATTTGAAACACTCTTTTTGTGGAATATGCAAGTGGAGATTTCAAGCGCTTTGAGACCAAAGGCAGAAAAGGAACTATCTTCGTTTGAAAACTAGACAGAATCATTCTCAGAAACTGCTCTGCGATGTGTGCGTTCAACTCTCAGAGTTTAACTTTTCTTTTCATTCAGCAGTTTGGAAACACTCTGTTTGTAAAGTCTGCACGTGGATATTTTGACCACTTAGAGGCCTTCGTTGGAAACGGGTTTTTTTCCTATAAGGCTAGACAGAAGAATTCCCAGTAACTTCCTTGTGTTGTGTACATTCAACTCACAGAGTTGAACGTTCCCTTAGACAGAGCAGATTTGAAACACTCTTTTTGTGCAATTGGCAAGTGGAGATTTCAAGCGCTTTAAGGTTAATGGCAGAAAAGGAAATATCTTCGTTTCAAAACTAGACAGAATCATTCCCACAAACTGCGTTGTGATGTGTTCGTTCAACACACAGAGTTTAACCTTTCTTTTCATAGAGCAGTTAGGAAACAGTCTGTTTGTAAATTCTGTAAGTGGATATTCTGACATCTTGTGGCCTTCGTTGGAAACGGGATTTCTTCATATTCTGCTAGACAGAAGAATTCTCAGTAACTTCCTTGTGTTGTGTGTATTCAACTCACAGAGTTGAACGATCCTTTACACAGAGCAGATTTGAAACACTCTTTTTCTGGAATTTGCAAGTGGAGATTTCAGCCGCTTTGTGGTCAATGGTAGAAAAGGAAATATCTTCATATAAAAACTAGACAGAATGATTCTCAGAAACTCCTTTGAGATGTGTGTGTTCAACTCACAGAGTTTAACCTTTCTTTTCATAGAGCAGTTAGGAATCACTCTGTTTGTAAAGTCTGCAAGTGGATATTCAGACCTCTTTGAGGCCTTCGTTGGAAAAGGGTTTTTTTCATATAAGGCTAGAGAGAAGAATTCCCAGTAACTTCCTTGTGTTGTGTGTGTTCAACTCACAGAGTTGAACTTCCATTTACACAGAGCAGATTTGAAACACTCTTTTTGTGGAATTTGCAAGTGGAGATTTCAAGCGCTTTGAGGCCAAAGGCAGAAAAGGAAATATCTTCGTTTCAAAACTAGACAGAATCATTCTCAGAAACTGCTCTGCGATGTGTGCGTTCAACTCTCAGAGTTTAACTTTTCTTTTCATTCAGCAGTTTGGAAACACTCTGTTTGTAAAGTCTGCACGTGGATATTTTGACCACTTAGAGGCCTTCGTTGGAAACGGGTTTTTTTCCTGTAAGACTAGACAGAAGAATTCCCAGTAACTTCTTTGTGTTGTGTACATTCAACTCACAGAGTTGAACGTTCCCTTAGACAGAGCAGATTTGAAACACTCTTTTTGTGCAATTGGCAAGTGGAGATTTCAAGCGCTTTAAGGTCAATGGCAGAAAAGGAAATATCTTCGTTTCAAAACTAGACAGAATGATTCTCAGAAACTCCTTTGTGATGTGTGCGTTCAACTCACAGAGTTTAACCTTTGTTTTCATAGAGCAGTTAGGAAACACTCTGTTTGTAAAGTCTGAAAGTGGATATTCAGACCTCTTTGAGGCCTTCGTTGGAAACGGGTTTTTTTCATATAAGGCTAGAGAGAAGAATTCCCAGTAACTTCCTTGTGTTGTGTGTATTCAACTCACAGAGTTGAACGATCCTTTACACAGAGCAGACTTGTAACACTCTTTTTGTGGAATTTGCAAGTGGAGATTTCTGCCGCTTTGAAGTCAAAGGTAGAAAAGGAAATATCTTCCTATAAAAACTAGACAGAATGATTCTCAGAAACTCCTTTGTGATGTGTGCGTTCAACTCACAGAGTTTACCCTTTCTTTTCATAGAGCAGTTAGGAAACACTCTGTTTGTAAAGTTTGCAAGTGGATATTCAGACATCCTTGAGGCTTTCGTTGGAAACGGGATTTCTTCATATTCTGCCAGAAAGAAGAATTCCCAGTAACTTCCTTGTGTTGTGTGTGTTCAACTCACAGAGTTGAACATTCATTTACACAGAGCAGATTTGAAACACTCTTTTTGTGGAATTTGCAAGTGGAGATTTCAAGCGCTTTGAGGCCAAAGGCAGAAAAGGAAATATCTTCGTTTCAAAACTAGACAGAATCATTCTCAGAAACTGCTCTGCGATGTGTGCGTTCAACTCTCAGAGTTTAACTTTTCTTTTCATTCAGCAGTTTGGAAACACTCTGTTTGTAAAGTCTGCACGTGGATATTTTGACCACTTAGAGGCCTTCGTTGGAAACGGTTTTTTTTCCTGTAAGGCTAAAAAGAAGAATTCTCAGTAACTTCCTTGTGTTGTGTGTATTCAACTCACACAGTTGAACGATCCTTTACACAGAGCAGACTTGTAACACTCTTTTTGTGGAATTTGCAAGTGGGGATTTCAGCCGCTTTGAAGTCAAAGGTAGAAAAGGAAATATCTTCCTATAAAAACTAGACAGAATGATTCTCAGAAACTCCTTTGTGATGTGTGCTTTCAACTCACAGAGTTTAACCTTTCTTTTCATAGAGCAGTTAGGAAACACTCTGTTTGTAAAGTCTGCAAGTGGATATTCAGACCTCTTTGAGGCCTTCGTTGGAAACGGGTTTTTTTCATATAAGGCTAGACAGAAGAATTCTCAGTAACTTCCTTGTGTTGTGTGTATTCAACTCACAGTGTTGAACGATCCTTTACACAGAGCAGACTTGAAACACTCTTTTTGTGGAATTTGCAAGTGGAGATTTCAGCCGCTTTGAGGTCAATAGTAGAAAAGGAAATATCTTCGTAGAAAAACTAGACAGAATGATTCTCAGAAACTCCTTTGTTATGTGTGCGTTCAACTCACAGAGTTTAACCTTTCTTTTCATAGAGCAGTTAGGAAACACTCTGTTTGTAAAGTCTGCAAGTGGATATTCAGACATCCTTGAGGCTTTCGTTGGAAACGGGATTTCTTCATATTCTGCTAGAAAGAAGAATTCCCAGTAACTTCCTTGTGTTGTGTGTGTTCAACTCACAGAGTTGAACTTTCATTTACACAGAGCAGATTTGAAACACTCTTTTTGTGGAATTTGCAAATGGAGATTTCAAGCGCTTTGAGGCCAAATGCAGAAAAGAAAATATCTTCGTATAAAAACTAGACAGAATCATTCTCAGAAACTGCTCTGCGATGTGTGCGTTCAACTCTCAGAGTTTAACTTTTCCTTTCATTCAGCAGTTTGGAAACACTCTGTTTGTAAAATCTGCACGTGCATAATTTGACCACTTAGAGGCCTTCGTTGGAAACGGGTTTTTTCCATGTAAGGCTAGACAGAAGAATTCCCAGTAACTTCCTTGTGTTGTGTTCATTCAACTCACAGAGTTGAACGTTCCCTTAGACAGAGTAGATTTGAAACACTCTTTTTGTGCAATTGGCAAGTGGAGATTTCAAGCGATTTAAGGTCAATGGCAGAAAAGGAAATATCTTCGTTTCAAAACTAGACAGAATCATTCCCACAAACTGCGTTGTGATGTGTTCGTTCAACTCACAGAGTTTAACCTTTCTGTTCATAGAGCAGTTAGGAAACACTCTGTTTGTAAAGTCTCTAAGTGGATATTCTGACATCTTGTGGCCTTCGTTGGAAACGGGATTTCTTCATATTCTGCTAGACAGAAGAATTCTCAGTAACTTCCTTGTGTTGTGTGTATTCAACTCACAGAGTTGAACGATCCTTTACACAGAGCAGACTTGAAACACTCTTTTTGTGGAATTTGCAAGTGGAGATTTCAGCCGCTTTGAGGTCAATGGTAGAAAAGGAAATCTCTTCGTATAAAGACTAGACAGAATGATTCTCAGAAACTCCTTTGTGATGTGTGCGTTCAACTCACAGAGTTTAACCTTTCTTTTCATAGAGCAGTTAGGAAACACTCTGTTTGTAAAGTCTGCAAGTGGATATTCAGACTTCTTTGAGGCTTTCGTTGGAAACGGGATTTCTTCATATTCTGCTATACAGAAGAATTCCCAGTAACTTCCTTGTGTTGTGTGTGTTCAACTCACAGAGTTGAACTTTCATTTACACAGAGCAGATTTGAAACACTCTTTTTGTGGAATTTGCAAATGGAGATTTCAAGCGCTTTGAGGCCAAAGGCAGAAAAGGAAATATCTTCGTATAAAAACTCGACAGAATCATTCTCAGAAACTGCTCTGCGATGTGTGCGTTCAACTCTCAGAGTTTAACTTTTCTTTTCATTCAGCAGTTTGGAAACACTCTGTTTGTAAAGTCTGCACATGGAAAACTTGACCACTTAGAGGCCTTCGTTGGAAACGGGTTTTTTTTATGTAAGGCTAGACAGAAGAATTCTCAGTAACTTCCTTGTGTTGTGTGTATTCAACTCAAAGAGTTGAACGATCCTTTACACAGAGCAGACTTGTAACACTCTTTTTGTGGAATTTGCAAGTGGAGATTTCAGCCGCTTTGAAGTCAAAGGTAGAAAATGAAATATCTTCCTATAAAAACTAGACAGAATCATTCCCACAAACTGCGTTGTGATGTGTTCGTTCAACTCACAGAGTTTAACCTTTCTGTTCATAGAGCAGTTAGGAAACACTCTGTTTGTAAAGTCTGTAAGTGGATATTCTGACATCTTGTGGCCTTCGTTGGAAACGGGATTTCTTCGTATTCTGCTAGACAGAAGAATTCTCAGTAACTTCCTTGTGTTGTGTGTATTCAACTCACAGGATTTGAACGATCCTTTACACAGAGCGGACTTGAAACACTCTTTTTGTGGAATTTGCAAGTGGAGATTTCAGCCGCGTTGAGGTCAATGGTAGAAAAGGAAATATCTTCGTATAAAAACTAGACAGAGTGATTCTCAGAAACTCCTTTGTGATGTCTGCGTTCAACTGACAGAGTTTAACCTTTCTTTTCATAGAGCAGTTAGGAAACACTCTGTTTGTAAAGTCTGCAAGTGGATATTCAGACCTCCTTGAGGCCTTCGTTGGAAACGGGATTTCTTCATATTCTGCTATACAGAAGAATTCCCAGTAACTTCCTTGTGTTGTGTGTGTTCAACTCACAGAGATGAACTCTCATTTACACAGAGCAGATTTGAAACACTCTTTTTGTGGAATTTGCAAGTGGAGATTTCAAGCGCTTTGAGGCCAAAGGCAGAAAAGGAAATATCTTCGTATAAAAACTAGACAAAATCATTCTCAGAAACTGCTCTGCGATGTGTGTGTTCAACTCTCAGAGTTTAACTTTTCTTTTCATTCAGCAGTTTGGAAACACTCTGTTTGTAAAGTCTGCACGTGGATAATTTGACCACTTAGAGGCCTTCGTTGGAAACGGGTTTTTTTCATGTAAGGCTAGACAGAAGAATTCCCAGTAAATTCCTTGTGTTGTGTACATTCAACTCACAGAGTTGAACGTTCCCTTAGACAGAGCAGATTTGATACACTCTTTTTGTGCAATTGGCAAGTGGAGATTTCAAGCGCTTTAAGGTCAATGGCAGAAAAGGAAATATCTTCGTTTCAAAACTAGACAGAATGATTCTCAGAAACTCCTTTGTGATGTGTGCGTTCAACACACAGAGTTTAACTTTTCTTTTCATAGAGCAGTTAGGAAACACTCTGTTTGTAAAGTCTGCAAGTGGATATTCAGACCTCTTTGAGGCCTTCTTTGGAAACGGGATTTCTTCATATTATGCTAGACAGAATAATTCTCAGTAACTTCCTTGTGTTGTGTGTATTCAAGTCACAGAGTTGAACGATCCTTTACAGAGAGCAGACTTGAAACACTCTTTTTGTGGAATTTGCAAGTGGAGATTTCAGCCGCTTTGAGGTCAATAGTAGAAAAGGAAATATCTTCGTAGAAAAACTAGAAAGAATGATTCTCAGAAACTCCTTTGTGATGTGTGTGTTCAACTCACAGAGTTTAACCTTTCTTTTCATAGAGCAGTTTGGAAACACTCTGTTTGTAAAGTCTGCAAGTGGATATTCAGACCTCGTTGAGGCCTTCGTTGGAAACGGGATTTCTTCATATTCTGCTAGACAGAAGAATTCCCAGTAACTTCCTTGTGTTGTGTGTGTTCAACTCACAGAGTTGAACTTTGATTTACACAGAGCAGATTTGAAACACTCTTTTTGTGGAATTTGCAAGTGGAAATTTCAAGCGCTTTGAGGCCAAAGGCAGAAAAGGAAATATCTTCGTATAAAAACTAGACAGAATCATTCTCAGAAACTGCTGTGTGATGTGTGCGTTCAACTCTCAGAGTTTAACTTTTCTTTTCATTCAGCGGTTTGGAAACACTCTGTTTGTAAAGTCTGCACGTGGATATTTTGACCACTTAGAGGCCTTCGTTGGAAACGGGTTTTTTTCATGTAAGGCTAGACAGAAGAATTCCCAGTAACTTCCTTGTGTTGTGTGCATTCAACTCACAGAGATGAACGTTCCCTTAGACAGAACAGATTTGAAACACTCTATTTGTGCAATTTGCAAGTGTAGATTTCAAGCGCTTTAAGGTCAATGGCAGAAAAGGAAATATCTTCGTTTCAAAACTAGACAGAATCATTCCCACAAACTGCGTTGTGATGTGTTCGTTCAACTCACAGAGTTTAACCTTTCTGTTCATAGAGCAGTTAGGAAACACTCTGTTTCTAAAGTCTGTAAGTGGATATTCTGACATATTGTGGCCTTCGTTGGAAACGGGATTTCTTCATATTCTGCTAGACAGAAAAATTCTCAGTAACTTCTTTGTGTTGTGTGTATTCAACTCACAGAGTTGAACGATCCTTTACACAGAGCAGACTTGAAACACTCTTTTTGTGGAATTTGCAAGTGGAGATTTCAGCCGCTTTGAGGTCAACGGTAGAATAGGAAATATCTTCCTATAGAAACTAGACAGAATTATTCTCAGAAACTCCTTTGTGATGTGTGCGTTCAACTCACAGAGTTTAACCTTTCTTTTCATAGAGCAGTTAGGAAACACTCTGTTTGTAAGGTCTGCAAGTGGATATTCAGAGCTCCTTGAGGCCTTCTTTGGAAACGGGATTTCTTCATATTATGCTGGACAGAAGAATTCTCAGTAATTTCCTTGTGTTGTGTGTATTCAACTCACAGAGTTGAACGATCCTTTACACAGAGCAGACTTGAAACACTCTTTTTGTGGAATTTGCAAGGAGATTTCAGCCGCTTTGAGGTCAATGGTAGAATAGGAAATATGTACCTATAGAAACTAGACAGAATGATTCTCAGAAACTCCTTTGTGATGTGTGCGTTCAACTCACAGAGGTTAACCTTTCTTTTCATAGAGCAGTTAGGAAACACTCTGTTTGTAAAGTCTGCAAGTGGATATTCAGACCTCCTTGAGGCCTTCGTTGGAAACGGGATTTCTTCATATTATGCTAGACAGAAGAATTCCCAGTAACTTCCTTGTGTTGTGTACATTCAGCTCACAGAGTTGAACGTTCCCTTAGACAGAGCAGATTTGAAACACTCTTTTTGTGCAATTGGCAAATGGAGATTTCAAGCGCTTTAAGGTCAATGGCAGAAAAGGAAATATCTTCGTTTCAAAACTAGACAGAAGCATTCCCACAAACTGCGTTGTGATGTGTTCGTTCAACTCACAGAGTTTAACCTTTCTTTTCATAGAGCAGTTAGGAAACAGTCTGTTTGTCAATTCTGTAAGTGGATATTCTGACATCTTGTGGCCTTCGTTGGAAACGGGATTTCTTCATATTCTGCTAGACAGAAGAATTCTCAGTAACTTCCTTGTGTTGTGTGTATTCAACTCACAGAGTTGAACGATCCTTTACACAGAGCAGACTTGAAACACTCTTTTTGTGGAATTTGCAAGTGGAGATATCAGCCGCTTTGAGGTCAATGGTAGAATAGGAAATATCTTCCTATAGAAAATAGACAGAATGATTCTCAGAAACTCCTTTGTGATGTGTGTGTTCAACTCACAGCAGTTTAACCTTTCTTTTCATAGAGCAGTTAGTAAACACTCTGTTTATAAAGTCTGCAAGTGGATATTCAGACCCCTTTGAGGCCTTCGTTGGAAACGGGATTTCTTCATATTATGCTAGACAGAAGAATTCCCAGTGACTTCCTTGTGTTGTGTGTGTTCAACTCACAGAGTTGAACTTTCATTTACCCAGAGCAGATGTGAAACACTCTTTTTGTGGAATTTGCAAGTGGAGATTTCAAGCGCTTTGAGGCCAAAGGCAGAAAAGGAAATATCTTCGTTTCAAAACTAGACAGAATCATTCTCAGAAACTGCTGCGTGATGTGTGCGTTCAACTCTCAGAGTTTAACTTTTCTTTTCATTCAGCGGTTTGGAAACACTCTGTTTGTAAAGTCTGCACGTGGATATTTTGACCACTTAGAGGCCTTCGTTGGAAACGGAATTTTTTCATGTGAGGCTAGACAGAAGAATTCCCAAGTAACTTCCTTGTGTTGTGTACATTCAACTCACAGAGTTGAACGTTCCCTTAGACAGAGCAGATTTGAAACACTCTTTTTGTGCAATTGGCAAATGGAGATTTCAAGCGCTTTAAGGTCAATGGCAGAAAAGGAAATATCTTCGTTTCAAAACTAGACAGAATCATTCCCACAAACTGCGTTGTGATGTGTTCGTTCAACTCACAGAGTTTAACCTTTCTGTTCATAGAGCAGTTAGGAAACACTCTGTTTGTAAAGTCTGTAAGTGGCTATTCTGACATCTTGTGGCCTTTGTTGGAAACGGGATTTCTTCATATTCTGCTAGACAGAAGAATTCTCAGTAACTTCCTTGTGTTGTGTGTATTCAACTCACAGAGTTGAACGATCCTTTACACAGAGCAGACTTGAAACACACTTTTTGTGGAATTTGCAAGTGGAGATTTCAGCCGCTTTGAGGTCAATGGTAGAAAAGGAAATATCTTCGTATAAAGACTAGACAGAATGATTCTCAGAAACGCCTTTGTGATGTGTGCTTTCAACTCACAGAGTTTAACTTTTCTTTTCATAGAGCAGTTAGGAAACACTCTGTTTATAAAGTCTGCAAGTGGATATTCAGACCTCTTTGAGGTCTTCGTTGGAAACGGGATTTCTCCATACTATGCTAGACAGAAGAATTCCCAGTAACTTCCTTGTGTTGTGTGTGTTCAACTCACAGAGTTGAACTTTCATTTACACAGAGCAGATTTGAAACACTCTTTTTGTGGAATTTGCAAGTGGAGATGTCAAGCGCTTTGAGGCCAAAGGCAGAAAAGGAAATATCTTCGTTTCAAAACTAGACAGAATCATTCTCAGAAACTGCTCTGCGATGTGTGCGTTCAACTCTCAGAGTTTAACTTTTCTTTTCATTCAGCAGTTTGGAAACACTGTGTTTGTAAAGTCTGCACGTGGATAATTTGACCACTTAGAGGTCTTCGTTGGAAACGGGTTTTTTTCATGTAAGGCTAGACAGAAGAATTCTCAGTAACTTCCTTGTGTTGTGTGTATTCAACTCACAGAGTTGAACGATCCTTTACACAGAGCAGACTTGTAACACTCTTTTTGTGGAATTTGCAAGTGGAGATTTCATCCGCTTTGAAGTCAAAGGTAGAAAAGGAAATCTCTTCGTATAAAAACTAGACAGAATGATTCTCAGAAACTTCTTTGTGATGTGTGCGTTCAACACATAGAGTTTAACCTTTCTTTTCATAGAGCAGTTAGGAAACACTCTGTTTGTAAAGTCTGCAAGTGGATATTCAGACCTCTTTGGGGCCTTCGTTGGAAAAGAGATTTCTTCATACTGTGCTAGACAGAAGAATTCTCAGTAACTTCCTTGTGTTGTGTGTATTCAACTCACAGAGTTGAACGATCCTTTACACAGAGCAGACTTGTCACACTCTTTTTGTGGAATTTGCAAGTGGAGATTTCAGCCGCTTTGAAGTCAAAGGTAGAAAAGGAAATATCTTCCTATAAAAACTAGACAGAATGATTCTCAGAAACTCCTTTGTGATGTGTGCGTTCAACTCACAGAGTTTAACCTTTCTTTTCATACAGCAGTTAGGAAACACTCTGTTTCTAAAGTCTGCAAGTGGATATTCAGACCTCCTTGAGGCCTTCGTTGGAAACGGGATTTCTTCATATTATGCTAGACAGAAGAATTCTCAGTAACTTCCTTGTGTTGTGTGTATTCAACTGACAGAGTTGAACTATCATTTACAGAGAGCAGATTTGAAACACTGTTTTTGTGGAATTTGCAAGTGGAGATTTCAAGCGCTTTGGGGCCAAAGGAAGAAAAGGAAATATCTTCGTATAAAAACTAGACAGAATCATTCTCAGAAACTGCTCTGCGATGTGTGCGTTCAACTCTCAGAGTTTAACTTTTCTTTTCATTCAGCAGTTTGGAAACACTCTGTTTGTAAAGTCTGCACGTGGATATTTTGACCACTTAGAGGCCTTCGTTGGAAACGGGTTTTTTTCTTGTAAGGCTAGACAGAAGAATTCCTAGTAACTTCCTTGTGTTGTGTACATTCAACTCACAGAGTTGAACGTTCCCTTAGACAGAGCAGATTTGAAACACTCTTTTTGTGCAATTGGCAAGTGGAGATTTCAGCCGCTTTGAGGTCCATGGTAGAAAAGGAAATATCTTCGTATAAAAACTAGACAGAATCATTCCCACAAACTGCGTTGTGATGTGTTCGTTCAACTCACAGAGTTTAACCTTTCTGTTCATAGAGCAGTTAGGAAACACTCTGTTTGTAAAGTCTGTAAGTGGATATTCTGACATCTTGTTGCCTTGTTGGAAAAGGGATTTCTTCATATTCTGGTAGACAGAAGAATTCTCAGTAACTTCCCTTGTGTTGTGTGTATTCAACTCACAGAGTTGAACGATCCTTTACACAGAGCAGACTTGAAACACTCTTTTTGTGGAATTTGCAAGTGGAGATTTCAGCCGCTTTGAGGTCAATGGTAGAATAGGAAATATCTTCCTATAGAAACTAGACAGAATGATTCTCAGAAACTCCTTTGTGATGTGTGCGTTCAACTCAAAGAGTTTAACCTTTCTTTTCATAGAGCAGTTAGGAAACACTCTGTTTGTAAAGTCTGCAAGTGGATATTCAGACATCCTTGAGGCTTTCGTTGGAAACGGGATTTCTTCATATTCTGCTAGAAAGAAGAATTCCCAGTAACTTCGTTGTGTTGTGTGTGTTCAACTCACAGAGTTGAACTTCCATTTACACAGAGCAGATTTGAAACACTCTTTTTGTGGAATTTGCAAGTGGAGATTTCAAGCACTTTGAGGCCAAAGGCAGAAAAGGAAATATCTTCGTTTCAAAACTAGACAGAATCATTCTCAGAAACTGCTGCGTGATGTGTGCGTTCAACTCTCAGAGTTTAACTTTTCTTTTCATTCAGCGGTTTGGAAACACTCTGTTTGTAAAGTCTGCACGTGGATATTTTGACCACTTAGAGGCCTTCGTTGGAAACGGGTTTTTTTTATGTAAGGCTAGACAGAAGAATTCCCAGTAACTTCCTTGTGTTGTGTGCATTCAACTCACAGAGTTGAACGTTCCCTTAGACAGAGCAGATTTGAAACACTCTATTTGTGTAATTTGCAAGTGTAGATTTCAAGCGCTTTCAGGTCAACGGCAGAAAAGGAAATATCTTCGTTTCAAAACTAGACAGAATCATTCCCACAAACTGCGTTGTGATGTGTTCGTTCAACTCACAGAGTTTAACCTTCCTGTTCATAGAGCAGTTAGGAAACACTCTGTTTGTAAAGTCTGCAAGTGGATATTCAGACCTCCTTGAGGCCTTCGTTGGAAACGGGATTTCTTCATATTCTGCTAGACAGAAGAATTCTCAGTAACTGCCGTCTGTTGTGTGTATTCAACTCACAGAGTTGAACGATCCTTTACACAGAGCAGACTTGAAACACTCTTTTTGTGGAATTTGCAAGTGGAGATTTCAGCCGCTTTGAGGTCAATGGTAGAATAGGAAATATCTTCCTATAGAAACTAGACAGAATGATTCTCAGTAAACTCCTTTGTGATGTGTGTGTTCAACTCACAGAGTTTAACCTTTCTTTTCATAGAGCAGTTAGGAAACACTCTGTTTGTAAAGACTGCAGGTGGATATTCAGGCCTCTTTGAGGCCTTCGTTGGAAACGGGTTTTTTTCATATAAGGCTAGACAGAAGAATTCCCAGTAACTTCCTTGTGTGTGTTCAACTCACAGAGTTGAACTTTCATTTACACAGAGCAGATTTGAAACACTCTTTTTGTGGAATTTGCAAATGGAGATTTCAAGCGCTTTGAGGCCAAAGGCAGAAAAGGAAATATCTTCGTATAAAAACGAGACAGAATCATTCTCAGAAACTCCTTTGTGATGTGTGCGTTCAACTCTCAGAGTTTAACTTTTCTTTTCATTCAGCGGTTTGGAAACACTCTGTTTGTAAAGTCTGCACGTGGAAATTTTGACCACTTAGAGGCCTTCGTTGGAAACGGGTTTTTTTCATGTAAGGCTAGACAGAAGAATTCCCAGTAACTTCCTTGTGTTGTGTGCATTCAACTCACAGAGTTGAACGTTCCCTTAGACAGAGCAGATTTGAAACACTCTATTTGTGCAATTTGCAAGTGTAGTTTTCAAGCTCTTTAAGGTCAACGGCAGAAAAGGAAATATCTTCGTTTCAAAACTAGACAGAATGATTCTCAGAAACTCCTTTGTGCTGTGTGCGTTCAGCTCACAGAGTTTAACCTTTCTTTTCATAGAGCAGTTAGGAAACACTCTGTTTGTAAAGTCTGCAAGTGGATATTCAGACATCTTTGAGGCCTTCGTTGGAAACGGGATTTCTTCATATTCTGCTAGACAGAAGAATTCTCAGAAACTTCCTTGTGTTGTGTGTTTTCAACTCACAGAGTTGAACGATGCTTTACACAGAGTAGACTTGAAACACTCTTTTTGTGTAATTTGCAAGTGGAGATTTCAGCCGCTTTGAGGTCAATGCTAGAAAAGGAAATATCTTCGTATAAAAACTAGACAGAATGATTCTCAGAAACTCCTTTGTGATGTGTGCGTTCAACTCACAGAGTTTAACCTTTCTTTTCATAGAGCAGTTAGGAAACACTCTGTAAAGTCTGCAAGTGGATATTCAGACCTCCTTGAGGCCTTCGTTGGAAACGGGATTTCTTCATATTTTGCTAGACAGAAGAATTCCCAGTAACTTCCTTGTGTTGTGTGCGTTCAACTCACAGAGTTGAACTTTCATTTACACAGAGCAGATTTGAAACACTCTTTTTGTGGAATTTGCAAGTGGAGATTTCAAGCGCTTTGAGGCCAAAGGCAGAAAAGGAAATATCTTGGTATAAAAACTAGACAGAATGATTCTCAGAAACTCCTTTGTGATGTGTGCGTTCAACTCATCAGAGTTTAACTTTTCTTTTCATTCAGCAGTTTGGAAACACTCTGTTTGTAAAGTCTGCACGTGGATATTTTGACCACTTAGAGGCCTTCGTTGGAAACGGGTTTTTTTCATGTAAGGCTAGACAGAAGAATTCCCAGTAACTTCCTTGTGTTGTGTACATTCAACTCACAGAGTTGAACGTTCCCTTAGACAGAGCAGATTTGAAACACTCTTTTTGTGCAATTGGCAAATGGAGATTTCAAGCGCTTTAAGGTCAATGGCAGAAAAGGAAATATCTTCGTTTCAAAACTAGACAGAATCATTCCCACAAACTGCGTTGTGATGTGTTCGTTCAACTCACAGAGTTTAACCTTTCTTTTCATACAGCAGTTAGGAAACAGTCTGTTTGTCAATTCTGTAAGTGGATATTCTGACATCTTGTGGCCTTCGTTGGAAACGGGATTTCTTCATATTCTGCTAGACAGAAGAATTCTCAGTAACTTCCTTGTGTTGTGTGTATTCAACTCACAGAGTTGAATGATCCTTTACACAGAGCAGACTTGAAACACTCTTTTTGTGGAATTTGCAAGTGGAGATTTCAGCCGCTTTGAAGTCAATGGTAGAAAAGAAAATATCTTCGTATAAAGACTAGACAGAATGATTCTGAGAAATCCTTTGTGATGTGTGCGTTCAACTCACAGAGTTTAACCTTTCTTTTCATAGAGCAGTTAGGAAACACTCTGTTTGTAAAGTCTGCAAGTGGATATTCAGACCTCCTTGAGGCCTTCGTTGGAAACGGGATTTCTTCATATTATGCTAGACAGAAGAATTCTCAGTAACTTCCTTGTGTTGTGTGTATTCAACTGACAGAGTTGAACTTTCATTTAGAGAGAGCAGGTTTGAAACACTGTTTTTGTGGAATTTGCAAGTGGAGATTTCAAGCGCTTTGGGGCCAAAGGCAGAAAACGAAATATCTTCGTTTAAAAACTAGACAGAATCATTCTCAGAAACTGCTCTGCGATGTGTGCGTTCAACTCTCAGAGTTTAACTTTTCTTTTCATTCAGCAGTTTGGAAACACTCTGTTTGTAAAGTCTGCAGGTGGATATTTTGACCACTTAGAGGCCTTCGTTGGAAACGGGTTTTTTTCCTGTAAGGCTAGACAGAAGAATTCCCAGTAACTTCCTTGTGTTGTGTGCATTCAACTCACAGAGTTGAACGTTCCCTTAGACAGAGCAGATTTGAAACACTCTATTTGTGCAATTTGCAAGTGTAGATTTCAAGCGCTTTAAGGTCAATGGCAGAAAAGGAAATATCTTCGTTTTAAAACTAGACAGAATCATTCCCACAAACTGCGTTGTGACGTGTTCGTTCAACTCACAGAGTTTAACCTTTCTGTTCATAGAGCAGTTAGGAAACACTCTGTTTGTAAAGTCTGCAAGTGGATATTCAGACCTCCTTGAGGCCTTCGTTGGAAACGGGATTTCTTCATATTCTGCTAGACAGAATAATTCTCAGTAACTTCCTTGTGTTTTGTGTTTTCAACTCACCGAGTTGAAGGATCCTTTACAGAGAGCAGGCTTGAAACACTCTTTTTCTCGAATTTGCAAGTGGAGATTACAGCCGCTTTGAGGTCAATGGTAGAAAAGGAAATATCTTCGTATAAAGACTAGACAGAATGATTCTCAGAAACTCCTTTGTGATGTGTGCGTTCAACTCACAGAGTTTAACCTTTCTTTTCATAGAGCAGTTAGGAAACACTCTGTTTGTGAAGTCTGCAAGTGGATATTCAGACATCCTTGAGGCTTTCGTTGGAAACGGGATTTCTTCATATTCTGCTAGAAAGAAGAATTCTCAGTAACTTCCTTGTGTTGTGTGTATTCAACTGACAGAGTTGAACTTTCATTTAGAGTGAGCAGATTTGAAACACTGTTTTTGTGGAATTTGCAAGTGGAGATTTCAAGCGCTTTGGGGCCAAAGGCAGAAAAGGAAATATCTTCGTATAAAAACTAGACAGAATCATTCTCAGAAACTGCTGCGTGATGTGTGCGTTCCACTCTCAGAGTTTAACTTTTCTTTTCATTCAGCGGTTTGGAAACACTCTGTTTGTAAAGTCTGCACGTGGATATTTTGACCACTTAGAGGCCTTCGTTGGAAACGGGTTTTTTTTCATGTAAGGCTAGACAGAAGAATTCCCAGTAACTTCCTTGTGTTGTGTGCATTCAACTCACAGAGATGAACATTCCCTTAGACAGAGCAGATTTGAAACACTCTATTTGTGTAATTTGCAAGTGTAGATTTCAATCGCTTTAAGGTCAATGGCAAAAAAGGAAATATCTGCGTTTCAAAACTAGACAGACTCATTCCCAAAAACTGCGTTGTGATGTGTTCGTTAAACTCACAGAGTTTAACCTTTCTGTTCATAGAGCAGTTAGGAAACACTCTGTTTGTGAAGTCTGTAAGTGGATATTCAGACCTCCTTGAGGCCTTCGTTGGAAACGGGATTTCTTCATATTCTGCTAGACAGAAGAATTCTCAGAATCTTCCTTGTGTTGTGTGTATTCAACTCACAGAGTTGAACGATCCTTTACACAGAGCAGACTTGAAACACTCTTTTTGTGGAATTTGCAAGTGGAGATTTCAAGCGCTTTGAGGCCAAAGGCAGAAAAGGAAATATCTTCGTTTCAAAACTAGACAGAATGATTCTCAGAAACTCCTTTGTGATGTGTGCGTTCAACTCACAGAGTTTAACCTTTCTTTTCATAGAGCAGTTAGGAAACACTCTGTTTGTAAAGTCTGCAAGTGGATATTCAGACATCCTTGAGGCTTTCGTTGGAAACGGGATTTCTTCATATTCTGCCAGAAAGAAGAATTCCCAGTAACTTCCTTGTGTTGTGTGTGTTCAACTCACAGAGTTGAACTTTCATTTACACAGAGCACATTTGAAACACTCTTTTTGTGGAATTTGCAAGTGGAGATTTCAAGCGCTTTGAGGCCAAAGGCAGAAAAGGAAATATCTTCGTATAAAAACTAGACAGAATCATTCTCAGAAACTGCTCTGCGATGTGTGCGTTCAACTCTCAGAGTTTAACTTTTCTTTTCATTCAGCAGTTTGGAAACACTCTGTTTGTAAAGTCTGCACGTGGATATTTTGACCACTTAGAGGCCTTCGTTGGAAAGGGGTTTTTTTCCTATAAGGCTAGCCAGAAGAATTCCCAGTAACTTCCTTGTGTTGTGTGCATTCAACTCACAGAGTTGAACGTTCCCTTAGACAGAGCAGATTTGAAACACTCTATTTGTGCAATTTGCAAGTGTAGTTTTCAAGCTCTTTAAGGTCAACGGCAGAAAAGGAAATATCTTGGTTTCAAAACTAGACAGAATCATTTCCACAAACTGCGTTGTGATGTGTTCGTTCAACTCACAGAGTTTAACCTTTCTGTTCATAGAGCAGTTAGGAAACACTCTGTTTGTAAAGTCTGTAAGTGGATATTCTGACATCTTGTGGCCTTCGTTGGAAACGGGATTTCTTCATATTCTGCTAGACAGAAGAATTCTCAGTAACTTCCTTGTGTTGTGTGTATTCAACTCACAGAGTTGAACGATCCTTTACACAGAGCGGACTTGAAACACTCGTTTTGTGGAATTTGCAAGTGCAGATTTCAGCCGCGTTGAGGTCAATGGTAGAAAAGGAAATATCTTCGTATAAAAACTAGACAGAATGATTCTCATAAACTCCTTTGTGATGTGTGCGTTCAACTCACAGAGTTTAACCTTTCTTTTCATAGAGCAGTTAGGAAACACTCTGTTTGTAAAGTCTGCAAGTGGATATTCAGACCTCCTTGAGTCCTTCGTTGGAAACGGGATTTCTTCATATTCTGCTAGACAGAAGAATTCTCAGTAACTTCCTTCTGTTGTGTGTATTCAACTGACAGAGTTGAACTTTCATTTAGAGAGAGCAGATTTGAAACACTGTTTTTGTGGAATTTGCAAGTGGAGATTTCAAGCGCTTTGGGGCCAAAGGCAGAAAAGGAAATAACTTCGTATAAAAACTTGACAGAATCATTCTCAGAAACTGCTGCGTGATGTGTGCGTTCAACTCTCAGAGTTTAACTTTTCTTTTCATTCAGCGGTTTGGAAACACTCTGTTTGTAAAGTCTGCACGTGGATATTTTGACCACTTAGAGGCCTTCGTTGGAAACGGGTTTTTTTCATGTAGGGCTAGACAGAAGAATTCCCAGTAACTTCCTTGTGTTGTGTACATTCAACTCACAGAGTTGAACGTTCCCTTAGAGCAGATTTGAAACACTCTTTTTGTGCAATTGGCAAGTGGAGATTTCAAGCGCTTTAAGGTCAATGGCAGAAAAGGAAATATCTTCGTTTCAAAACTAGACAGAATCATTCCCACAAACTGCGTTGTGAGGTGTTCGTTCAACTCACAGAGTTTAACCTTTCTTTTCATAGAGCAGTTAGGAAACAGTCTGTTTGTAAATTCTGTAAGAGTATATTCTGAAATATTGTGGCCTTCGTTGGAAACGGGATTTCTTCATATTCTGCTAGACAGAAGAATTCTCAGTAACTTCCTTGTGTTGTGTGTATTCAACTCACAGAGTTGAACGATCCTTTCCAGAGAGCAGACTTGAAACACTTTTTGTGGAATTTGCAAGTGGAGATTTCTGTCGCTTTGAGGTCAAAGGTAGAATAGGAAATATCTTCCTATAGAAACTAGACAGAGTGATTCTCAGAAACTCCTTTGTGATGTCTGCGTTCAACTCACAGAGTTTAACCTTTCTTTTCATAGAGCAGTTAGGAAACACTCTGTTTGTAAAGTCTGCAAGTGGATATTCAGACCTCCTTGAGGCCTTCGTTGTAAACGGGATTTCTAAATATTATGCTAGACAGAAGAATTCTCAGTAAATTCCTTGTGTTGTGTGTATTCAACTGACAGAGTTGAACTTTCATTTGGAGAGAGCAGATTTGAAACACTGTTTTTGTGGAATTTGCAAGTGGAGATTTCAAGCGCTTTGGGGCCAAAGGCAGAAAAGGAAATATCTTCGTATAAAAACTAGACAGAATCATTCTCAGAAAATGCTCTGTGATGTGTGCGTTCAACTCTCAGAGTTTAACTTTTGTTTTCATTCAGCAGTTTGGAAACACTCTGTTTGTAAAGTCTGCACGTGGATATTTTGACCACTTAGAGGCCTTCGTTGGAAACGGGTTTTTTTCATGAAAGGGTAGACAGAAGAATTCCCAGTAACTTCCTTGTGTTGTGTGCATTCAACTCACAGAGTTGAACGTTCCCTTAGACAGAGGAGATTTGAAACACTCTATTTGTGCAATTTGCAATTGTAGATTTCAAGCGCTTTAAGGTCAATGGCAGAAAAGGAAATATCTTCGTTTCAAAACTAGACAGAATCATTCCCACAAACTGCATTGTGATGTGTTCGTTCAACTCACAGAGTTTAACCTTTCTTTTCATAGAGCAGTTAGGAAACAGTCTGTTTGTCAATTCTGTAAGTGGATATTCTGACATCTTGTGGCCTTCGTTGGAAACGGGATTTCTTCATATTCCGCTAGACAGAAGAATTCTCAGTAACTTCCTTGTGTTGTGTGTATTCAACTCACAGAGTTGAACGATCCTTTACACAGAGCAGACTTGTAACACTCTTTTTGTGGAATTTGCAAGTGGAGAATTCAGCCGCTTTGAAGTCAAAGGTAGAAAAGGAAATAACTTCCTATAAAAACTAGACAGAAGAATTCCCAGTAACTTCCTTGTGTTGTGTGTGTTCAACTCACAGAGTTGAACTTTCATTTACACAGAGTAGATTTGAAACACTCTTTTTGTGGAATTTGCAAGTGGAGATTTCAAGCGCTTTGAGGCCAAAGGCAGAAAAGGAAATATCTTCGTATAAAAACTAGACAGAATCATTCTCAGAAACTGCTGCGTGATGTGTGCGTTAAACTCTCAGAGTTTAACTTTTCTTTTCATTCAGCGGTTTGGAAACACTCTGTTTGTAAAGTCTGCACGTGGATATTTTGACCACTTAGAGGCCTTCGTTGGAAACGGGTTTTTTTCATGTAAGGCTAGACAGAAGAATTCCCAGTAACTTCCTTGTGTTGTGTGCATTCCACTCACAGAGTTGAACGTTCCCTTAGACAGAGCAGATTTGAAACACTCTATTTGTGCAATTTGCAAGTGTAGATTTCAAGCGCTTTAAGGTCAATGGCAGAAAAGGAAATATCTTCGTTTCAAAACTAGACAGAATCATTCCCACAAACTGCGTTGTGATGTGTTCGTTCAACTCACAGAGTTTAACCTTTCTTTTCATAGAGCAGTTAGGAAACAGTCTGTTTGTAAATTCTCTAAGTGGATATTCTGACATCTTGTGGCCTTCGTTGGAAACGGGATTTCTTCATATTCTGGTAGACAGAAGAATTCTCAGTAACTTCCTTGTGTTGTGTGTATTCAACTCACAGAGTTGAATGATCCTTTACACAGAACAGACTTGAAACACTCTTTTTGTGGAATTTGCAAGTGGAGATTTCAGCCGCTTTGAGGTCAATGGTAGAATAGGAAATATCTTCCTATAGAAACTAGACAGAATGATTCTCAGAAACTCCTTTGTGATGTGTGCGTTCAACTCACAGAGTTTAACCTTTCTGTTCATAGAGCCGTTAGGAAACACACTGTTTGTAAAGTCTGCAAGTGGATATTCAGACCTCTTTGAGGCCTTCGTTGGAAACGGGATTTCTTCATATTATGCTAGACAGAAGAATTCTCAGTAACTTCCTTGTGTTGTGTGTATTCAACTGACAGAGTTGAACTTTCATTTAGAGAGAGAAGATTTGAAACACTGTTTTTGTGGAATTTGCAATTGGAGATTTCAAGCGCTTTGGGGCCAAATGCAGAAAAGGATATATCTTCGTATAAAAACTAGACAGAATGATTCTCAGAAACTTCTTTGTGATGTGTGCGTTCAACTCACAGAGTTTAAACTTTCTTTTCATAGAGTAGTTAGGAATCACTCTGTTTGTAAAGTCTGCAAGTAGATATTTTGACCTCTTTGAGGCCTTCGTTGGAAACGGGTTTTTTTCCAGTAAGGCTAGACAGAAGAATTCCCAGTAACTTCCTTGTGTTGTGTACATTCAACTCACAGAGTTGAACGTTCCCTTAGACAGAGCTGATTTGAAACACTCTTTTTGTGCAATTGGCAAGTGGAGATTTCTAGCGCTTTAAGGTCAATGGCAGAAAAGGAAATATCTTCGTTTCAAAACTAGACAGATAATCATTCCCACAAACTGCGTTGTGATGTGTTCGTTCATCTCACAGAGTTTAACCTTTCTTTTCGTAGAGCAGTTAGGAAACAGTCTGTTTGTAAATTCTGTAAGTGGATATTCTGACATCTTGTGGCCTTCGTTGGAAACGGGATTTCTTCATATTCTGCTAGACAGAAGAATTCTCAGAATCTTCCTTGTGTTGTGTGTATTCAACTCACACAGTTGAACGATGGTTTACACAGAGCAGATTTGAAACACTCTTTTTGTGGAATTTGCAAGTGGAGATTTCAGCCGCTTTGAGGTCAATGGTAGAAAAGGAAATATCTTCGTATAAAAACTAGACAGAATGATTCTCAGAAACTCCTTTGTGATGTGTGTGTTCAACTCACAGAGTTTAACCTTTCTTTTCATAGAGCAGTTAGTAAACACTGTTTATAAAGTCTGCAAGTGGATATTCAGACCCCTTTGAGGCCTTCGTTGGAAACGGGATTTCTTCATATTATGCTAGACAGAAGAATTCCCAGTAACTTTCCTTGTGTTGTGTGTGTTCAACTCACAGAGTTGAACTTTCATTTACACAGAGCAGATTTGAAACACTCTTTTTGTGGAATTTGCAAGTGGAGATTTCAAGCGCTTTGAGGCCAAAGGCAGAAAAGGAAATAGTCTTCGTTTCAAAACTAGACAGAATCATTCTCAGAAACTGCTCTGCGATGTGTGCGTTCAACTCTCAAAGTTTAACTTTTCTTTTCATTCAGCAGTTTGGAAACACTCTGTTTGTAAAGTCTGCACGTGGATAACTTGACCACTTAGAGGCCTTCGTTGGAAACAGGTTTTTTTCCTGTAAGGCTAGACAGAATAATTCCCAGTAACTTCCTTGTGTTGTGTACATTCAACTCACAGAGTTGAACGTTCCCTTAGAGAGAGCAGATTTGAAACACTCGTTTTGTGAAATTGGCAAGTGGAGATTTCAAGGGCTTTAAGGTCAATGGCAGAAAAGGAAATATCTTCGTTTCAAAACTAGACAGAATCATTCCCACAAACTGCGTTGTGATGTGTTCGTTCAACTCACAGAGTTTAACCTTTCTTTTCATAGAGCAGTTAGGAAACACTCTGTTTGTAAATTCTGTAAGTGGATATTCTGACATCTTGTGGCCTTCGTTGGAAACGGGATTTCTTCATATTCTGCTAGACAGAAGAATTCTCAGTAACTGCCTTGTGTTGTGTGTATTCAACTCACAGAGTTGAACGATCCTTTACACAGAGCAGACTTGAAACACTCTTTTTGTGGAATTTGCAAGTGGAGATTTCAGCCGCTTTGACGTCAATGGTAGAATAGGAAATATCTTCCTATAGAAACTAGACAGAATGATTCTCAGAAACTCCTTTGTGGTGTGTGTGTTCAACTCACAGAGTTTAACCTTTCTTTTCATAGAGCAGTTAGTAAACACTCTGTTTATAAAGTCTGCAAGTGGATATTCAGACCCCTTTGAGGCCTTCGTTGGAAACGGGATTTCTTCATATTATGCTAGACAGAAGAATTCTCAGTAACTTCCTTGTGTTGTGTGTATTCAACTGACAGATTTGAACTTTCATTTAGAGAGAGTAGATTTGAAACACTGTTTTTGTGGAATTTGCAAGTGGAGATTTCAAGCGCTTTGGGGCCAAAGGCAGAAAAGGAAATATCTTCGTATAAAAACTAGACAGAATCATTCTCAGAAACTGCTGCGTGATGTGTGCGTTCACCTCTCAGAGTTTAACTTTTCTTTTCATTCAGCGGTTTGGAAACACTCTGTCTGTAAAGTCTGCACGTGGATATTTTGACCACTTAGAGGCCTTCGTTGGAAACGGGTTTTTTTCATGTAAGGCTAGACAGAAGAATTCTCAGTAACTTCCTTGTGTTGTGTGTATTCAACTCACACAGTTGAACGATCCTTTACACAGAGCAGACTTGTAACACTCCTTTTGTGGAATTTGCAAGTGGAGATTTCAGCCGCTTTGAAGTCAAATGTAGAAAAGGAAATATCTTCCTATAAAAACTAGACAGAATGATTCTCAGAAACCCCTTTGTGATGTGTGCGTTCAACTCACAGAGTTTAACCTTTCTGTTCATAGAGCAGTTAGGAAACACTCTGTTTGTAAAGTCTGTAAGTGGATATTCTGACATCTTGTGGCCTTCGTTGGAAAAGGGATTTCTTCCTATTCTGCTAGACAGAAGAATTCTCAGAATCTTCCTTGTGTTGTGTGTATTCAACTCACAGAGTTGAACGATCCTTTACACAGAGCAGACTTGAAACACTCTTTTTGTGGAATTTGCAAGTGGAGATTTCAGCCGCTTTGAGGTCCATGGTAGAAAAGGAAATATCTTCGTACAAAAACTAGACAGAAATGATTCTCAGAAACTCCTTTGTGATGTGTGTGTTCAACTCACAGAGTTTCACCTTTCTTTTCATAGAGCAGATAGGAAACACTCTGTTTGTAAAGTCTGCAAGTGGATATTCAGACCTCTTTGAGGCCTTCGTTGGAAACGGGTTTTTTTCATATAAGGCTAGACAGAAGAATTCCCGGTAACTTCCTTGTGTTTTGTGTGTTCAACTCACAGAGTTGAACTTTCATTTACACAGAGCAGATTTGAAACACTCTTTTTGTGGAATTTGCAAGTGGAGATTTCAAGCGCTTTGAGGCCAAAGGCAGAAAAGGAAATATCTTCGTTTCAAAACTAGACAGAATCATTCTCAGAAACTGCTCTGCGATGTGTGCGTTCAACTCTCAGAGTTTAACTTTTCTATTCATTCAGCAGTTTGGAAACACTCTGTTTGTAAAGTCTGCACGTGGATATTTTGACCACTTAGAGGCCTTCGTTGGAAACGGGTTTCTTTCCTGTAAGGCTAGACAGAAGAATTCCCAGTAACTTCCTTGTGTTGTGTACATTCAACTCACAGAGTTGAACGTTCCCTTAGACAGAGCAGATTTGAAACACTCTTTTTGTGCAATTGGCAAGTGGTGATTTCAGCCGCTTTGAGGTCAATGGTAGAAAAGGAAATATCTTCGTATAAAAACTAGACAGAATGATTCTCAGAAACTCCTTTGTGATGTGTGCGTTCAACTCACAGAGTTTAACCTTTCTTTTCATAGAGCAGTTAGGAAACACTCTGTTTGTAAAGTCTGCAAATGGATATTCAGACCTCCTTGAGGCCTTCGTTGGAAACGGGATTTCTTCATATTATGCTAGACAGAAGAATTCTCAGTAACTTCCTTGTGTTGTCTGTATTCAACTCACAGAGTTCAACGATTCTTTACACAGAGCAGACTTGAAACAGTCTTTTTGTGGAATTTGCAAGTGGAGATTTCAGCCGCTTTGAGGTCAATTGTAGAAAAGGAAATATCTTCGTATAAAAACTGGACAGAATGATTCTCATAAACTCCTTTGTGATGTGTGCGTTCAACTCACAGAGTTTAACCTTTCTTTTCATAGAGCAGTTAGTAAACACTCTGTTTATAAAGTCTGCAAGTGGATATTCAGACCCCTTTGAGGCCTTCGTTGGAAACGGGATTTCTTCATATTATGCTAGACAGAAGAATTCTCAGTAACTTCCTTGTGTTGTGTGTATTCAACTGACAGAGTTGAACTTTCATTTAGAAAGAGCAGATTTGAAACACTGTTTTTGTGGAATTTGCAAGTGGAGATTTCAAGCGCTTTGGGGCCAAAGGCAGAAAAGGAAATATCTTCGTATAAAAACTAGACAGAATCATTCTCAGAAACTGCTGCGTGATGTGTGCGTTCAACTCTCAAGAGTTTAACTTTTCTTTTCATTCAGCGGTTTGGAAACACTCTGTTTGTAAAGTCTGCACGTGGATATTTTGACCACTTAGAGGCCTTCGTTGGAAACGGGTTTTTTTCATGTAAGGCTAGACAGAAGAATTCCCAGTAACTTCCTTGTGTTGTGTACATTCAACTCACAGAGTTGAACGTTCCCTTAGACAGAGCAGATTTGAAACACTCTTTTTGTGCAATTGGCAAATGGAGATTTCAAGCGCTTTAAGGTCAATGGCAGAAAAGGAAATATCTTCGTTTCAAAACTAGACAGAATGATTCTCAGAAACTCCTTTGTGATGTGTGGGTTCAACTCACAGAGTTTAACCTTTCTTTTCATAGAGCAGTTAGGAAACACTCTGTTTGTAAAGTCTGCAAGTGGATATTCAGACATCCTTGAGGCTTTCGTTGGAAACGGGATTTCTTCATATTCTGCTAGAAAGAAGAATTCTCAGTAACTTCCTTGTGTTGTGTGTATTCAACTCACAGAGTTGAACGATCCTTTACACAGAGCAGACTTGAAACACTCTTTTTGTGGAATTTGCAAGTGGATATTTCAGCCGCTTTGAGTTCAATGGTAGAATAGGAAATATCTTCCTATAGAAACTAGACAGAATGATTCTCAGAAACTCCTTTGTGATGTGTGTGTTCAACTCACAGAGTTTAACCTTTCTTTTCATAGAGCAGTTAGTAAACACTCTGTTTATAAAGTCTGCAAGTGGATATTCAGACCCATTTGAGGCCTTCGTTGGAAACGGGATTTCTTCATATTATGCTAGACAGAAGAATTCCCAGTAACTTCCCTTGTGTTGTGTGTGTTCAACTCACAGAGTTGAACTTTCATTTACACAGAGCAGATTTGAAACACTCTTTTTGTGCAATTTGCAAGTGGAGATTTCAAGCGCTTTGAGGCCAAAGGCAGAAAAGGAAATATCTTCGTTTCAAAACTAGACAGAATCATTCTCAGAAACTGCTGCGTGATGTGTGCGTTCAACTCTCAGAGTTTAACTTTTCTTTTCATTCAGCGGTTTGGAAACACTCTGTTTGTAAAGTCTGCACGTGGATATTTTGACGACTTAGAGGCCTTCGTTGGAAACGGGTTTTTTTCATGTAAGGCTAGACAGAAGAATTCCCAGTAACTTCCTTGTGTTGGGTGCATTCAACTCACAGAGTTGAACGTTCCCTTAGACAGAGCAGATTTGAAACACTCTATTTGTGCAATTTGCAAGTGTAGATTTCAAGCGCTTTAAGGTCAATGGAAGAAAAGGAAATATCTTCGTTTCAAAACTAGACAGAATCATTCCCACAAACTGCGTTGTGATGTGTTCGTTCAACTCACAGAGTTTAACCTTTCTGTTCATAGAGCAGTTAGGAAACACTCTGTTTTTAAAGTCTGTAAGTGGATATTCTGACATCTTGTGGCCATCGTTGGAAACGGGATTTCTTCATATTCTGCTAGACAGAAGAATTCTCAGTAACTTCCTTGTGTTGTGTGTATTCAACTCACAGAGTTGAACGATCCTTTACACAGAGCAGACTTGAAACACTCGTTTTGTGGAATTTGCAAGTGGAGATTTCAGCTGCTTTGAGGTCAATGGTAGAAAAGGAAATATCTTCGTATAAAAACTAGACAGAATGATTCTCAGAAACTCCTTTGTGATGTAAGCGTTCAACTCACAGAGTTTAACCTTTCTTTACATAGAGCAGTTAGGAAACACTCTGTTTGTAAAGTCTGCAAGTGGATATTCAGACCTCCTTGAGGCCTTCGTTGGAAACGGGATTTCTTCATATTATGCTAGACAGAAGAATTCCGAGTAACTTCCTTGTGTTGTGTGTGTTCAACTCACAGAGTTGAACTTTCATTTACACAGAGCAGATTTGAAACACTCTTTTTGTGGAATTTGCAAGTGGAGATTTCAAGCGCTTTGAGGCCAAAGGCAGAAAAGGAAATATCTTCGTATAAAAACTAGACAGAATCACTCTCAGAAACTGCTCTGCGATGTGTGCGTTCAACTCTCAGAGTTTAACTTTTCTTTTCATTCAGCAGTTTGGAAACACTCTGTTTGTAAAGTCTGCACGTGGATAACTTGACCACTTAGAGGCCTTCGTTGGAAACGGGTTTTTTTCCTGTAAGGCTAGACAGAAGAATTCCCAGTAACTTCCTTGTGTTGTGTACATTCAACTCACAGAGTTGAACGTTCCCTTAGACAGAGCAGATTTGAAACACTCTTTTTGTGCAATTGGCAAATGGAGATTTCAAGCGCTTTAAGGTCAATGGCAGAAAAGGAAATATCTTCGTTTCAAAACTAGACAGAATCATTCCCACAAACTGCGTTGTGATGTGTACGTTCAACTCACAGAGTTTAACCTTTCTGTTCATAGAGCAGTTAGGAAACACGCTGTTTGTAAAGTCTGTAAGTGGATATTCTGACATCTTGTGGCCTTCGTTGGAAACGGGATTTCTTCATATTCTGCTAGACAGAAGAATTCTCAGTACCTTCCTTGTGTTGTGTGTATTCAACTCACAGAGTTGAACGATCCTTTACACAGAGCAGACTTGTAACACTCTTTTTGTGGAATTTGCAAGTGGAGATTTCAGCCGCTTTGAAGTCAAAGGTAGAAAAGGAAATATCTTCCTATAAAAACTAGACAGAATGATTCTGAGAAACTCGTTTGTGATGTGTGCGTTCAACTCACAGAGTTTAACCTTTCTTTTCATAGAGCAGTTAGGAAACACTCTGTTTGTAAAGTCTGCAAGTGGATATTCAGACCTCCTTGAGGCCTTCGTTGGAAACGGGATTTCTTCATATTATGCTAGACAAAAGAATTCTCAGTAACTTCCTTGTGTTGTGTGTATTCAACTGAAAGAGTTGAACTTTCATTTAGAGAGAGCAGATTTGAAACACTGTTTTTATGGAATTTGCAAGTGGAGATTTCAAGCGCTTTGGGGCCAAAGGCAGAAAAGGAAATATCTTCGTATAAAAACTAGACAGAATCATTCTCAGAAACTGCTGCGTGATGTGTGCGTTCAACTCTCAGAGTTTAACTTTTCTTTTCATTCAGCGGTTTGGAAACACTCTGTTTGTAAAGACTGCAGGTGGATATTTTGACCACTTAGAGGCCTTCGTTGGAAACGGGTTTTTTTTCATGTAAGGCTAGACAGAAGAATTCCCAGTAACTTCCTTGTGTTGTGTGCATTCAACTCACAGAGTTGAACGTTCCCTTAGACAGAGCAGATTTGAAACACTCTATTTGTGCAATTTGCAAGTGTAGATTTCAAGCGCTTTAAGGTCAATGGCAGAAAAGGAAATATCTTCGTTTCAAAACTAGACAGAATCATTCCCACAAACTGCGTTGTGATGTGTTCGTTCAACTCACAGAGTTTAACCTTTCCGTTCATAGAGCAGTTAGGAAACACTCTCTAAAGTCTGTAAGTGGATATTCAGACCTCCTTGAGGTCTTCGTTGGAAACGGGATTTCTTCATATTCTGCTAGACAGAAGAATTCTCAGTAACTTCCTTGTGTTGTGTGTATTCAACTCACAGAGTTGAACGATCCTTTACACAGAGCAGACTTGAAACACTCTTTTTGTGGAATTTGCAAGTGGAGATTTCAGCCGCTTTGAGGTCAATGGTAGAAAAGAAAATATCTTCGTATAAAGACTAGACAGAATGATTCTCAGAAACTCCTTTGTGATGTGTGCGTTGAACTCACACAGTTTAACCTTTCTTTTCATAGAGCAGTTAGGAAACACTCTGTTTGTAAAGTCTGCAAGTGGATATTCAGACCTCCTTGAGGCCTTCGTTGGAAACGGGATTTCTTCATATTATGCTAGACAGAAGAAATCCCAGTAACTTCCTTGTGTTGTGTGTGTTCAACTCACAGAGTTGAACTTTCATTTACACAGAGCAGATTTGAAACACTCTTTTTGTGGAATTTGCAAGTGGAGATTTCAAGCGCTGTGAGGCCAAAGGCAGAAAAGGAAATATCTTCGTATAAAAACTAGACAGAATCATTCTCAGAAACTGCTCTGCGATGTGTGCGTTCAACTCTCAGAGTTTAACTTTTCTTTTCATTCAGCAGTTTGGAAACACTCTGTTTGTAAAGTCTGCACGTGGATATTTCGACCACTTAGAGGCCTTCGTTGGAAACGGGTTTCTTTCCTGTAAGGCTAGACAGAAGAATTCCCAGTAACTTCCTTGTGTTGTGTACATTCAACTCACAGAGTTGAACGTTCCCTTAGACAGAGCAGATTTGAAACACTCTTTTTGTGCAATTGGCAAGTGGAGATTTCAAGCGCTTTGAGGTCAATGGCAGAAAAGGAAATATCTTCGTTTCAAACTAGACAGAATCATTCCCACAAACTGCGTTGTGATGTGTTCGTTCAACTCACAGAGTTTAACCTTTCTTTTCATAGATCAGTTAGGAAACAGTCTGTTTGTCAATTCTGTAAGTGGATATTCTGACATCTTGTGGCCTTCGTTGGAAACGGGATTTCTTCATATTCTGCTAGACAGAATAATTCTCAGTAACTTCCTTGTGTTGTGTGCATTCAACTCACAGAGTTGAACGATCCTTTACAGAGAGCAGAGTTGAAACACTTTTTGTGGAATTTGCAAGTGGAGATTTCAGCCGCTTTGAGGTCAAAAGTAGAATAGGAAATATCTTCCTATAGAAACTAGACAGAATGATTCTCAGAAACTCCTTTGTGATGTGTGTGTTCAACTCACAGAGTTTAACCTTTCTTTTCATAGAGCAGTTAGTAAACACTCTGTTTATATAGTCTGTAAGTGGATATTCTGACATTTTGTGGCCTTGGTTGGAAATGGGATTTCTTCATATTCTCCAAGACAGAAGAATTCCCAGTAACTTCCTTGTGTTGTGTGTGTTCAACTCTGTGAGTTGAACTTTCATTTACACAGAGCAGATTTGAAACACTCTTTTTGTGGAATTTGCAAGTGGAGATTTCAAGCGCTTTGAGGCCAAAGGCAGAAAAGGAAATATCTTCGTATAAAAACTAGACAGAATCATTCTCAGAAACTGCTGCGTGATGTGTGCGTTCAACTCTCAGAGTTTAACTTTTCTTTTCATTCAGCGGTTTGGAAACACTCTGTTTGTAAAGTCTGCACGTGGATATTTTGACCACTTAGAGGCCTTAGTTGGAAACGGGTTTTTTGCATGTAAGGCTAGACAGAAGAATTCCCAGTAACTTCATTGTGTTGTGTGAATTCAACTCACAGAGTTGAACGTTCCCTTAGACAGAGCAGATTTGAAACACTCTATTTGTGCAATTTGCAAGTGTAGATTTCAAGCGCTTTAAGGTCAATGGCAGAAAAGGAAATATCTTCGTTTCAAAACTAGACAGAATCATTCCCACAAACTGCGTTGTGATGTGTTCGTTCAACTCACAGAGTTTAACCTTTCTGTTCATAGAGCAGTTAGGAAACACTCTGTTTGTAAAGTCTGCAAGTGGGTATTCAGACCTCCTTGAGGCCTTCGTTGGAAACGGGATTTCTTCATATTCTGCTAGACAGAAGAACTCTCAGTAACTTCCTTGTGTTGTGTGTATTCAACTCACAGAGTTGAACGATCCTTTACACAGAGCAGACTTGAAACACTCTATTTGTGGAATTTGCAAGTGGAGATTTCAGCCGCTTTGAGTTCAATGGTAGAATAGGAAATATCTTCCTATAGAAACTAGACAGAATGATTCTCAGAAACTCCTTTGTGATATGTGCGTTCAACTCACAGAGTTAAACCTTTCTTTTCATAGAGCAGTTGGGAAACACTCTGTTTGTAAAGTCTGCAAGTGGATATTCAGACTTCTTTGAGGCCTTCGTTGGAAGCGGGATTTCTTCATATTCTGCTAGACAGAAGAATTCTCAGTAACTTCCTTGTGTTGTGTGTATTCAACTCACAGAGTTGAACGATCCTTTACACAGAGCGGACTTGAAACACACTTTTTGAGGAATTTGCAAGTGGAGATTTCAGCCGCGTTGAGGTCAATGGTAGAAAAGGAAATATCTTCGTATAAAAACTAGACAGAATCATTCTCAGAAACTGCTGCGTGATGTGTGCGTTCAACTCTCAGAGTTTAACTTTTCTTGTCATTCAGCGGTTTGGAAACACTCTGTTTGTAAAGTCTGCACGTGGATATTTTGACCACTTAGTGGCCTTCGTTGGAAACGGGTTTTTTTTCATGTAAGGCTAGACAGAAGATTTCCCAGTAAATTCCTTGTGTTGTGTACATTCAACTCACAGAGTTGAACGTTCCCTTAGACAGAGCAGATTTGAAACACTCTTTTTGTGCAATTGGCAAGTGGAGATTTCAAGCGCTTTAAGGTCAATGGCAGAAAAGGAAATATCTTCGTTTCAAAACTAGACAGAATCATTCCCACAAACTGCGTTGTGATGTGTTTGTTCAACTCACAGAGTTTAACCTTTCTGTTCATAGAGCAGTTAGGAAACACTCTGTTTGTAAAGTCTGCAAGTGGATATTCAGACCTCCTTGAGGCCTTCGTTGGAAACGGGATTTCTTCATATTCTGCTAGACAGAAGAATTCTCAGAATCTTCCCTTGTGTTGTGTGTATTCAACTCACAGAGTTGAACGATCCTTTACACAGAGCAGACTTGAAACACTCTTTTTGTGGAATTTGCAAGTGGAGATTTCAGCCGCTTTGAGGTCCATGGTAGAAAAGGAAATATCTTCGTATAAAAACTAGACAGAATGATTCTCAGAAACTCCTTTGTGATGTGTGCGTTCAACTCACAGAGTTTAACCTTTCTTTTCATAGAGCAGTTAGGAAACACTCTGTTTGTAAAGTCTGCAAGTGGATATTCAGACCTCTTTGAGGCCTTCGTTGGAAACGGGTTTTTTACATATAAGGCTTGACAGAAGAATTCCCAGTAACTTCCTTGTGTTGTGTGTGTTCAACTGACAGAGTTGAACTTTCATTTACACAGAGCAGATTTGAAACACTCTTTTTGTGGAATTTGCAAGTGGAGATTTCAAGCGCTTTGAGGCCAAAGGCAGAAAAGGAAATATCTTCGCATAAAAACTAGACAGAATCATTCTCAGAAAATCCTCTGTGATGTGTGCGTTCAACTCTCAGAGTTTAACATTTCTTTTCATTCAGCAGTTTGAAAACACTCTGTTTGTAAAGTCTGCACGTGGATATTTTGACCACTTAGAGGCCTTCGTTGGAAACGGGTTTTTTTCATGTAAGTGTAGACAGAAGAATTCCCAGTAACTTCCTTGTGTTGTGTGCATTCAACTCACAGAGTTGAACGTTCCCTTAGACAGAGCAGATTTGAAACAGTCTATTTGTGTAATTTGCAAGTGTAGATTTCAAGCGCTTTCAGGTCAACGGCAGAAAAGGAAATATCTTCGTTTCAAAACTAGACAGAATCATTCCCACAAACTGCGTTGTGATGGGTTCGTTCAACTCACAGAGTTTAACCTTTCTTTTCATAGAGCAGTTAGGAAACAGTCTGTTTGTCAATTCTGTAAGTGGATATTCTGACATCTTGTGGCCTTCGTTGGAAACGGGATTTCTTCATATTCTGCTAGACAGAAGAATTCTCAGTGACTTCCTTGTGTTGTGTGTATTCTACTCACAGAGTTGAACGATCCTTTACACAGAGCAGACTTGAAACACTCTTTTTGTGGAATTTGAAAGTGGAGATTTCAGCCGCTTTGAGGTCAATGGTAGAAAAGGAAATATCTTCGTATAAAGACTAGACAGAATGATTCTCATAAACTCCTTTGTGATGTGTGCGTTCAACTCACAGAGTTTAACTTTTCTTTTCATAGAGCAGTTAGGAAACACTCTGTTTGTAAAGTCTGCAAGTGGATATTCAGACCTCTTTGAGGCCTTCGTTGGAAACGGGATTTCTTCATATTATGCTAGACAGAAGAATTCCCAGTAACTTCCTTGAGTTGTGTGTGTTCAACTCACAGAGTTGAACATTCATTTACCCAGAGCAGATTTGAAACACTCTTTTTGTGGAATTTGCAAGTGGAGATTTCAAGCGCTTTGAGGCCAAAGGCAGAAAAGGAAATATCTTCGTTTCAAAACTAGACAGAATCATTCTCAGAATCTGCTCTGCGATGTGTGCGTTCAACTCTCAGAGTTTAACTTTTCTTTTCATTCAGCAGTTTGGAAACACTCTGTTTGTAAAGTCTGCACGTGGATATTTTGACCACTTAGAGGCCTTCGTTGGAAACGGGTTTTTTTCCTGTAAGGCTAGACAGAAGAATTCCCAGTAACTTCCTTGTGTTGTGTACGGTTCAACTCACAGAGTTGAACGTTCCCTTAGACAGAGCAGATTTGAAACACTCTTTTTGTGCAATTGGCAAGTGGAGATTTCAAGCGCTTTAAGGTCAATGGCAGAAAAGGAAATATCTTCGTTTCAAAACTAGACAGAATCATTCCCACAAACTGTGTTGTGATGTGTTCGTTCAACTCACAGAGTTTAACCTTTCTGTTCATAGAGCAGTTAGGAAACACTCTGTTTGTAAAGTCTGTAAGTGGATATTCTGACATCTTGTGGCCTTCGTTGGAAACGGGATTTCTTCATATTCTGCTAGACAGAAGAATTCTCAGTAACTTCCTTGTGTTGTGTGTATTCAACTCACAGAGTTGAACGATCCTTTACACAGAGCAGACTTGAAACACTCTTTTTGTGGAATTTGCAAGTGGAGATTTCAGCCGCTTTGAGGTCAATAGTAGAAAAGGAAACTATCTTCATATAAAGACTAGACAGAATGATTCTCAGAAACTCCTTTGTGATGTGTGCGTTCAACTCACAGAGTTTAACTTTTCTTTTCATAGAGCAGTTAGGAAACACTCTGTTTGTAACGTCTGCAAGTGGATATTCAGACCTCTTTGAGGCCTTCGTTGGAAACGGGATTTCTTCATATTATGCTAGACAGAAGAATTCTCAGTAACTTCCTTGTGTTGTGTGTATTCAACTCACAGAGTTGAACGATCCTTTACACGAGAGCAGAGCTTGAAACACTCTTTTTGTGGAATTTGCAAGTGGAGATTTCATGCCGCTTTGAGGTCAGTGGTAGAAAAGGAAATATCTTCGTATAAAGACTAGACAGAATCATTCTCAGAAACTGCTCTGCGATGTGTGCGTTCAACTCTCAGAGTTTAACTTTGCTTTTCATTCAGCAGTTTGGAAACACTCTGTTTGTAAAGTCTGCACGTGGATATTTTGACCACTTAGAGGCCTTCGTTGGAAACGGGTTTCTTTCCTGTAAGGCTAGACAGAAGAATTCCCAGTAACTTCCTTGTGTTGTGTACATTCAACTCACAGAGTTGAACGTTCCCTTAGACAGAGCAGATTTGAAACACTCTTTTTGTGCAATTGGCAAGTGGTGATTTTAGCCGCTTTGAGGTCAATGGTATAAAAGGAAATATCTTCGTATTAAAACTAGACAGAATCATTCCCACAAACTGCGTTGTGAGGTGTTCGGTAAACTCACAGAGTTTAACCTTTCTTTTCATAGAGCAGTTAGGAAACAGTCTGTTTGTAAATTCTGTAAGTGGATATTCTGACATCTTGTGGCCTTCGTTGGAAACGGGATTTCTTCATATTCTGCTATACAGAATAATTCTCAGTAACTTCCTTGTGTTGTGTGTATTCAACTCACAGAGTTGAACGATCCTTTACAGAGAGCAGACTTGAAACACTCTTTTTGTGGAATTTGCAAGTGGAGATTTCAGCCGCTTTGAGGTCAAAGGTAGAATAGGAAATATGCTTCCTACAGAAAATAGACAGAATGATTCTCATAAACTCCTTTGTGATGTGTGCGTTCAACACACAGAGTTTAACCTTTCTGTTCATAGAGCAGTTAGGAAACACTCTGTTTGTAAAGTCTGTAAGTGCATATTCTGACATCTTGAGGCCTTCGTTGGAAACGGGATTTCTTCATATTCTGCTAGACAGAAGAATTCCCAGTAACTTCCTTGTGTTGTGTGTGTTCAACTCACAGAGTTGAACTTTCATTTACACAGAGCAGATTTGAAACACTCTTTTTGTGGAATTTGCAAGTGGAGATTTCAAGCGCTTTGAGGCCACAGGCAGAAAAGGAAATATCTTCGTTTCAAAACTAGACAGAATCATTCTCAGAAACTGCTGCGTGATGTGTGCGTTCAACTCTCAGAGTTTAACTTTTCTAGTCATTCAGCGGTTTGGAAACACTCTGTTTGTAAAGTCTGCACGTGGATATTTTGACCACTTAGAGGCCTTCGTTGGAAACGGGATTTTTTCATGTAAGGCTAGACAGAAGAATTCTCAGTAACTTCCTTGTGTTGTGTGTATTCAACTCACAGAGTTGAACGAATCCTTTACAGAGAGCAGACTTGAAACACTCTTTTTGTGGAATTTGCAAGTGGAGATTTCAGCCGCTTTGAGGTCAATGGTAGAATAGGAAATATCTTCCTATAGAAAATAGACAGAATGATTCTCAGAAACTCCTTTGTGATGTGTGCGTTCACCTCACAGAGATTAACCTTTCTTTTCATAGAGCAGTTAGGAAACACTCTGTTTGTAAAGTCTGCAAGTGGATATTCAGACCTCTTTGAGGCCTTCGTTGGAAACGGGATTTCTTCATATTCTGCTACACAGAAGAATTCTCAGTAACTTCCTTGTGTTGTGTGTATTCAACTCACAGAGTTGAACGATCCTTTACACAGAGCAGTCTTGAAACACTCTTTTTGTGGAATTTGCAAGTGGAGATTTCAGCCGCTTTGAGGTCAATAGTAGAAAAGGAAATATCTTCGTAGAAAAACTAGACAGAATGATTCTCAGAAACTCCTTTGTGATGTGTGCGTTCAACTCACAGAGTTTAACCTTTCTTTTCATAGAGCAGTTAGGAAACACTCTGTTTGTAAAGTCTCTAAGTGGATATTCAGACCTCTTTGAGGCCTTCGTTGGAAACGGGTTTTTTTCATATAAGGCTAGACAGAAGAATTCCCAGTAACTTCCATGTGTTGTGTGTGTTCAACTCACAGAGTTGAACTTTCATTTACACAGAGCAGATTTGAAACACTCTTTTTGTGGAATTTGCAAATGGAGATTTCAAGCGCTTTGAGGCCAAAGGCAGAAAAGGAAATATCTTCGTATAAAAACTAGACAGAATCATTCTCAGAAACTGCTATGCGATGTGTGCGTTCAACTCTCTGAGTTTAACTTTTCTTTTCATTCAGCAGTTTGGAAACACTCTGTTTGTAAAGTCTGCACGTGGATAATTTGACCACTTAGAGGTCTTCGTTGGAAACGGGTTTTTTTCATGTAAGGGTAGACAGAAGAATTCCCAGTAACTTCCTTGTGTTTTGTGCATTCAACTCACAGAGTTGAACGTTCCCTTAGACAGAGCAGATTTGAAACACTCTATTTGTGCAATTTGCAAGTGTAGATTTCAAGCGCTTTAAGGTCAATGGCAGAAAAGGAAATATCTTCGTTTCAAAACTAGACAGAATCATTCCCACAAACTGTGTTGTGATGTGTTCGTTCATCTCACAGAGTTTAACCTTTCTTTTCATAGAGCAGTTAGGAAACACTATGTTTGTAAATTCTGTAAGTGGATATTCTGACATCTTGTGGCCTTCGTTGGAAACGGGATTTCTTCATATTCTGCTAGACAGAAGAATTCTCAGTAACTTCCTTGTGTTGTGTGTATTCAACTCACAGAGTTGAACGATCCTTTACAGAGAGCAGACTTGAAACACTCTTTTTGTGGAATTTGCAAGTGGAGATTTCAGGGGTTTTGAGGTCAATGGTAGAAAAGGAAATATCTTCGTATAAAGACTAGACAGAATGATTCTCAGAAACTCCTTTGTGATGTGTGCGTTCAACTCAAAGAGTTTAACTTTTCTTTTCATAGAGCAGTTAGGAAACACTCTGTTTGTAAAGTCTGCAAGTGGATATTCAGACCTCTTTGAAGCCTTCGTTGGAAACGGGATTTCTTCATATTATGCTAGACAGAAGAATTCCCAGTAACTTCCTTGTGTTGTGTGTGTTCAACTCACAGAGTTGAACTTTCATTTACACAGAGCAGATTTGAAACACTCTTTTTGTGGAATTTGCAAATGGAGATTTCAAGCGCTTTGAGGCCAAAGGCAGAAAAGGAAATATCTTTGTATAAAAACTAGACAGAATCATTCTCAGAAACTGCTCTGCGATGTGTGCGTTCAACTCTCAAAGTTTAACTTTGCTTTTCATTCAGCAGTTTGGAAACACTCTGTTTGTAAAGTCTGCACGTGGATAATTTGACCACTTAGAGGCCTTCGTTGGAAACGGGTTTTTTTCATGTAAGGCTAGACAGAAGAATTCCCAGTAACTTCCTTGCGTTGTGTACATTCAACTCACAGAGTTGAACGTTCCCTTAGACAGAGCAGATTTGAAACACTCTTTTTGTGCAATTGGCAAGTGGAGATTTCAAGCGCTTTAAGGTCAATGGCAGAAAAGGAAATATCTTCGTTTCAAAACTAGACAGAATGATTCTCATAAACTCCTTTGTGATGTGTGCGTTCAACTCACAGAGTTTAACCTTTCTTGTCATAGAGCAGTTAGGAAACACTCTGTTTGAAAAGTCTGCAAGTGGATATTCAGACCTCCTTGAGGCCTTCGTTGGAAACGGGATTTCTTCATATTCTGCTAGACAGAAGAATTCTCAGTAACTTCCTTGTGTTGTGTGTATTCAACTCACAGAGTTGAACGATCCTTTACACAGAGCAGACTTGAAACACTCTTTTTGGGGAATTTGCAAGTGGAGATTTCAGCCGCTTTGAGGTCAATGGTAGAAAAGGAAATATCTTCGTATAAAGACTAGACAGAATGATTCTCAGAAACTCCTTTGTGATGTGTGCGTTCAACTCACAGAGTTTAACTTGTCTTTTCATAGAGCAGTTAGGAAACACTCTGTAAAGTCTGCAAGTGGATATTCAGACCTCTTTGAGGCCTTCGTTGGAAACGGGATTTCTTCATATTATGCTAGACAGAAGAATTCTCAGTAACTTCCTTGTGTTGTGTGTATTCAACTGACAGAGTTGAACCTTCATTTAGAGAGAGCAGATTTGAAACACTGTTTTTGTGGAATTTGCAAGTGGAGATTTCAAGCGCTTTGGGGCCAAAGGCAGAAAAGGAAATATCTTCGTATAAAAACTAGACAGAATCATTCTCAGAAACTGCTCTGCGATGTGTGCGTTCAACTCTCAGAGTTTAACTTTTCTTTTCATTCAGCAGTTTGGAAACACTCTGTTTGTAAAGTCTGCACGTGGATATTTTGACCTCTTAGAGGCCTTCGTTGGAAACGGGTTTTTTTCCTGTAAGGCTAGACAAGAAGAATTGCCAGTAACTTCCTTGTGTTGTGTGCATTCAACTCACAGAGTTGAACGTTCCCTTAGACAGAGCAGATATGAAACACTCTATTTGTGCAATTTGCAAGTGTAGATTTCAAGCGCTTTAAGGTCAATGGCAGAAAAGGAAATATCTTCGTTTCAAAACTAGACAGAATCATTCTCAGAAACTGCTCTGCGATGTGTGCGTTCAACTCTCAGAGTTTAACTTCTCTTTTCATTCAGTAGTTTGGAAACACTCTGTTTGTAAAGTCTGCACGTGGATAACTTGACCACTTAGAGGCCTTCGTTGGAAACGAGTTTTTTTCATGTAAGGCTAGACAGAAGAATTCTCAGTAACTTCCTTGTGTTGTGTGTATTCATCTCACAGAGTTGAACGATCCTTTACACAGAGCAGACTTGTAAAACTCTTTTTGTGGAATTTGCAAGTGGAGATTTCAGCCGCTTTGAAGTCAAAGGTAGAAAAGGAAATATCTTCCTATAAAAACTAGACAGAATGATTCTCAGAAACTCCTTTGTGATGTGTGTGTTCAACTCACAGAGTTTAACCTTTCTTTTCATAGAGCAGTTAGGAAACACTCTGTTTGTAAAGTCTGCAAGTGGATATTCTGACCTCTTTGAGGCCTTCTTCGGAAACGGGTTTTTTTCATATAAGGCTAGACAGAAGAATTCCCAGTAACTTCCTTGTGTTGTGTGTGTTCAACTGACAGAGTTGAACTTTCATTTACACAGAGCAGATTTGAAACACTCTTTTTGTGGAATTTGCAGGTGGAGATTTCAAGCGCTTTGAGGCCAAAGGCAGAAAAGGAAATATCTTCGTATAAAAACTAGACAGAATCATTCTCAGAAACTGCTGCGTGATGTGTGCGTTCAACTCTCAGAGTTTAACTTTTCTTTTCATTCAGCGGTTTGGAAACACTCTCTTTGTAAAGTCTGCACGTGGATATTTTGACCACTTAGAGGCCTTCGTTGGAAACGGGTTTTTTTCATGTAAGGCTAGACAGAAGAATTCCCAGTAACTTCCTTGTGTTGTGTACATTCAACTCACAGAGTTGAACGTTCCCTTAGACAGAGCAGATTTGAAACACTCTTTTTGTGCAATTGGCAAATGGAGATTTCAAGCGCTTTAAGGTCAATGGCAGAAAAGGAAATATTCTTCGTTTCAAAACTAGACAGAATGATTCTCATAAACTCCTTTGTGATGTGTGCGTTCAACACACAGAGTTTAACCTTTCTGTTCATAGAGCTGTTAGGAAACACTCTGTTTGTAAAGTCTGTAAGTGGATATTCTGACATCTTTTGGCCTTCGTTGGAAACGGGATTTCTTCATATTCTGCTAGACAGAAGAATTCTCAGTAACTTCCTTGTGTTGTGTGTATTCAACTCACAGAGTTGAACGATCCTTTACACAGAGCAGACTTGTAACACTCTTTTTGTGGAATTTGCAAGTGGAGATTTCAGCCGCTTTGAGGTCAAAGGTAGAAAAGGAAATATCTTCCTATAAAAACTAGACAGAATGATTCTCAGAAACTCCTTTGTGATGTGTGCGTTCAACTCACAGAGTTTAACCTTTCTTTTCATAGAGCAGTTAGGAAACACTCTGTTTGTAAAGTCTGCAAGTGGATATTCAGACCTCCTTGAGGCCTTCGTTGGAAATGGGATTTCTTCATATTCTGCTAGACAGAAGAATTCCCAGTAACTTCCTTGTGTTGTGTGTGTTCAACTCACAGAGTTGAACTTTCATTTACACAGAGCAGATTTGAAACACTCTTTTTGTGGAATTTGCAAGTGGAGATTTCAAGCGCTTTGAGGCCAAAGGCAGAAAAGGAAATATGTTCGTTTCAAAACTAGACAGAATCATTCTCAGAAACTGCTCTGCGATGTGTGCGTTCAACTCTCAGAGTTTAACTTTTCTTTTCATTCAGCAGTTTGGAAACACTGTGTTTGTAAAGTCTGCACGTGGATATTTTGACCACTTAGAGGCCTTCGTTGGAAACGGGTTTTTTTTCCTGTAAGGCTAGAGAGAAGAATTCCCAGTAACTTCCTTGTGTTGTGTGCATTCAACTCACAGAGTTGAACGTTCCCTTAGACAGAGCAGATTTGAAACACTCTATTTGTGCAATTTGCAAGTGTAGATTTCAAGCGCTTTAAGGTCAATGGCAGAAAAGGAAATATCTTCGTTTCAAAACTAGACAGAATCATTCCCACAAACTGCGTTGTGACGTGTTCGTTCAACTCACAGAGTTTAACCTTTCTGTTCATAGAGCAGTTAGGAAACACTCTGTTTGTAAAGTCTGTAAGTGGATATTCTGACATCTTGTGGCCTTCGTTGGAAACAGGATTTCTTCGAATTCTGCTAGACAGAAGAATTCTCAGTAACTTCCTTGTGTTGTGTGTATTCAACTCACAGAGTTGAACGATCCTTTACACAGAGCAGATTTGTAACACTCTTTTTGTGGAATTTGCAAGTGGAGATTTCAGCCGCTTTGAAGTCAAAGGTAGAAAAGGAAATAACTTCCTATAAAAACTAGACAGAATGATTCTCAGAAACTCCTTTGTGATGTGTACGTTCAACTCACAGAGTTTAACCTTTCTTTTCATAGAGCAGTTAGGAAACACTCTGTTTGTAAAGTCTGCAAGTGGATATTGAGACCTCTTTGAGGCCTTCGTTGGAAACGGGTTTTTTTCATGTAAGGCTAGACAGAAGAATTCTCAGTAACTTCCTTGTGTTGTGTGTATTCAACTGACAGAGTTGAACTTTCATTTAGAGAGAGCAGATTTGAAACCCTGTTTTGTGGAATTTGCAAGTGGAGATTTCAAGCGCTTTGGGGCCAAAGGCAGAAAAGGAAATATCTTCGTATAAAAACTAGACAGAATGATTCTCAGAAACTGCTCTGCGATGTGTGCGTTCACCTCTCAGAGTTTAACTTTTCTTTTCATTCAGCAGTTTGGAAACCCTCTGTTTGTAAAGTCTGCACGTGCATAATTTGACCACTTAGAGGCCTTCGTTGGCAACGGGTTTTTTTCATGTAAGGCTAGACAGAAGAATTCCCAGTAACTTCCCTTGTGTTGTGTACATTTAACTCACAGAGTTGAACGTTCCCTTAGACAGAGCAGATTTGAAACACTCTTTTTGTGCAATTGGCAAGTGGAGATTTCAAGCGCTTTAAGGTCAATGGCAGAAAAGGAAATATCTTATTTTCAAAACTAGACAGAACGATTCTCAGAAACTCCTTTGTGATGTGTGCGTTCAACTCACAGAGTTTAACCTTTCTTTTCATAGAGCAGTTAGGAAACTGTCTGTTTGTAAAGTCTGCAAGTGGATATTCAGACCTCTTTGAGGCCTTCGTTGGAAACGGGATTTCTTCATATTCTGCTAGACAGAAGAATTCTCAGTAACTTCCTTGTGTTGTGTGTATTGAACTCGCAGAGTTGAACGATCCTTTACAGAGAGCAGACTTGAAACACTCTTTTTGTGGAATTTGCAAGTGGAGATTTCAGCCGCTTTGAGGTCAATGGTAGAAAAGGAAATATCTTCGTATAAAGACTAGACAGAATGATTCTCAGAAACTCCTTTGTGATGTGTGCGTTCAACACACAGAGTTTAACTTTTCTTTTCATAGAGAAGTTAGTAAACACTCTGTTTATAAAGTCTGCAAGTGGATATTCAGACCCCTTTGAGGCCTTCGTTGGAAACGGGATTTCTTCATATTATGCTAGACAGAAGAATTCCAAGTAACTTCCTTGTGTTGTGTGTGTCCAACTCACAGAGTTGAACTTTCATTTACACAGAGCAGATTTGAAACACTCTTTTTGTGGAATTTGCAAATGGAGATTTCAAGCGCTTTGAGGCCAAAGGCAGAAAAGGAAATATCTTCGTATAAAAACCAGACAGAATCATTCTCAGAAACTGCTCGTGCGATGTGTGCGTTCGACTCTCAGAGTTTAACTTTTCTTTTCATTCAGCAGTTTGGAAACACTCTGTTTGTAAAGTCTGCACGTGGATAATTTGACCACTTAGAGGCCTTCGTTGGAAACGGGTTTTTTTCATGTAAGGCTAGACAGAAGAATTCCCAGTAACTTCCTTGTGTTGTGTACATTCAACTCACAGAGTTGAACCGTTCCCTTAGACAGAGCAGATTTGAAACACTCTTTTTGTGCAATTGGCAAGTGGAGATTTCAAGCGCTTTAAGGTCAATGGCAGAAAAGGAAATATCTTCGTTTCAAAACTAGGCAGAATGATTCTCAGAAACTCCTTTGTGATGTGTGCGTTCAACTCACAGAGTTTAACCTTTCTTTTCATAGAGCAGTTAGGAAACGCTCTGTTTGTAAAGTCTGCAAGTGGATATTCAGACATCCTTGAGGCTTTCGTTGGAAACGGGATTTCTTCATATTCTGCTAGAAAGAAGAATTCTCAGTAACTTCCTTGTGTTGTGTGCATTCAACTCACAGAGTTGAACGATCCTTTACACAGAGCAGACTTGAAACACTCTTTTTGTGGAATTTGCAAGTGGAGATTTCAGCCGCTTTGAGGTCAATGGTAGAAAAGGATACTATCTTCGTATAAAGACTAGACAGAATGATTCTCAGAAACTCCTTTGTGATGTGTGCGTTCAACTCACAGAGTTTAACCTTTCTTTTCATAGAGCAGTTAGGAAACACTCTGTTTGTAAAGTCTGCAAGTGGATATTCAGACATCTTTGAGGCTTTCGTTGGAAACGGGATTTCTTCATATTCTGCTAGACAGAAGAATTCTCAGTAACTTCCTTCTGTTGTGTGTATTCAACTCACAGAGTTGAACGATCCTTTACACAGAGCAGACTTGAAACACTCTTTTTGTGGAATTTGCAAGTGGAGATTTCAGCCGCTTTGAGGTCAATGGTAGAATAGGAAATATCTTCCTATAGAAACTAGACAGAATCATTCTCAGAAACTGCTCTGCGATGTGTGCGTTCAACTCTCAGAGTTTAACTTTTCTTTTCATTCAGCAGTTTGGAAACACTCTGTTTGTAAATTCTGCACGTGGATAACTTGACCACTTAGAGGCCTTCGTTGGAAACGGGTTTTTTTCCTGTAAGGCTAGACAGAAGAATTCCCAGTAACTTCCTTGTGTTGTGTACATTCAACTCACAGAGTTGAACGTTCCCTTAGACAGAGCAGATTTGAAACACTCTTTTTGTGCAATTGGCAAATGGAGATTTCAAGCGCTTTAAGGTCAATGGCAGAAAAGGAAATATCTTCGTTTCAAAACTAGACAGAATCATTCCCACAAACTGCGTTGTGATGTGTTCGTTCAACTCACAGAGTTTAACCTTTCTGTTCATAGAGCAGTTAGGAAACACTGTGTTTGTAAAGTCTGTAAGTGGATATTCTGACATCTTGTGGCCTTCGTTGGAAACGGGATTTCTTCATTTTCTGCTAGACAGAAGAATTCTCAGTAACTTCCTTGTGTTGTGTTTATTCAACTCACAGAGTTGAACGATCCTATACACAGAGCAGACTTGAAACACTCTTTTTGTGGAATTTGCAAGTGGAGATTTCAGCCGCTTTGAGGTCAATGGTAGAATAGGAAATATCTTCCTATAGAAACTAGACAGAGTGATTCTCAGAAACTCCTTTGGGATGTCTGCGTTCAACTCACAGAGTTTAACCTTTCTTTTCATAGAGCAGTTAGGAAACACTCTGTTTGTAAAGTCTGCAAGTGGATATTCAGACCTCCTTGAGGCCTTCGTTGGAAACGGGATTTCTTCATATTCTGCTATACAGAAGAATTCTCAGAAACTTCCTTGTGTTGTGTGTATTCAACTCACAGAGTTGAACGATCGTTTACACAGAGCAGACTTGAGACACTCTTTTTGTGGAATTTGTAAGTGGAGATTTCAGCCGCTTTGAGGTCAATGGTAGAAAAGGAAATATCTTCATATAAAGACTAGACAGAATCATTCTCAGAAACTGCTCTGCGATGTGTGCGTTCAACTCTCAGAGTTTAACTTTTCTTTTCATTCAGCAGTTTGGAAACACTCTGGTTGTAAAGTCTGCACGTGGATAACTTGACCACTTAGAGGCCTTCGTTGGAAACGGGTTTTTTTCCTGTAAGGCTAGACAGAAGAATTCCCAGTAACTTCCTTGTGTTGTGTACATTCAACTCACAGAGTTGAACGTTCCCTTAGACAGAGCAGATTTGAAACACTCTTTTTGTGCAATTGGCAAGTGGAGATTTCAAGCGCTTTGAGGTCAATGGCAGAAAAGGAAATATCTTCGTTTCAAAACTAGACAGAATGATTCTCAGAAACTCCTTTGTGATGTGTGAGTTCAACTCACAGAGTTTATCCTTTCTTTTCATAGAGCAGTTAGGAAACACTCTGTTTGTAAAGTGTGCAAGTGGATATTCAGACCTCTTTGAGGCCTTCGTTGGAAACGGGATTTCTTCATATTCTGCTAGACAGAAGAATTCTCAGTAACTTCCTTGTGTTGTGTGCATTGAACTCACAGAGTTGAACGATCCTTTACACAGGGCAGACTTGAAACACTCTTTTTGTGGAATTTGCAAGCGGAGATTTCAGCCTCTTTGAGGTTAATGGTAGAAATTGAAATATCTTCGTATAGAAACTAGACAAAATGATTCTCAGAAACTCCTTTGTGATGTGTGCGTTCAACTCACAGAGTTTAACTTTTCTTTTCATAGAGCAGTTAGGAAACACTCTGTTTGTAAAGTCTGCAAGTGGATATTCAGACCTCTTTGAGGCCTTCGTTGGAAACGGGATTCTTCATATTATGCTAGACAGAAGTATTCTCAGTAACTTCCTTGTGTTGTGTGTATTCAACTGACAGAGTTGAACTTTCATTTAGAGAGAGCAGATTTGAAACACTGTTTTTGTGGAATTTGCAAGTGGAGATTTCAAGCGCTTTGGGGCCAAAGGCAGAAAAAGAAATATCTTCGTATAAAAACTAGACAGAATCATTCTCAGAAACTGCTCTGCGATGTGTGCGTTCAACTCTCAGAGTTTAACTTTTCTTTTCATTCAGCAGTTTGGAAACACTCTGTTTGTAAAGTCTGCACGTGGATATTTTGAGCACTTAGAGGCCTTCGTTGGAAACGGGTTTTTTTCCTGTAAGGCTAGACAGAAGAATTCCCAGTAACTTCCTTGTGTTGTGTACATTCAACTCACAGAGTTGAACGTTCCCTTAGACAGAGCAGATTTGAAACACTCTTTTTGTGCAATTGGCAAATGGAGATTTCAAGCGCTTTAAGGTCAATGGCAGAAAAGGAAATATCTTCGTTTCAAAACTAGACAGAATCATTCCCACAAACTGCGTTGTGATGTGTTCGTTCAACTCACAGAGTTTAACCTTTCTTTTCATAGAGCAGTTAGGAAACAGTCTGTTTGTCAATTCTGTAAGTGGATATTCTGACATCTTGTGGCCTTCGTTGGAAACGGGATATTCTTCATATTCTGCTAGACAGAAGAATTCTCAGTAACTTCCTTGTGTTGTGTGTATTCAACTCACAGAGTTGAACGATCCTTTACACAGAGCAGACTTGAAACACTCTTTTTGTGGAATTTGCAAGTGGAGATTTCAGGCGCTTTGAGGTCAATAGTAGAAAAGGAAATATCTTCGTAGAAAAACTAGACAGAATGATTCTCAGAAACTCCTTTGTGATGTGTGTGTTCAACTCACAGAGTTTAACCTTTCTTTTCATAGAGCAGTTAGTAAACACTCTGTTTATAACGTCTGCAAGTGGATATTCAGACCCCTTTGAGGCCTTCGTTGGAAACGGGATTTCTTCATATTATGCTAGACAGAAGAATTCTCAGTAACTTCCTTGTGTTGTGTGTATTCAACTGACAGAGTTGAACTTTCTTTTAGAGAGAGCAGATTTGAAACACTGTTTTTGTGGAATTTGCAAGTGGAGATTTCAAGCGCTTTGGGGCCAAAGGCAGAAAAGGAAATATCTTCGTATAAAAACTAGACAGAATCATTCTCAGAAACTGCTCTGCGATGTGTGCGTTCAACTCTCAGAGTTTAACTTTTCTTTTCATTCAGCAGTTTGGAAACACTCTGTAAACTCTGCATGTGGATATTTTGACCACTTAGAGGCCTTCGTTGGAAACGGGTTTTTTTCCTGTAAGGCTAGACAGAAGAATTCCCAGTAACTTCCTTGTGTTGTGTACATTCAACTCACAGAGTTGAACGTTCCCTTAGACAGAGCAGATTTGAAACACTCTTTTTGTGCAATTGGCAAGTGGTGATTTCAGCCGCTTTGAGGTCAATGGTAGAAAAGGAAATATCTTCGTATAAAAACTAGACAGAATGATTCTCAGAAACTTCATTGTGATGTGTGCGTTCAACTCACAGAGTTTAACCTTTCTTTTCATACAGCAGTTAGGAAACACTCTGTTTGTAAACTCTGCAAGTCGATATTCACACCTCTTTGAGGCCTTCGTTGGAAACGGGATTTCTTCATACTATGCTAGACAGAAGAATTCTCAGTAACTTCCTTGTGTTGTGTGTATTCAACTCACAGAGTTGAACGATCCTTTACACAGAGCAGACTTGTAACACTCTTTTTGTGGAATTTGCAAGTGGAGATTTCAGCCGCTTTGAAGTCAAAGGTAGAAAAGGAAATAACTTCCTATAAAAACTAGAAAGAATGATTCTCAGAAACTCCTTTGTGATGTGTGTGTTCAACTCACAGAGTTTAACCTTTCTTTTCATAGAGCAGTTAGTAAACACTCTGTTTATAAAGTCTCCAAGTGGATATTCAGACCCCTTTGAGGCCTTCGTTGGAAACGGGATTTCTTCATATTATGCTAGACAGAAGAATTCCCAGTAACTTCTTTGTGTTGTGTGTGTTCAACTCACAGAGTTGAACTTTCATTTACACAGAGCAGATTTGAAACACTCTTTTTGTGGAATTTGCAAGTGGAGATTTCAAGCGCTTTGAGGCCAAAGGCAGAAAAGGAAATATCTTTGTATAAAAACTAGACAGAATCATTCTCAGAAACTGCTCTGCGATGTGTGTGTTCAACTCTCAGAGTTTAACTTTTCTTTTCATTCAGCAGTTTGGAAACACTCTGTTTGTAAAGTCTCCACGTGGATAATTTGACCACTTAGAGGCCTTCGTTGGAAACGGGTTTTTTTCATGTAAGGCTAGACAGAAGAATTCTCAGAATCTTCCTTGTGTTGTGTGTATTCAACTCACACAGTTGAACGACGGTTTACACAGAGCAGATTTGAAACACTCTTTTTGTGGAATTTGCAAGTGGAGATTTCAGCTGCTTTGAGGTCAATGGTAGAAAAGGAAATATCTTCGTATAAAAACTAGACAGAATGATTCTCAGAAACTTCTTTGTGATGTGTGCGTTCAACTCACAGAGTTTAACCTTTCTTTTCATAGAGCAGTTAGGAAACACTCTGTTTGTAAACTCTGCAAGTGGATATTCAGACCTTTTTGAGGCCTTCGTTGGAAACGGGATTTCTTCATACTGTGCTAGACAGAATAATTCTCAGTAACTTCCTTGTGTTGTGTGTATTCAACTCACAGAGTTGAAGGATCCTTTACAGAGAGCAGGCTTGAAACACTCTTTTTGTCGAATTTGCAAGTGGAGATTTCAGCCGCTTTCAGGTCAATGGTAGAATAGGAAGTATCTTCTTATAGAAACTAGACAGAATGATTCTCAGAAACTCTTTTGTGATGTGTGCGTTCAACTCACAGAGTTTAACCTTTCTTTTCATAGAGCAGTTAGGAAACACTCTGTTTGTAAAGGCTGCACGTGGATATTTGGACTTCTTTGAGGCCTTCATTGGAAACGGGTTTTTTTCATGTAAGGCTAGACAGAAGAATTCCCAGTAACTTCCTTGTGTTGTGTGTGTTCAAATCACAGAGTTGAACTTTCATTTACACAGAGCAGATTTGAAACACTCTTTTTGTGGAATTTGCAAATGGAGATTTCAAGCGCTTTGAGGCCAAAGGCAGAAAAGGAAATATCTTCGTATAAAAACTAGACAGAATCATTCTCAGAAACTGCTCTGCGATGTGTGCGTTCAACTCTCAGAGTTTAACTTTTCTTTTCATTCAGCAGTTTGGAAACACTCTGTTCGTAAAGTCTGCACGTGGATAACTTGACCACTTAGAGGCCTTCGTTGGAAACGGGTTTTTTTCCTGTAAGGCTAGACAGAAGAATTCCCAGTAACTTCCTTGTGTTGTGTGCATTCAACTCACAGAGTTGAACGTTCCCTTAGACAGAGCAGATTTGAAACACTCTGTGCAATTTGCAAGTGTAGATTTCAAGCGCTTTAAGGTCAACGGCAGAAAAGGAAATATCTTCGTTTCAAAACTAGACAGAAATCATTCCCACAAACTGCGTTGTGATGTGTTCGTTCAACTCACAGAAGTTTAACCTTTCTTTTCATAGAGCAGTTAGGAAACAGTCTGTTTGTAAATTCTGTAAGTGGATATTCTGACATCTTGTGGCCTTCGTTGGAAACGGGATTTCTTCATATTCTGCTAGACAGAAGAATTCTCAGTAACTTCCTTGTGTTGTGTGTATTCAACTCACGGAGTTGAACGATCGTTTACACAGAGCAGACTTGAAACACTCTTTTTGTGGAATTTGCAAGTGGAGATTTCAGCCGCGTTGAGGTCAATGGTAGAAAAGGAAATATCTTCGTATAAAAACTAGACAGAATGATTCTCAGAAACTTCATTGTGATGTGTGCGTTCAACTCACAGAGTTTAACCTTTCTTTTCATAGAGCAGTTAGGAAACACTCTGTTTGTAAACTCTGCAAGTGGATATTCAGACCTCTTTCAGGCCTTCGTTGGAAACGGGATTTCTTCATACTGTGCTAGACAGAAGATTTCCCAGTAACTTCCTTGTGTTGTGTGTGTTCAACTCACAGAGTTGAACTTTCATTTACACAGAGCAGATTTGAAACACTCTTTTTGTGGAATTTGCAAATGGAGATTTCAAGCGCTTTGAGGCCAAAGGCAGAAAAGGAAATATCTTCGTATAAAAACTAGACAGAATCATTCTCAGAAACTGCTCTGCGATGTGTGCGTTCAACTCTCACAGTTTAACTTTTCTTTTCATTCAGCAGTTTGGAAACACTCTGTTTGTAAAGTCTGCACGTGGATAATTTGACCACTTAGAGGCCTTTGTTGGAAACGGGTTATTTTCATGTAAGGCTAGACAGAAGAATTCCCAGTAACTTCCTTGTGTTGTGTGCAATCAAATCACAGAGTTGAACGTTCCCTTAGACAGAGTAGATTTGAAACACTCTATTTGTGCAATTTGCAAGTGTAGATTTCAAGCGCTTTAAGGTCAAAGGCAGAAAAGGAAATATCTTCGTTTCAAAACTAGACAGAACGATTCTCAGAAACTCCTTTGTGATGTGTGCGTTGAACTCACAGAGTTTAACCTTTCTTTTCATAGAGCAGTTAGGAAACACTCTGTTTGTAAAGTCTGCAAGTGGATATTCAGACCTCTTTGAGGCCTTCGTTGGAAACGGGATTTCTCCATATTCTGCTAGACAGAAGAATTCTCAGTAACTTCCTTGTGTTGTGTGTATTCAACTCACAGAGTTGAACGATCCTTTAAACAGAGCAGACTTGAAACACTCTTTTTGTGGAATTTGCAAGTGGAGATTTCAGCCGCTTTGAGGTCAATGGTAGAAAAGGAAACTACCTTCATATAAAGACTAGACAGAATGATTCTCAGAAACTCCTTTGTGATGTGTGCGTTCAACTCACAGAGTTTAACCTTTCTTTTCATAGAGCAGTTAGGAAACACTCTGCTTGTAAAGTCTGCAAGTGGATATTCAGTCCTCTTTGAGGCCTTCGTTGGAAACGGGTTTTTTTCATATAAGGCTAGACAGAAGAATTCCCAGTAACTTCCCTTGTGTTGTGTGTGTTCAACTCACAGAGTTGAACTTTCATTTACACAGAGCAGATTTGAAACACTCTTTTTGTGGAATTTGCAGGTGGAGATTTCAAGCGCTTTGAGGCCAAAGGCAGAAAAGGAAATATCTTCGTATAAAAACTAGACAGAATCATTCTCAGAAACTGCTCTGCGATGTGTGCGTTCAACTCTCAAGAGTTTAACTTTTCTTTTCATTCAGCAGTTTGGAAACACTCTGTTTGTAAAGTCTGCACGTGGATATTTTGACCACTTAGAGGCCTTCGTTGGAAACGGGTTTTTTTCCTGTAAGGCTAGACAGAAGAATTCCCAGTAACTTCCTTGTGTTGTGTACATTCAACTCACAGAGTTGAACGTTCCCTTAGACAGAGCAGATTTGAAACACTCTTTTTGTGCAATTGGCAAGTGGTGATTTCAGCCGCTTTGAGGTCAATGGTAGAAAAGGAAATATCTTCGTATAAAAACTAGACAGAATGATTCTGAGAAACTCCTTTGTGATGTGTGCGTTAAACTCACAGAGTTTACCCTTTCTTTTCATAGAGCAGTTAGGAAACACTCTGTTTGTAAAGTCTGCAAGTGGATATTCAGACATCCTTGAGGCTTTCGTTGGAAACGGGATTTCTTCATATTCTGCCAGAAAGAAGAATTCTCAGTAACTTCCTTGTGTTGTGTGTATTCAACTCACACAGTTGAACGATCCTTTACACAAAGCAGACTTGTAACACTCTTTTTGTGGAATTTGCAAGTGGGGATTTCAGCCGCTTTGAAGTCAAATGTAGAAAAGGAAATATCTTCCTATAAAAACTAGACAGAATGATTCTCAGAAACTTCTTTGTGATGTGTGCGTTCAACTCACAGAGTTTAACCTTTCTTTTCATAGAGCAGTTAGGAAACACTCTGTTTGTAAACTCTGCAAGTGGATATTCAGACCTACTTTGAGGCCTTCGTTGGAAACGGGATTTCTTCATACTGTGCTAGACAGAAGAATTCTCAGTAACTTCCTTGTGTTGTGTGTATTCAACTCACAGAGTTGAACGATCGTTTACACAGAGCGGACTTGAAACACTCTTTTTGTGGAATTTGCAATTGGAGATTTCAGCCGCGTTGAGGTCAATGGTAGAAAAGGAAATCTCTTCGTATAAAAACTAGACAGAACCATTCTCAGAAACTGCTCTGCGATGTGTGCGTTCAACTCTCAGAGTTTAACTTTTCTTTTCATTCAGCAGTTTGGAAACACTCTGTTTGTAAAGTCTGCACGTGGATATTTTGACCACTTAGAGGCCTTCGTTGGAAACGGGTTTTTTTCCTGTAAGGCTAGACAGAAGAATTCCCAGTAACTTCCTTGTGTTGTCTACATTCAACTCACAGAGTTGAACGTTCCCTTAGACAGAGCAGATTTGAAACACTCTTTTTGTGCAATTGGTAAGTGGTGATTTCAGCCGCTTTGAGGTCAAAGGTAGAAAAGGAAATATCTTCGTATAAAAACTAGACAGAATCATTCCCAAAAACTGCGTTGTGATGTGCTCGTTCAACTCACAGAGTTTAACCTTTCTTTTCATAGAGCAGTTAGGAAACAGTCTGTTTGTAAATTCTGTAAGTGGATATTCTGACATCTTGTGGCCTTCGTTGGAAACGGGATTTCTTCATATTCTGCTAGACAGAAGAATTCTCAGTAACTTCCGCGTGTTGTGTGTATTCAACTCACAGAGTTGAACGATCCTTTACACAGAGCAGACTTGACACACTCTTTTTGTGGAATTTGCAAGTGGAGATTTCAGCCGCTTTGAGGTCAATGGTAGAAAAGGAAATATCTTCGTATAAAAACTAGACAGAATGATTCTCAGAAACTCCTTTGTGATGTGTGCGTTCAACTCACAGAGTTTAACCTTTCTTTTCATAGAGCAGTTAGGAAACACTCTGTTTGTAAAGTCTGCAAGTGGATATTCAGCCCTCTTTGAGGCCTTCGTTGGAAACGGTTTTTTTTCATATAAGGCTAGACAGAAGAATTCTCAGTAACTTCCTTGTGTTGTGTGTATTCAACTCACAGAGTTGAACTTTCATTTAGAGAGAGCAGATTTGAAACACTGTTTTTGTGGAATTTGCAAGTGGAGATTTCAAGCGCTTTGCGGCCAAAGGTAGAAAACGAAATATCTTCGTATAAAAACTAGACAGAATCATTCTCAGAAACTGCTGCGTGATGTGTGCGCTCAACTCTCAGAGTTTAACTTTTCTTTTCATTCAGCGGTTTGGAAACACTCTGTTTGTAAAGTCTGCACGTGGACATTTTGACCACTTAGAGGCCTTCGTTGGAAACGGGTTTTTTTCATGTAAGGCTAGACAGAAGAATTCTCAGTAACTTCCTTGTGTTGTGTGTATTCAACTCACAGAGTTCAACGATGCTTTACACAGAGTAGACTTGAAACACACTTTTTGTTGAATTTGCAACTGGAGATTTCAGCCGCTTTGAGGTCAATGGTAGAATAGGTAATATCTTCCTATAGAAACTAGACAGAATGATTCTCAGAAACTCCTTTGTGATGTGTGCGCTCAACTCACAGAGTTTAGCCTTTCTTTTCATGGAGCAGTTAGGAAACACTCTGTTTGTAAAGTCTGCAAGTGGATATTCAGACCTCTTTGAGGCCTTCGTTGGAAACGGGATTTCTTCATATTCTGCTAGACAGAAGAATTCTCAGAAACTTCCTTGTGTTGTGTGTATTCAACTCACAGAGTTGAACGATCCTTTACACAGAGCAGACTTGAAACACTCTTTTTGTGGAATTTGCAAGTGGAGATTTCAGCCGCTTTGAGGTCAATGTTAGAATAGGAAATATCTTCCTATAGAAACTAGACAGAATGATTCTCAGAATCTCCTTTGTGATGTGTGCGTTCAACTCACAGAGTTTAACCTTTCTTTTCATAGAGCAGTTAGGAAACACTCTGTTTGTAAAGTCTGCAAGTGGATATTCAGACCTCTTTGAGGCCTTCGTTGGAAACGGGTTTTTTTCATATAAGGCTAGACAGAAGAATTCCCAGTAACTTCCTTGTGTTGTGTGTGTTCAACTCACAGAGTTGAACTTTGATTTACACAGAGCAGATTTGAAACACTCTTTTTGTGGAATTTGCAGGTGGAGATTTCAAGCGCTTTGAGGCCAAAGGCAGAAAAGGAAATATCTTCGTATAAAAACTAGACAGAATCATTCTCAGAAACTGCTCTGCGATGTGTGCGTTCAACTCTCAGAGTTTAACTTTTCTTTTCATTCAGAAGTTTGGAAACACTCTGTTTGTAAAGTCTGCACGTGGATAACTTGACCACTTAGAGGCCTTCGTTGGAAACGGGTTTTTTTCATGTACGGCTAGACAGAAGAATTCCCAGTAACTTCCTTGTGTTGTGTGCATTCAACTCACAGAGTTGAACGTTCCCTTAGACAGAGCAGATTTGAAACACTCTATTTGTGCAATTTGCAAGTGTAGATTTCAACCGCTTTAAGGTCAATGGCAGAAAAGGAAATATCTTCGTTTCAAAACTAGACAGAATCATTCTCAGAAACTGCTCTGCGATGTGTGCGTTCAACTCTCAGAGTTTAACTTTTCTTTTCATTCAGCAGTTTGGAAACACTCTGTTTGTAAAGTCTGCACGTGGATAATTTGTCCACTTAGAGGCCTTCGTTGGAAACGGGTTTTTTTCATGTAAGGCTAGACAGAAGAATTCTCAGTAACTTCCTTGTGTTGTGTGTATTCAACTCACAGAGTTGAACGATCCTTTACACAGAGCAGACTTGTAACACTCTTTTTGTGGAATTTGCAAGTGGAGATTTCAGCTGCTTTGAAGTCAAAGGTAGAAAAGGAAATATCTTCCTATAAAAACTAGACAGAATGATTGTCAGAAACTCCTTTGTGATGTGTGCGTTCAACTCACAGAGTTTAACCTTTCTTTTCATAGAGCAGTTAGGAAACACTCTGTTTGTAAAGTCTGCAAGTGGATATTCAGACTTCTTTGAAGCCTTCGTTGGAAGCGGGATTTCTTCATATTCTGCTAGAAAGAAGAATTCCCAGTAACTTCCCTTGTGTTGTGTGTGTTCAACTCACAGAGTTGAACTTTCATTTACACAGAGCAGATTTGAAACACTCTTTTTGTGGAATTTGCAAGTGGAGATTTCAAGCGCTTTGAGGCCGAAGGCAGAAAAGGAAATATCTTCGTTTCAAAACTAGACAGAATCATTCTCAGAAACTGCTCTGCGATGTGTGTGTTCAACTCTCAGAGTTTAACTTTTCTTTTCATTCAGCAGTTTGGAAACACTCTGTTTGTAAAGTCTGCACGTGGATATTTTGACCACTTAGAGGCCTTCGTTGGAAACGGGTTTTTTTCCTGTAAGGCTAGACAGTAGAATTCCCAGTAACTTCCTTGTGTTGTGTGCATTCAACTCACAGAGTTGAACGTTCCCTTAGACAGAGCAGATTTGAAACACTCTATTTGTGCAATTTGCAAGTGTAGTTTTCAAGCTCTTTAAGGTCAACGGCAGAAAAGGAAATATCTTGGTTTCAAAACTAGACAGAATCATTCCCACAAACTGCGTTGTGATGTGTTCGTTCAACTCACAGAGTTTAACCTTTCTTTTCATAGAGCAGTTAGGAAACAGTCTGTTTGTAAATTCTGTAAGTGGATATTCTGACATCCTTGTGGCCTTCGTTGGAAACGGGATTTCTTCATATTCTGCTAGACAGAAGAATTCTCAGTAACTTCCTTGTGTTGAGTGTATTCAACTCACAGAGTTGAACGATCCTTTACACAGAGCAGACTTGTAACACTCTTTTTGTGGAATTTGCAAGTGGAGATTTCAGCCGCTTTGAAGTCAAAGGTAGAAAAGGAAATATCTTCCTATAAAAACTAGACAGAATGATTCTCAGAAACTCCTTTGAGATGTGTGTGTTCAACTCACAGAGTTTAACCTTTCTTTTCATAGAGCAGTTAGGAATCACTCTGTTTGTAAAGTCTGCAGGTGGATATTCAGACCTCTTTGAGGCCTTCGTTGGAAACGGGTTTTTTTCATATAAGGCTAGAGAGAAGAATTCCCAGTAACTTCCTTGTGTTGGCTGTGTTCAACTCACAGAGTTGAACTTTCATTTACACAGAGCAGATTTGAAACACTCTTTTTGTGGAATTTGCAAATGGAGATTTCAAGCGCTTTGAGGCCAAAGGCAGAAAAGGAAATATCTTCGTATAAAAACTCGACAGAATCATTCTCAGAAACTGCTCTGCGATGTGTGCGTTCAACTCTCAGAGTTTAACTTTTCTTTTCATTCAGCAGTTTGGAAACACTCTGTTTGTAAAGTCTTCACGTGGATAATTTGACCACTTAGAGGCCTTCGTTGGAAACGGGTTTTTTTCATGTAAGGCTAGACAGAAGAATTCCCAGTAACTTCCTTGTGTTGTGTACATTCAACTCACAGAGTTGAACGTTCCCTTAGACAGAGCAGATTTGAAACACTCTTTTTGTGCAATTGGCAAGTGGAGATTTCAAGCGCTTTAAGGTCAATGGCAGAAAAGGAAATATCTTCGTTTCAAAACTAGACAGAATCATTCTCAGAAACTGCTCTGCGATGTGTGTGTTCAACTCTCAGAGTTTAACTTTTCTTTTCATTCAGCAGTTTGGAAACACTCTGTTTGTAAAGTCTGCACGTGGATAATTTGACCACTTAGAGGCCTTCATTGGAAACGGGTTTTTTTCATGTAAGGCTAGACAGAAGAATTCTCAGTAACTTCCTTGTGTTGTGTGTATTCAACTCACAGAGTTGACCGATCCTTTACACAGAGCAGACTTGTAACACTCTTTTTGTGGAATTTGCAAGTGGAGATTTCAGCCGCTTTGAAGTCAATGGTAGAAAAGGAAATATCTTCCTATAAAAACTAGACAGAATGATTCTCAGAAACTCCTTTGTGATGTGTGCGTTCAACTCACAGAGTTTAACCTTCCTTTTCATAGAGCAGTTAGGAAACACTCTGCTTGTAAAGTCTGCAAGTGGATATTCAGACCTCTTTGAGGCCTTCCTTGGAAACGGGATTTTTTCATATAAGGCTAGACAGAAGAATTCCCAGTAACTTCCTTGTGTTGTGTGTATTCAACTCACAGAGTTGAACTTTCATTTACACAGAGCAGATTTGAAACACTCTTTTTGTGGTATTTGCAAGTGGAGATTTCAGCCGCTTTGATGTCAATGATAGAAAAGGAAATATCTTCGTATAAAAACTAGACAGAATCATTCTCAGAAACTGCTGCGTGATGTGTGCGTTCAACTCTCAGAGTTTAACTTTTCTTTTCATTCAGCGGTTTGGAAACACTCTGTTTGTAAAGTCTGCACGTGGATATTTTGACCACTTAGAGGTCTTCGTTGGAAACGGGTTTTTTTTAATGTAAGGCTAGACAGAAGAATTCCCAGTAACTTCCTTGTGTTGTGTACATTCAACTCACAGAGTTGAACGTTCCCTTAGACAGAGCAGATTTGAAACACTCTTTTTGTGCAATTGGCAAATGGAGATTTCAAGCGCTTTAAGGTCAATGGCAGAAAAGGAAATATCTTCGTTTCAAAACTAGACAGAATCATTCCCACAAACTGCGTTGTGATGTGTTCGTTCAACTCACAGAGTTTAACCTTTCTGTTCATAGAGCAGTTAGGAAACACTCTGTTTGTAAAGTCTGCAAGTGGATATTCAGACCTCCTTGAGGCTTTCGTTGGAAACGGGATTTCTTCATATTCTGCTAGACAGAGAAGATTCTCAGAAACTTCCTTGTGTTGTGTGTTTTCAACTCACAGAGTTGAACGATCCTTTACACAGAGCAGACTTGAAACACTCCTTTTGTGGAATTTGCAAGTGGAGATTTCAGCCGCTTTGAGGTCAATGGTAGAATAGGAAATATCTTCCTATAGAAACTAGACAGATGATTCTCAGAAACTCCTTTGAGATGTGTGCGTTCAACTCACAGAGTTTAACCTTTCTTTTCATAGAGCAGTTAGGAAACACTCTGTTTGTAAAGTCTGCAAGTTGATATTCAGACCTCCTTGAGGCCTTCGTTGGAAACGGGATTTCTTCATATTATGCTAGACAGAAGAATTCCCAGTAACTTCCCTTGTGTTGTGTGTGTTCAACTCACAGAGTTGAACTTTCATTTACACAGAGCAGATTTGAAACACTCTTTTTGTGGAATTTGCAAATGGAGATTTCAAGCGCTTTGCGGCCAAAGGCAGAAAAGGAAATATCTTCGTATAAAAACTAGACAGAATCATTCTCAGAAACTGCTCTGCGATGTGTGCGTTTAACTCTCAGAGTTTAACTTTTCTTTTCATTCAGCAGTTTGGAAACACTCTGTTTGTAAAGTCTGCACGTGGATAACTTGACCACTTAGAGGCCTTCGTTGGAAACGGGTTTTTTTCATGTAAGGCTAGACAGAAGAATTCCCAGTAACTTCCTTGTGTTGTGTGCATTCAACTCACAGAGTTGAACGTTCCCTTAGACAGAGCAGATTTGAAACACTCTATTTGTGCAATTTGCAAGTGTAGTTTTCAAGCTCTTTAAGGTCAACGGCAGAAAAGGAAATATCTTGGTTTCAAAACTAGACAGAATCATTCTCAGAAACTGCTCTGCGATGTGTGCTTTCAACTCTCAGAGTTTAACTTTTCTTTTCATTCAGCAGTTTGGAAACACTCTGTTTGTAAAGTCTGCACGTGGATAACTTGACCACTTAGAGGCCTTCGTTGGAAACGGGTTTTTTTCATGTAAGGCTAGACAGAAGAATTCTCAGTAACTTCCTTGTATTGTGTGTATTCAACTCACATAGTTGAACGATCCTTTACACAGAGCATACTTGAAACACTCTTCTTGTGGAATTTGCAAGTGGAGATTTCAGCCGCTTTGAGGTCAATGGTAGAATAGGAAATATCTTCCTATAGAAACTAGACAGAATGATTCTCAGAAACTCCTTTGTGATGTGTGCGTTCAACTCACAGAGTTTAACCTTTGTTTTCATAGAGCAGTTAGGAAACACTCTGTTTGTAAAGTCTGCAAGTGGATATTCAGACCTGCTTGAGGCCTTCTTTGGAAACGGGATTTCTTCTTATTATGCCAGACAGAAGAATTCCCAGTAACTTCCTTGTGTTGTGTGTGTTCAACTCACAGAGTTGAACTTTCATTTACACAGAGCAGATTTGAAACACTCTTTTTGTGGAATTTGCAAATGGAGATTTCAAGCGCTTTGAGGCCAAAGGCAGAAAACGAAATATCTTCGTATAAAAACTAGACAGAATCATTCTCAGAAACTGCTGCGTGATGTGTGCGTTCAACTCTCAGAGTTTAACTTTTCTTTTCATTCAGCGGTTTGGAAACATTCTGTTTGTAAAGTCTGCACGTGGATATTTTGACCACTTAGAGGCCTTCGTTGGAAACGGGTTTTTTTCATGTAAGGCTAGACAGAAGAATTCCCAGGAACTTCCTTGTGTTGTGTACATTCAACTCACAGAGTTGAACGTTCCCTTAGACAGAGCAGATTTGAAACACTCTTTTTGTGCAATTGGCAAATGGAGATTTCAAGCGCTTTAAGTTCAATGGCAGAAAAGGAAATATCTTCGTTTCAAAACTAGACAGAATCATTCCCACAAGCTGCGTTGTGATGTGTTCGTTCAACTCACAGAGTTTAACCTTTCTGTTCATAGAGCAGTTAGGAAACACTCTGTTTGTAAAGTCTGTAAGTGGATATTCTGACATCTTGTGGCCTTCGTTGGAAACGGGATTTCTTCATATTCTGCAAGACAGAAGAATTCTCAGTTACTTCCTTGTGTTGTGTGTATTCAACTCACAGAGTTGAACGATCCTTTACACAGAGCAGACTTGAAACACTCTTTTTATGGAATTTGCAAGTGGAGATTTCAGCCGCTTTGAGGTCAATGGTAGAAAAGGAAATATCTTCGTATAAAGACTAGACAGAATGATTCTCAGAAACTCCTTTGTGATGTGTGCGTTCAACTCACAGAGTTTCACTTTTCTTTTCATAGAGCAGTTAGGAATCACTCTGTTTGTAAAGTCTGCAAGTGGATATTCAGACCTCTTTGAGGCCTTCGGTGGAAACGGGATTTCTTCATATTATGCTAGACAGAAGAATTCTCAGTAACTTCCTTGTGTTGTGTGTATTCAACTCACAGAGTTGAAAGATCCTTTACAGAGAGCAGGCTTGAAACACTCTTTTTGTCGAATTTGCAAGTGGAGATTTCAGCCGCTTTGAGGTCAATGGTAGAATAGGAAATATCTTCTTATAGAAACTAGACAGAATCATTCTCAGAAACTGCTGCGTGATGTGTGCGTTCAACTCTCTGAGTTTAACTTTTCTTTTCATTCAGCGGTTTGGAAACACTCTGTTTGTAAAGTCTGCACGTGGATATTTTGACCACTTAGAGGCCTTCGTTGGAAACGGGTTTTTTTCATGTAAGGCTAGACAGAAGAATTCCCAGTAACTTCCTTGTGTTGTGTGCATTCAACTCACAGAGTTGAACGTTCCCTTAGACAGAGCAGATTTGAAACACTCTATTTGTGCAATTTGCAAGTGTAGATTTCAAGCGCTTTAAGGTCAACGGCAGAAAAGGAAATATGTTCGTTTCAAAACTAGACAGAATGATTCTCAGAAACTCCTTTGTGATGTGTGCGTTCAACTCACAGAGTTTCACCTTTCTTTTCATAGAGCCGTTAGGAAACACTCTGTTTGTAAAGTCTGCAAGTGGATATTCAGACCTCCTTGAGGCCTTCGTTGGAAGCGGGATTTCTTCATATTATGCTAGACAGAAGAATTCTCAGTAACTTCCTTGTGTTGTGTGTATTCAACTCACAGAGTTGAACGATCCTTTACACAGAGCATACTTGAAACACTCTTGTTGTGGAATTTGCAAGTGGAGATTTCAGCCGCTTTGAGGTCAATGGTAGAATAGGAAGTATCTTCCTATAGAAACTAGACAGAATGATTCTCAGAAACTCCTTTGTGATGTGTGCGTTCAACTCACAGAGTTTAACCTTTCTTTTCATAGAGCAGTTAGGAAACACTCTGTTTGTAATGTCTGCAAGTGGATATTCAGACCTCTTTGAGGCCTTCGTTGGAAACGGGATTTCTTCATATTATGCTAGACAGAAGAATTCCCAGTAACTTCCTTGTGTTGTGTGTGTTCAACTCACAGAGTTGAACTTTCATTTACCCAGAGCAGATTTGAAACACTCTTTTTGTGGAATTTGCAAGTGGAGATTTCAAGCGCTTTGAGGCCAAAGGCAGAAAAGGAAATATCTTCGTTTCAAAACTAGACAGCATCATTCTCAGAAACTGCTCTGCGATGTATGCGTTCAACTCTCAGAGTTTAACTTTTCTTTTCATTCAGCAGTTTGGAAACACTCTGTTTGTAAAGTCTGCACGTGGATATTTTGACCACTTAGAGGCCTTGGTTGGAAACGGGTTTTTTTCATGTAAGGCTAGACAGAAGAATTCCCAGTAACTTCCTTGTGTTGTGTACATTCAACTCACAGAGTTGAACGTTCCCTTAGACAGAGCAGATTTGAAACACTCTTTTTGTGCAATTGGCAAGTGGAGATTTCAAGCGCTTTAAGGTCAATGGCAGAAAAGGAAATATCTTCGTTTCAAAACTAGGCAGAATCATTCCCACAAACTGCGTTGTGATGTGTTCGTTCAACTCACAGAGTTTAACCTTTCCGTTCATAGAGCAGTTAGGAAACACACTGTTTGTAAAGTCTGTAAGTGGATATTCTGACATCTTGTGGCCTTCGTTGGAAACGGGATTTCTTCATATTCTGCTAGACAGAAGAATTCTCAGTAACTTCCTTGTGTTGTGTGTATTCAACTCACAGAGTTGCACGATCCTTTACACAGAGCAGACTTGAAACACTCTTTTTGTGGAATTTGCAAGTGGAGATTTCAGCCGCTTTGAGTTCAATGGTAGAATAGGAAATATCTTCCTATAGAAACTAGACAGAATGATTCTCAGAATCTCCTTTGTGATGTGTGCGTTCAACTCACAGAGTTCAACCTTTCTTTTAATAGAGTAGTTGGGAAACACTCTGTTTGTAAAGTCTGCAAGTGGATATTCAGACTTCTTTGAGGCCTTCGTTGGAAGCGGGATTTCTTCATATTCTGCTAGACAGAAGAATTCTCAGTAACCTCCTTGTGTTGTGTGTATTCAACTCACAGAGTTGAACGACCCTTTACACAGAGCAGACTTGAAACACTCTTTTTGTGGAATTTGCAAGTGGAGATTTCAGCCGCTTTGAGGTCAATGGTAGAATAGGAAATATCTTCCTATAGAAACTAGACAGAATCATTCTCAGAAACTGCTGCGTGATGTGTGCGTTCAACTCTCAGAGTTTAACTTTTCTTTTCATTCAGCGGTTTGGAAACCCTCTGTTTGTAAAGTCTGCACGTGGATATTTTGACCACTTAGAGGCCTTCGTTGGAAACGGGTTTTTTGTATGTAAGGCTAGACAGAAGAATTCCCAGTAACTTCCTTGTGTTGTGTGCATTCAACTCACAGAGTTGAACGTTCCCTTAGACAGAGCAGATTTGAAACACTCTATTTGTGCAATTTGCAAGTGTAGATTTCAAGCGCTTTAAGGTCAACGGCAGAAAAGGAAATATCTTCGTTTCAAAACTAGACAGAATGATTCTCAGTAAACTCCTTTGTGACGTGTGCGTTCAACTCACAGAGTTTAACCTTTCTGTTCATAGAGCAGTTAGGAAACACTCTGTTTGTAAAGTCTGCAAGTGGATATTCAGACCTCCTTGAGGCCTTCGTTGGAAACGGGATTTCTTCATATTCTGATAGACAGAAGAATTCTCAGTAACTTCCCTTGTGTTGTGTGTATTCAACTCACAGAGTTGAACGATCCTTTACACAGAGCAGACTTGAAACACTCTTTTTGTGGAATTTGCAAGTGGAGATTTCAGCCGCTTTGAGGTCAATGTTAGAATAGGAAATATCTTCCTATAGAAACTAGACAGAAATGATTCTCAGAAACTCCTTTGTGATGTGTGCGTTCAACTCACAGAGTTTAACCTTTCTTTTCATAGAGCAGTTAGGAAACACTCTGTTTGTAAAGTCTGCAAGTGGATATTCAGACCTGTTTGAGGCCTTCGTTGGAAACGGGTTTTTTTCATATAAGGCTAGACAGAAGAATTCTCAGGAACTTCCTTGTGTTGTGTGTATTCAACTGACAGAGTTGAACTTTCATTTAGAGAGAGCAGATTTGAAACACTGTTTTTGTGGAATTTGCAAGTGGAGATTCCAAGCGCTTTGGGGCCAAAGGCAGAAAAGGAAATATCTTCGTAGAAAAACTAGACAGAATCATTCTCAGAAACTGCTCTGCGATATGTGCGTTCAACTCTCAGAGTTTAACTTTTCTTTTCATTCAGCAGTTTGGAAACACTCTGTTTGTAAAGTCTGCACGTGGATATTTTGACCACTTAGAGGCCTTCGTTGGAAACGGGTTTCTTTCCTGTAAGGCTAGACAGAAGAATTCCCAGTAACTTCCTTGTGTTGTGTACATTCAACACACAGATTTGAACGTTCCCTTAGACAGAGCTGATTTGAAACACTCTTTTTGTGCAATTGGCAAGTGGAGATTTCAAGCGCTTTAAGGTCAATGGCAGAAAAGTAAATATCTTCGTTTCAAAACTAGACAGAATCATTCCCACAAACTGCGTTGTGATGTGTTCGTTCAACTCACAGAGTTTAACCTTTCTTTTCATAGAGCAGTTAGCAAACAGTCTGTTTGTCAATTCTGTAAGTGGATATTCTGACATCTTGTGGCCTTCGTTGGAAACGGGATTTCTTCATATTCTGCTAGACAGAAGAATTCTCAGTAACTTCCTTGTGTTGTGTGTATTCAACTCACAGAGTTGAATGATCCTTTACACAGAGCAGACTTGAAACACTCTTTTTGTGGAATTTGCAAGTGGAGATTTCAGCCGCTTTGAGGTCAATAGTAGAAAAGGAAATATCTTCGTAGAAAAACTAGACAGAATGATTCTCAGAAAATCCTTTGTGATGTGTGCGTTCAACTCACAGAGTTTAACTTTTCTTTTCATAGAGCAGTTTGGAAACACTCTGTTTGTAAAGTCTGCAAGTGGATATTCAGACCTCTTTCAGGCCTTCGTCGGAAACGGGATTTCTTCATATTATGCTAGACAGAAGAATTCCCAGTAACTTCCTTGTGTTGTGTGTGTTCAACTCACAGAGTTGAACTTTCATTTACACAGAGCAGATTTGAAACACTCTTTTTGTGGAATTTGCAAATGGAGATTTCAAGCGCTTTGAGGCCAAAAGCAGAAAAGGAAATATCTTCGTATAAAAACTAGACAGAATCATTCTCAGAAACTGCTGCGTGATGTGTGCGTTCAACTCTCAGAGTTTAACTATTCTTTTCATTCAGCGGTTTGGAAACACTCTGTTTGTAAAGTCTGCACGTGGAAATTTTGACCACTTAGAGGCCTTCGTTGGAAACGGGTTTTTTTCATGTAAGGCTAGACAGAAGAATTCCCAGTAACTTCCTTGTGTTGTGTACATTCAACTCACAGAGTTGAACGTTCCCTTAGACAGAGCAGATTTGAAATACTCTTTTTGTGCAATTGGCAAGTGGAGATTTCAAGCGCTTTAAGGTCAATGGCATAAAAGGAAATATCTTGGTTTCAAAACTAGACAGAATCATTCCCACAAACCGCGTTGTGATGTGTTCGTTCAACTCACAGAGTTTAACCTTTCTGTTCATAGAGCAGTTAGGAAACACTCTGTTTGTAAAGTCTGTAAGTGGATATTCTGACAACTTGTGGCCTTCGTTGGAAACGGGATTTCTTCATATTCTGCTAGACAGAAGAATTCTCAGTAACTTCCCTTGTGTTGTGTGTATTCAACTCACAGAGTTGAATGATCCTTTACACAGAACAGTCTTGAAACACTCTTTTTGTGGAATTTGCAAGTGGAGATTTCAGCCGCTTTGAGGTCAATGGTAGAATAGGATATATCTTCCTATAGAAACTAGACAGAATGATTCTCAGAAACTACTTTGTGATGTGTGCGTTCAACTCACAGAGTTTAACCTTTCTTTTCATAGAGCAGTTAGGAAACACTCTGTTTGTAAAGTCTGCAAGTGGATATTCAGACCTCTTTGAGGCCTTCGTTGGAAACGGGATTTCTTCATACTGTGCTAGACAGAAGAATTCTCAGTAACTTCCCTTGTGTTGTGTGTATTCAACTCACAGAGTTGAACGATCCTTTACACAGAGCGGACTTGAAACACACTTTTTGTGGAATTTGCAAGTGGAGATTTCAAGCGCTTTGAGGCCAAAGGCAGAAAAGGAAATATCTTCGTATAAAAACTAGACAGAATGATTCTCAGAAACTCCTTTGTAATGTGTGCGTTCAACTCACAGAGTTTAACCTTTCTTTTCATAGAGCAGTTAGGAAACACTCTGTTTGTAAAGTCTGCAAGTGGATATTCAGACCTCTTTGAGGCCTTCGTTGGAAACGGGTTATTTTCATATAAGGCTAGACAGAAGAATTCCCTTTAAATTGCTTGTGTTGTGTGTATTCAACTGACAGATTTGAACTTTCATTTAGACAGAGCAGATTTGAAACACTCTTTTTGTGCAATTTGCAAGTGGAAATTTCAAACGCTTTAAGGTCAATGGCAGAAAAGGAAATATCTTCGTTTCAAAACTAGACAGAATCATTCCCACAAACTGCGTTGTGCTGTGTTCGTTCAACTCACAGAGTTTAACCTTTCTTTTCATAGAGCAGTTAGGAAACACTCTGTTTGTAAACTCTGCAAGTGGATATTCACACCTCTTAGAGGCCTTCGTTGGAAACGGTATTTCTTCATATTATGCTAGATAGAAGAAATCTCAGTAACTTCCTTGTGTTGTGTTTATTCAACTCACAGAGTTGAACGATCCTTTACACAGAGCAGACTTGAAACACTCTTTTTGTGGAATTTGCAAGTGGAGATTTCAGCCGCTTTGAGGTCAATGGTAGAAAAGTAAATATCTTCGTATAAAGACTAGACAGAATGATTCTCAGAAACTTCTTGGTGATGTGTGCGTTCAACTCACAGAGTTTAACCTTTCTTTTCATAGAGCAGTTAGGAAACACTCTGTTTGTAAACTCTGCAAGTGGATATTCACACCTCTTTGAGGCCTTCGTTGGAAACGGGATTTCTTCATACTGTGCTACACAGAAGAATTCTCAGTAACTTCCTTGTGTAGTGTGTATTCAACTGACAGAGTTGAACTTTCATTTAGAGAGAGCAGATTTGAAACACTGTTTTTGTGGAATTTGCAAGTGGAGATTTCAAGCGCTTTGGGGCCAAAGGCAGAAAAGGAAATATCTTCGTATAAAAACTAGACAGAAACATTCTCAGAAACTGATGCGTGATGTGTGCGTTCAACTCTCAGAGTTTAACTTTTCTTTTCATTCAGCGGTTTGGAAACACTCTGTTTGTAAAGTCTGCACGTGGAAATTTTGACCACTTAGAGGCCTTCGTTGGAAACGGGTTTTTTTCATGTAAGGCTAGACAGAAGAATTCCCAGTAACTTCCTTGTGTTGTGTGCATTCAACTCACAGAGTTGAACGTTCCCTTAGACAGAGCAGATTTGAAACACTCTATTTGTGCAATTTGCAAGTGTAGTTTTCAAGCTCTTTAAGGTCAACGGCAGAAAAGGAAATATCTTCGTTTCAAAACTAGACAGAATCATTCCCACAAACTGCGTTGTGATGTGTACGTTCAACTCACAGAGTTTAACCTTTCCGTTCATAGAGCAGTTAGGAAACACTCTGTTTGTAAAGTCTGTAAGTGGATATTCTGACATCTTGTGGCCTTCGTTGGAAACGGGATTTCTTCATATTCTGCGAGACAGAAGAATTCTCAGTAACTTCCTTGTGTTGTGTGTATTCAACTCACAGAAGTTGAACGATCCTTTACACAGAGCAGACTTGTAACACTCTTTTTGTGGAATTTGCAAGTGGAGATTTCAGCCGCTTTGAAGTCAAAGGTAGAAAAGGAAATATCTTCCTATAAAAACTAGACAGAACGATTCTCAGAAACTCCTTTGTGATGTGTGCGTTCAACTCACAGAGTTTAACCTTTCTTTTCATAGAGCAGTTAGGAAACACTCTGTTTGTAAAGTCTGCAAGTGGATATTCAGACCTCTTTGAGGCCTTCGTTGGAAACGGGGATTTCTTCATATTCTGCTAGACAGAAGAATTCTCAGTAACTTCCTTGTGTTGTGTGTATTCAACTGACAGAGTTGAACTTTCATTTAGAGAGAGCAGATTTGAAACACTGTTTTTGTGGAATTTGCAAGTGGAGATTACAAGCGCTTTGGGGCCAAAGGCAGAAAAGGAAATATCTTCGTATAAAAACTAGACAGAATCATTCTCAGAAACTGCTGCGTGATGTGTGCGTTCAACTCTCAGAGTTTAACTTTTCTTTTCATTCAGCGGTTTGGAAAAACTCTGTTTGTAAAGACTGCACGTGGATATTTTGACCACTTAGAGGCCTTCGTTGGAAACGGGTTTTTTTTCATGTAAGGCTAGACAGAAGAATTCCCAGTAACTTCCTTGTGTTGTGTACATTCAACTCACGGAGTTGAACGTTCCCTTAGACAGAGCAGATTTGAAACACTCTTTTTGTGCAATTGGCAAATGGAGATTTCAAGCGCTTTAAGTTCAAAGGCAGAAAAGGAAATATCTTCGTTTCAAAACTAGACAGAATCATTCCCACAAACTGCGTTGTGATGTGTTCGTTCAACTCACAGAGTTTAACCTTTCTGTTCATAGAGCAGTTAGGAAACACTCTGTTTGTAAAGTCTGTAAGTGGATATTCTCACATCTTGTGGCCTTCGTTGGAAACGGGATTTCTTCATATTCTGCTAGACAGAAGAATTCTCAGTAACTTCCTTGTGTTGTGTGTATTCAACTCACAGAGTTGAACGATCCTTTACACAGAGCAGACTTGTAACACTCTTTTTGTGGAATTTGCAAGTGGAGATTTCAGCCGCTTTGAAGTCAAAGTAGAAAAGGAAATTTCTTCCTATAAAAACTAGACAGAATGATTCTCAGAAACTCCTTTGACATGTGTGCGTTCAACTCACAGAGTTTAACCTTTCTTTTCATAGAGCAGTTAGGAATCACTCTGTTTGTAAAGTCTGCAAGTGGATATTCAGACCTCTTTGAGGCCTTCGTTGGAAACGGGTTTTTTTCATATAAGGCTAGACAGAAGAATTCCCAGTAACTTCCTTGTGTTGTGTGTGTTCAACTCACAGAGTTGAACTTTCATTTACACAGAGCAGATTTGAAACACTCTTTTTGTGGAATTTGCAAGTGGAGATTTCAATTGCTTTGAGGCCAAAGGCAGAAAAGGAAATATCTTCGTATAAAAACTAGACAGAATCATTCTCAGAAACTGCTCTGTGATGTGTGCGTTCAACTCTCAGAGTTTAACTTTGCTTTTCATTCAGCAGTTTGGAAACACTCTGTTTGTAAAGTCTGCACGTGGATAATTTGACCACTTAGAGGCCTTCGTTGGAAACGGGTTTTTTTCATGTAAGGCTAGACAGAAGAATTCCCAGTAACTTCCTTGTGTTGTGTGCATTCAACTCACAGAGTTGAACGTTCCCTTAGACAGAGCAGATTTGAAACACTCTATTTGTGCAATTTCCAAGTGTAGATTTCAAGCGCTTTAAGGTCAACGGCAGAAAAGGAAATATCTTCGTTTCAAAACTAGAGAGAATCATTCCCACAAACTGCGTTGTGATGTGTTCGTTCAACTCACAGAGTTTAACCTTTCTGTTCATAGAGCAGTTAGGAAACACTCTGTTTGTACAGTCTGCCAGTGGATATTCAGACCTCCTTGAGGCCTTCGTTGGAAACGGGATTTCTTCATATTCTGCTAGACAGAAGAATTCTCAGTAACTTCCTTGTGTTGTGTGTATTCAACTCACAGAGTTGCACGATCCTTTACACAGAGCAGACTTGTAACACTCTTTTTGTGGAATTTGCAAGTGGAGATTTCAGCCGCTTTGAAGTCAAAGGTAGAAAAGGAAATATCTTCCTATAAAAACTAGACAGAATGATTCTCAGAAACTCCTTTGTGATGTGTGCGTTCAACTCACAGAGTTTAACCTTTCTTTTCATAGAGCAGTTAGGAAACACTCTGTTTGTACAGTCTGCAAGTGGATATTCAGACATCCTTGAGGCTTTCGTTGGAAACGGGATTTCTTCATATTCTGCTAGACAGAAGAATTCTCAGTAACTTCCTTGTGTTGTGTGTATTCAACTGTCAGAGTTGAACTTTCATTTAGAGAGAGCACATTTGAAACACTGTTTCTGTGGAATTTGCAAGTGGAGATTTCAAACGCTTTGGGGCCAAAGGCAGAAAAGGAAATATCTTCGTATAAAAACTAGACAGAATCATACTCAGAAACTGCTGCGTGATGTGTGCGTTCAACTCTCAGAGTTTAACTTTTCTTTTCATTCAACGGTTTGGAAACACTCTGTTTGTAAAGTCTGCACGTGGATATTTTGACCACTTAGAGGCCTTCGTTAGAAACGGGTTTTTTCATGTAAGGCTAGACAGAAGAATTCTCAGAAACTTCGTTGTGTTGTGTGTTTTCAACTCACAGAGTTCAACGATCCTTTACACAGAGTAGACTTGAAACACTCTTTTTGTGGAATTGGCAGGGTGGAGATTTCAGCCGCTTTGAGGTCAGTGGTAGAAAAGGAAATATCTTCGTATAAAAACTAGACAGAGTGATTCTCAGAAACTCCTTTGTGATGTCTGCGTTCAACTCACAGAGTTTAACCTTTCTTTTCATAGAGCAGTTAGGAAACACTGTGTTTGTAAAGTCTGCAAGTGGATATTCAGACCTCCTTGAGGCCTTCGTTGGAAACGGGATTTCTTCATATTCTGCTATACAGAAGAATTCTCAGAAACTTCCTTGTGTTGTGTGTATTCAACTCACAGAGTTGAACGATCCTTTACACAGAGCAGACTTGAAACACTCTTTTTGTGGAATTTGCAAGTGGAGATTTCAGCCGCTTTGAGGTCAATGGTAGAATAGGAAATATCTTCCTATAGAAACTAGACAGAATGATTCTCAGAAACTCCTTTGTGATGTGTGCGTTCAACTCACAGAGTTCAACCTTTCTTTTCATAGAGCAGTTGGGAAAAACTCTCTTTGTAAAGTCTGCAAGTGGATATTCAGACTTCTTTGAGGCCTTCGTTGGAAGCGGGGTTTCTTCATATTCTCCTAGACAGAAGAATTCCCAGTAACTTCCTTGTGTTGTGTGTGTTCAACTCACAGAGTTGAACTTTCATTTACACAGAGCAGATTTGAAACACTCTTTTTGTGGAATTTGCAAGTGGAGATTTCAAGCGCTTTGAGGCCAAAGGCAGAAAAGGAAATATCTTCGTTTGAAAACTAGACAGAATCATTCTCAGAAAATGCTCTGTGATGTGTGCGTTCAACTCTCAGAGTTTAACTTTTGTTTTCATTCAGCAGTTTGGAAACACTCTGTTTGTAAAGTCTGCACGTGGATATTTTGACCACTTAGAGGCCTTCGTTGGAAACGGGTTTTTTTCATGTAAGGGTAGACAGAAGAATTCCCAGTAACTTCCTTGTGTTGTGTACATTCAACTCACAGAGTTGAACGTTCCCTTAGACAGAGCAGATTTGAAACACTCTTTTTGTGCAATTGGCAAATGGAGATTTCAAGCGCTTTAAGGTCAATGGCAGAAAAGGAAATATCTTCGTTTCAAAACTAGACAGAATCATTCCCACAAACTGCGTTGTGATGTGTTCGTTCAACTCACAGAGTTTAACCTTTCTTTTCATAGAGCAGTTAGGAAACAGTCTGTTTGTAAATTCTGTAAGTGGATATTCTGACATCCTTGTGGCCTTCGTTGGAAACGGGATTTCTTCATATTCTGCTAGACAGAAGAATTCTCAGTAACTTCCTTGGGTTGTGTTTATTCAACTCACAGAGTTGAATGATCCTTTACACAGAGCAGACTTGAAACACTCTTTTTGTGGAATTTGCAAGTGGAGATTTCAGCCGCTTTGAGGTCAATGGTAGAAAAGTAAATATCTTCGTATAAAGACTAGACAGAATGATTGTCAGAAACTCCTTTGTGATGTGTGCGTTCAACTCACAGAGTTTAACCTTTCTTTTCATAGAGCAGTTAGGAAACACTCTGTTTGTAAAGTCTGCAAGTGGATATTCAGACCTCCTTGAGGCCTTCGTTGGAAACGGGATTTCTTCATATTCTGCTAGACAGAAGAATTCTCAGTAACTTCCTTGTGTTGTGTGTATTCAACTGACAGAGTTGAACTATCATTTAGAGAGAGCAGATTTGAAACACTGTTTTTGTGGAATTTGTAAGTGGAGATTTCAAGCGCTTTGGGGCCAAAGGCAGAAAAGGAAATATCTTCGTATAAAAACTAGACAGAATCATTCTCAGAAACTGCTGCGTGATGTGTGCGTTCAAGTCTCAGAGTTTAACTTTTCTTTTCATTCAGCGGTTTGGAAACACTCTGTTTGTAAAGTCTGCACGTGGAAATTTTGACCACTTAGAGGCCTTCGTTGGAAACGGGTTTTTTTCATGTAAGGCTAGACAGAAGAATTCCCAGTAACTTCCTTGTGTTGTGTGCATTCAACTCACAGAGTGGAACGTTCCCTTAGACAGGGCAGATTTGAAACACTCTATTTGTGCAATTTGCAAGTGTAGATTTCAAGCGCTTTAAGGTCAACGGCAGAAAAGGAAATATCTTCTTTTCAAAACTAGACAGAATCATTCCCACAAACTGCGTTGTGATGTGTTCGTTCATCTCACAGAGTTTAACCTTTCTTTTCGTAGAGCAGTTAGGAAACAGTCTGTTTGTAAATTCTGTAAGTGGATATTCTGACATCTTGTGGCCTTCGTTGGAAACGGGATTTCTTCATACTGTGCTAGACAGAAGAATTCTCAGTAACTTCCTTGTGTTCTGTGTATTCAACTCACAGAGTTGAACGATCCTTTACACAGAGCAGACTTGAAACACTCTTTTTGTGGAATTTGCAAGTGGAGATTTCAGCCGCTTTGAGGTCAATGGTAGAATAGGAAATATCTTTCTATAGAAACTAGACAGAGTGATTCTCAGAAACTCCTTTGTGATGTCTGCGTTCAACTCACAGAGTTTAACCTTTCTTTTCATAGAGCAGTTAGGAAACACTCTGTTTGTAAAGTCTGCAAGTGGATATTCAGACCTCCTTGAGGCCTTCGTTGGAAATGGGATTTCTTCATATTCTGCTATACAGAAGAATTCTCAGTAACTTCCTTGTGTTGTGTGTATTCAACTCACAGAGTTGAACGATCCTTTACACAGAGCATACTTGGAACACTCTTCTTGTGGAATTTGCAAGTGGAGATTTCAGCCGCTTTGAGATCAATGGTAGAATAGGAAATATCTTCGTATAAAAACTAGACAGAATCATTCTCAGAAACTGCTCTGTGATGTGTGCGTTCAACTCTCAAAGTTTAACTTTTCTTTTCATTCAGCAGTTTGGAAACACTCTGTTTGTAAAGTCTGCACGTGGATATTTTGACCACTTAGAGGCCTTCGTTGGAAACGGGTTTTTTTTCATGTAAGGCTAGACGGTAGAATTCCCAGTAACTTCCTTGTGTTGTGTGCATTCAACTCACAGAGTTGAACGTTCCCTTAGACAGAGCAGATTTGAAACACTCTATTTGTGCAATTTGCAAGTGTAGATATCAAGCGCTTTAAGGTCAATGGCAGAAAAGGAAATGTCTTAGTTTCAAAACTAGACAGAATGATTCTGAGAAAATCCTTTGTGATTTGTGCGTTCAACTCACAGAGTTTAACCTTTCTTTTCATAGAGCAGTTAGGAAACACTCTGTTTGTAAAGTCTGCAAGTGGATATTCAGACCTCCTTGAGGCCTTCGTTGGAAACGGGATTTCTTCATATTATGCTAGACAGAAGAATTCTCAGTAACTTCCTTGTGTTGTGTGTATTCAACTCACAGAGTTGAACGATCCTTTACACAGAGCAGACTTGAAACACTCTTTTTGTGGAATTTGCAAGTGGAGATTTCAGCCGCTTTGAGGTCAATGGTAGAATAGGAAATATCTTCCTATAGAAAGTAGACAGAATGATTCTCAGAAATTACTTTGTGATGTGTGCGTTCAACTCACAGAGTTTAACCTTTCTTTTCATAGAGCAGTTAGGAAACACTCTGTTTGTAAAGTCTGCAAGTGGATATTCAGACATCTTTGAGGCTTTCGTTGGAAACGGGATTTCTTCTTATTCTGCTATACAGAAGAATTCTCAGTAACTTCCTTTTGTTGTGTGTATTCAACTGACAGAGTTGAACTTTCATTTAGACAGAGCAGATTTGAAACATTCTTTTTGTGGAATTTGCAAGTGGAGATTTCAAGCGCTTTGAGGCCAAAGGCAGAAAAGGATATATCTTCGTATAAAAACTAGACAGAATCATTCTCAGAAACTGCTGCGTGATGTGTGCGTTCAACTCTCAGAGTTGAACTTTTCTTTTCATTCAGCGGTTTGGAAACACTCTGTTTGTAAAGTCTGCACGTGGAAATTTTGACCACTTAGAGGCCTTCGTTGGAAACGGGTTTTTTTCATGTAAGGCTAGACAGAAGAATTCCCAGTAACTTCCTTGTGTTGTGTACATTCAACTCACAGAGTTGAACGTTCCCTTAGACAGAGCAGATTTGAAACACTCTTTTTGTGCAATTGGCAAATGGAGATTTCAAGCGCTTTAAGGTCAATGGCAGAAAAGGAAATATCTTCGTTTCCAAACTAGACAGAATCATTCCCACAAACTGCGTTGTGATGTGTTCGTTCATCTCACAGAGTTTAACCTTTCTTTTCGTAGAGCAGTTAGGAAACAGTCTGTTTGTAAATTCTGTAAGTGGATATTCTGACATCTTGTGGCCTTCGTTGGAAACGGGATTTCTTCATATTCTGCTAGACAGAAGAATTCTCAGTAACTTCCTTGTGTTGTGTGTATTCAACTCACAGAGTTGAACGATCCTTTACACAGAGCAGACTTGAAACACTCTTTTTGTGGAATTTGCAAGTGGAGATTTCAGCCACTTTGAGGTCAATGTTAGAATAGGAAATATCTTCCTATAGAAACTAGACAGAATGATTCTCAGAAACTCCTTTGTGATGTGTGTGTTCAACTCACAGAGTTTAACCTTTCTTTTCATAGAGCAGTTAGTAAACACTCTGTTTATAAAGTCTGCAAGTGAATATTCAGACCCCTTTGAGGGCTTCGTTGGAAACGGGATTTCTTCATATTATGCTAGACAGAAGAATTCCCAGTAACTTCCTTGTGTTGTGTGTGTTCAACTCACAGAGTTGAACTTTCATTTACACAGAGCAGATTTGAAGCACTCTTTTTGTGGAATTTGCAAGTGGAGATTTCAAGCGCTTTGAGGCCAAAGGCAGAAAAGGAAATATCTTCGTTTCAAAACTAGACAGAATCATTCTCAGAAACTGCTCTGCGATGTGTGCGTTCAACTCTCAGAAGTTTAACTTTTCTTTTCATTCAGCAGTTTGAAAACACTCTGTTTGTAAAGTCTGCACGTGGATAATTTGACTACTTAGAGGCCTTCGTTGGACACGGGTTTTTTTCATGTAAGGCTAGACAGAAGAATTCCCAGTAACTTCCTTGTGTTGCGTACATTCAGCTCACAGAGTTGAACGTTCCCTTAGACAGAGCAGATTTGAAACACTCTTTTTGTGCAATTGGCAAGTGGAGATTTCAAGCGCTTTAAGGTCAATGGCAGAAAAGGAAATATCTTCGTTTCAAAACTAGACAGAATCATTCCCACAAACTGCGTTGTGATGTGTTCGTTCAACTCACAGAGTTTAACCTTTCTTTTCATAGAGCAGTTAGGAAACAGTCTGTTTGTAAATTCTGTAAGTGGATATTCTGACATCTTGTGGCCTTCGTTGGAAACAGGATTTCTTCATATTCTGCTAGACAGAAGAATTCTCAGTAACTTCCTTGTGTTGTGTGTATTCAACTCAGAGAGTTGAACGATCCTTTACACAGAGCAGACTTGAAACACTCTTTTTGTGGAATTTGCAAGTGGAGATTTCAGCCGCTTTGAGGTCAATGGTAGAATAGGAAATATCTTCCTATAGAAACTAGACAGAATGATTCTCAGAAACTCCTTTGTGATGTGTGCGTTCAACTCACAGACTTTAACCTTTCTTTTCATAGAGCAGTTAGGAAACACTCTGTTTGTAAAGTCTGCAAGTGGATATTCAGACATCTTTGAGGCTTTCGTTGGAAACGGGTTTTCTTCATATTCTGCTATACAGAAGAATTCTCAGAAACTTCCTTGTGTTGTGTGTCTTCAACTCACAGAGTTGAACGATGCTTTACACAGAGCAGACTTGAAACACTCTATTTGTGGAATTTGCAAGTGGAGATTTCAGCCGCTTTGAGGTCAATGGTAGAATAGGAAATATCTTCTTATAGAAACTAGACAGAATCATTCTCAGAAACTGCTCTGTGATGTGTGCGTTCAACTCTCAGAGTTTAACTTTTCTTTTCATTCAGTAGTTTGGAAACACTCTGTTTGTAAATCTGCACGTGGATATTTTGACCACTTAGAGGCTTTCGTTGGAAACGGGTTTTTTTCATGTAAGGCTAGACAGAAGAATTCCCAGTAACTTCCTTGTGTTGTGTGCATTCAACTCACAGAGTTGAACGTTCCCTTAGACAGAGCAGATTTGAAACACTCTATTTGTGCAATTTGCAAGTGTAGATTTCAAGCGCTTTAAGGTCAACGGCAGAAAAGGAAATATCTTCGTTTCAAAACTAGATAGAATCATTCCCACAAACTGCGTTGCGATGTGTTCGTTCAACTCACAGAGTTTAACATTTCTTTTCATAGAGCACTTAGGAAACAGTCTGTTTGTAAATTCTGTAAGTGGATATTCTGACATCTTGTGGCCTTCGTTGGAAACAGGATTTCTTCATATTCTGCTAGACAGAAGAATTCTCAGTAACTTCTTTGTGTTGTGTGTATTCAACTCACAGAGTTGAACGATCCTTTACACAGAGCAGACTTGAAATACTCGTTTTGTGGAATTTGCAAGTGGAGATTTCAGCCACTTTGAGGTCAATGGTAGAAAAGGAAATATCTTCGTATAAATACTAGACAGAATGATTCTCAGAAACTCCTTTGTGATGTGTGCGTTCAACTCACAGAGTTTAACTTTTCTTTTCATAGAGCAGTTAGGAAACACTCTGTTTGTAAAGTCTGCAAGTGGATATTCAGAGCTCCTTTGAGGCCTTCGTTGGAAACGGGATTTCTTCATATTCTGCTAGACAGAATAATTCTCAGTAACTTCCTTGTGTTGTGTGTATTCAAGTCACAGAGTTGAACGATCCTTTACAGAGAGCAGACTTGAAACACTCTTTTTGTGGAATTTGCAATTGGAGATTTCAACCGCTTTGAGGTCAATAGTAGAAAAGGAAATATCTTCGTAGAAAAACTAGAAAGAATCATTCTCAGAAACTGCTCTGCGATGTGTGCGTTCAACTCTCAGAGTTTAACTTTTCTTTTCATTCAACAGTTTGGAAACACTCTGTTTGTAAAGTCTGCACGTGGATAATTTGACCACTTAGAGGCCTTCGTTGGAAACGGGTTTTTTTCCTGTAAGGCTAGACAGAAGAATTCCCAGTAACTTCCTTGTGTTGTGTACATTCAACTCACAGAGTTGAACGTTCCCTTAGACAGAGCAGATTTGAAACACTCTTTTTGTGCAATTGGCAAGTGGTGATTTCAGCCGCTTTGAGGTCAATGGTAGAAAAGGAAATATCTTCGTATAAAAACTAGACAGAATGATTCTCAGAAACTTCTTTGTGACGTGTGCGTTCAACTCACAGAGTTTAACCTTTCTTTTCATAGAGCAGTTAGGAAACACTCTGTTTGTAAAGTCTGCAAGTGGATATTCAGACCTCCTCGAGGCTTTCGTTGGAAACGGGATTTCTTCATATTGTGCTAGACAGAAGAATTCTCAGTAACTTCCTTGTGTTGTGTGTATTCAACTCACAGAGTTGAACGATCCTTTACACAGAGCCGACTTGAAACACTCTTTTTGTGGAATTTGCAAGTGGAGATTTCAGCCGCTTTGAGGTCAATGGTGGAAAAGGAAATATCTTCGTATAAAAACTAGACAGAATGATTCTCAGAAACTCCTTTGTGATGTGTGCGTTCAACTCACAGAGGTTAACCTTTCTTTTCATAGAGCAGTTAGGAAACACTCTGTTTGTAAAGTCTGCAAGTGGATATTCAGACCTCTTTGAGGCCTTCGTTGGAAAAGGGTTTTTTTCATATAAGGCTAGACAGAAGAATTCCCAGTAACTTCCTTGTGTTGTGTGTGTTCAACTCACAGAGTTGAACTTTCATTTACACAGAGCAGATTTGAAACACTCTTTTTGTGGAATTTGCAAGTGGAGATTTCAAGCGCTTTGAGGCCAAATGCAGAAAAGGAAATATCTTCATATAAAAACTAGACAGAATCATTCTCAGAAACTGCTCTGCGAATGTGTGCGTTCAACTCTCAGAGTTTAACTTTTCTTTTCATTCAGCAGTTTGGAAACACTCTGTTTGTAAAGTCTGCACGTGGATAATTTGACCACTTAGAGGCCTTCGTTGGAAACGGGTTTTTTTCATGTAAGGCTAGACAGAAGAATTCCCAGTAACTTTCCTTGTGTTGTGTACATTCAACTCACAGAGTTGAACGTTCCCTTAGACAGAGCAGATTTGAAACACTCTTTTTGTGCAATTGGCAAGTGGTGATTTCAGCCGCTTTGAGGTCAATGGTAGAAAAGGAAATATCTTCGTATAAAAACTAGACAGAATCATTCCCACAAACTGCGTTGTGATGTGTTCGTCCAACTCACAGAGTTTAACCTTTCTGTTCATAGAGCAGTTAGGAAACACTCTGTTTGTAAAGTCTGTAAGTGGATATTCTGATATCTTGTGGCCTTCGTTGGAAACGGGATTTCTTCATATTCTGCTAGACAGAATAATTCTCAGTAACTTCCTTGTGTTGTGTGTATTCTACTCACAGAGTTGAACGATCCTTTACACAGAGCAGACTTGAAACACTCTTTTTGTGGAATTTGCAAGTGGAGATTTCAGCCGCTTTGAGGTCAATGGTAGAATAGGAAATATCTTCCTATAGAAACTAGACCGAATGATTCTCAGAAACTCCTTTGTGATGTGTGCGTTCAACTCACAGAGTTTAACCTTTCTTTTCATTGAGCAGTTAGGAAACACTCTGTTTGTAAAGTCTGCAAGTGGATATTCAGACCTCCTTGAGGACTTCGTTGGAAACGGGATTTCTTCATATTATGCTAGACAGAAGAATTCCCAGTAACTTCCTTGTGTTGTGTGTGTTCAACTCACAGAGTTGAACTTTCATTTACACAGAGCAGATTTGAAACACTCTTTTTGTGTAATTTGCAAGTGGAGATTTCAAGCGCTTTGAGGCCAAAGGCAGAAAAGGAAATATCTTCGTTTCAAAACTAGACAGAATCATTCTCAGAAACTGCTCTGTGATGTGTGCGTTCAACTCTCAGAGTTTAACTTTTCTTTTCATTCAGCAGTTTGGAAACACTCTCTTTGTAAAGTCTGCACGTGGATATTTTGACCACTTGGAGGCCTTCGTTGGAAACGGGTTTTTTTCATGTAAGGCTAGACAGGAGAATTCTCAGTAACTTCCTTGTGTTGTGTACATTCAACTCACAGAGTTGAACGTTCCCTTAGACAGAGCAGATTTGAAACACTCTTTTTGTGCAATTGGCAAGTGGTGATTTCAGCCGCTTTGAGGTCAATGGTAGAAAAGGAAATATCTTCGTATAAAAACTAGACAGAATGATTCTCAGAAACTCCTTTGTGATGTGTGCGTTCAACTCACAGAGTTTAACATTTCTTTTCATAGAGCAGTTAGGAAAAACTCTGTTTGTAAGGTCTGCAAGTGGATATTCAGACATCTTTGAGGCTTTCGTTGGAAACGGGTTTTCTTCATATTATGCTAGACAGAAGAATTCTCAGAAACTTCCTTGTGTTGTGTGTTTTCAACTCACAGAGTTGAACGATGCTTTACACAGAGTAGACTTGAAACACTCTTTTTGTGGAATTTGCAAGTGGAGATTTCAGCCGCTTTGAGGTCAATGGTAGAATAGGAAATATCTTCCTATAGAAACTAGACAGAACGATTCTCAGAAACTCCTTTGTGATGTGTGCGTTCAACTCACAGAGTTTAACCTTTCTTTTCATAGAGCAATTAGGAAACACTCTGTTTGTAAAGTCTGCAAGTGGATATTCAGACCTCTTTGAGGCCTTCGTTGGAAACGGGATTTCTTCATATTCTGCTAGACAGAAGAATTCCCAGTAACTTTCTTGTGTTGTGTGTGTTCAACTCACAGAGTTGAACTTTCATTTACACAGAGCAGATTTGAAACACTCTTTTTGTGGAATTTGCAAATGGAGATTTCAAGCGCTTTGAGGCCAAAGGCAGAAAAGGAAATATCTTCGTATAAAAACTAGACAGAATGATTCTCAGAAACTCCTTTGTGATGTGTGCGTTCAACTCACCGAGTTTAACCTTTCTTTTCATAGAGCAGTTAGGAAACACTCTGTTTGTAAAGTCTGCAAGTGGATATTCAGACCTCTTTGAGGCCTTCGTTGGAAACGGCTATTTTTCATATAAGGCTAGACAGAAGAATTCCCAGTAACTTCCTTGTGTTGTGTACATTCAACTCACAGAGTTGAACGTTCCCTTAGACAGAGCAGATTTGAAACACTCTTTTTGTGCAATTGGCAAGTGGAGATTTCAAGCGCTTTGAGGTCAATGGCAGAAAAGGAAATATCTTCGTTTCAAAACTAGACAGAATCATTCCCACAAACTGCGTTGTGATGTGTTCGTTCAACTCACAGAGTTTAACCTTTCTGTTCATAGAGCAGTTAGGAAACACTCTGTTTGTAAAGTCTGTAAGTGGATACTCTGACATCTTGTGGCCTTCGTAGGAAACGGGATTTCTTCATATTCTGCTAGACAGAAGAATTGTCAGTAACTTCCTTGTGTTGTGTGTATTCAACTCACAGAGTTGAACGATCCTTTACAGAGAGCAGACTTGAAACACTCTTTTTGTGGAATTTGCAAGTGGAGATTTCAGCCGCTTTGAGGTCAATAGTAGAAAAGGAAATATCTTCACAGAAAAACTAGACAGAATGATTCTCAGAAACTTCTTTGTTATGTGAGCATTCAACTCACAGAGTTGAACCTATCTTTTGATTGAGCAGTTTTGAATCTCTCATTTTGCAGAATCTGCAAGGGGATATTTGGAGCCCTTTGCGGCCTATGGTGGAAAAGGAAATACCTTCAAATGAAAAGCACACAGAAGAATTCTCAGTAACTTCCTTGTGTTCTGTGTATTCAACTGACAGAGTTGTACTTTCGTTTAGAGAGAGCAGATTTGAAACACTGTTTTTGTGGAATTTGCAAGTGGAGATTTCAAGCGCTTTGGGGCCAAAGGCAGAAAAGGAAATATCTTCGTATAAAAACTAGACAGAATCATTCTCAGAAACTGCTCTGCGATGTGTGCGTTCAACTCTCAGAGTTTAATTTTTCTTTTCATTCAGCAGTTTGGAAACACTCTGTTTGTAAAGTCTGCACGTGGATAACTTGACCACTTAGAGGCCTTCGTTGGAAACGGGTTTTTTTCACGTAAGGCTAGACAGAAGAATTCCCAGTAACTTCATTGTGTTGTGTGCATTCAACTCACAGAGTTGAACGTTCCCTTAGACAGAGCAGATTTGAAACACTCTATTTATGCAATTTGCAAGTGTAGATTTCAAGCGCTTTAAGGTCAATGGCAGAAAAGGAAATATCTTCGTTTCAAAACTAGACAGAATGATTCTCAGAAACTCCTTTGTGATGTGTGCGTTCAACTCACAGAGTTTAACCTTTCTTTTCATAGAGCAGTTAGGAAACACTCTGTTTGTAAATTCTGTAAGTGGATATTCTGACATCTTGTGGCCTTCGTTGGAAACGGGATTTCTTCATATTCTGCTAGACAGAAGAATTCTCAGTAACTTCCTTGTGTTGTGTGTATTCAACTCACAGAGTTGAATGATCCTTTACACAGAACAGACTTGAAACACTCTTGTTGTGGAATTTGCAAGTGGAGAATTCAGCCGCTTTGAGGTCAACGGTAGAATAGGAAATATCTTCCTATAGAAACTAGACAGAATGATTATCAGAAACTCCTTTGTGATGTGTGCGTTCAACTCACAGAGTTTAACCTTTCTTTTCATAGAGCAGTTAGGAAACACTCTGTTTGTAAAGTCTGCAAGTGGATATTCAGACATCCTTGAGGCTTTCGTTGGAAACGGGATTTCTTCATATTCTGCTAGAAAGAAGAATTCTCAGTAACTTCCTTGTGTTGTGTGTATTCAACTCACAGAGTTGAACGATCCTTTACACAGAGCAGACTTGAAACACTCTTTTTGTGTAATTTGCAAGTGGAGATTTCAGCCGCTTTGAGGTCAATGGTAGAAAAGGAAATATCTTCGTATAAAAACTAGACAGAATGATTCTCAGAAACTCCTTTGTGATGTGTGCGTTCAACTCACAGAATTTAACCTTTCTTTTCATAGAGCAGTTAGGAAACACTCTGTTTGTAAAGTCTGCAAGTGGATATTCAGACCTCCTTGAGGCCTTCGTTGGAAACGGGATTTCTTCATATTATGCTAGACAGAAGAATTCCCAGTAACTTCCTTGTGTTGTGTGCATTCAACTCACAGAGTTGAACGTTCCCTTAGACAGAGCAGATTTGAAACACTCTATTTGTGCAATTTCCAAGTGTAGATTTCAAGCGCTTTAAGGTCAACGGCAGAAAAGGAAATATCTTCGTTTCAAAACTAGACAGAATCATTCCCACAAACAGCGTTGTGATGTGTTCGTTCAACTCACAGAGTTTAACCCTTTCTGTTCATAGAGCAGTTAGGAAACACTCTGTTTGTAAAGTCTGTAAGTGGATATTCTGACATCTTGTGGCCTTCGTTGGAAACGGGATTTCTTCATATTCTGCTAGACAGAAGAATTCTCAGTAACTTCCTTGTGTTGTGTGTATTCAACTCACAGAGTTGAACGATCCTTTACACAGAGCAGACTTGAAACACTCTTTTTGTGGAATTTGCAAGTGGAGATTTCAGCCGCTTTGAGGTCAACGGTAGAAAAGGAAATATCTTCGTATAAAAACTAGACAGAATGATTCTCAGAAACTCCTTTGTGATGTGTGTGTTCAACTCACAGATTTTAACCTTTCTTTTCATAGAGCAGTTAGGAAACACTCTGTTTGTAAAGTCTGCAAGTGGATATTCAGACCTCTTTGAGGTCTTCGTTGGAAACGGGTTTTTTTCATATAAGGCTAGACAGAAGAATTCCCAGTAACTTCCTTGTGTTGTGTGTGTTCAACTCACAGAGTTGAACTTTCATTTACACAGAGCAGATTTGAAACACTCTTTTTGTGGAATTTGCAAGTGGAGATTTCAAGCGTTTTGAGGCCAAAGGCAGAAAAGGAAATATCTTCGTTTCAAAACTAGACAGAATCATTCTCAGAAACTGCTCTGCGATGTGTGCGTTCAACTCTCAGAGTTTAACTTTTCTTTTCATTTAGCAGTTTGGAAACACTCTGTTTGTAAAGTCTGCACGTGGATATTTTGACCACTTAGAGGCCTTCGTTGGAAACGGGTTTTTTTCCTGTAAGGCTAGACAGAAGAATTCCCAGTAACTTCCTTGTGTTGTGTACATTCATCTCACAGAGTTGAACGTTCCCTTAGACAGAGCAGATTTGAAACACTCTTTTTGTGCAATTGGCAAGTGGAGATTTCAAGCGCTTTAAGGTCAATGGCAGAAAAGGAAATATCTTCGTTTCAAAACTAGACAGAATCATTCCCACAAACTGCGTTGTGATGTGTTCGTTCAACTCACAGAGTTTAACCTTTGTTTTAATAGAGGAGTTAGGAAACAGTCTGTTTGTAAATTCTGTAAGTGGATATTCTGACATCTTGTGGCCTTCGTTGGAAACGGGATTTCTTCATATTCTGCTAGACAGAAGAATTCTCAGAAACTTTCCTTGTGTTGTGTGTTTTCAACTCACAGAGTTGAACGATGCTTTACACAGAGTAGACTTGAAACACTCTTTTTGTGTAATTTGCAAGTGGAGATTTCAGCCGCTTTGAGGTCAATGGTAGAAAAGGAAATATCTTCGTATAAAAACTAGACAGAATGATTCTAAGAAACTCCTTTGTGATGTGTGCGTTCAACTCACAGAGTTTAACCTTTCTTTTCATAGAGCAGTTAGGAAACACTCTGTTTGTAAAGTCTGCAAGTGGATATTCAGACATCTTTGAGGCTTTCGTTGGAAACGGGATTTCTTCATATTCTGCTAGACAGAAGAATTCTCAGAAACTTCGTTGCGTTGTGTGTTTTCAACTCACAGAGTTCAACGATCCTTTACACAGAGTAGACTTGAAACACTCTTTTTGTGGAATTGGCAGGGTGGAGATTTCAGCCGCTTTGAGGTCAATGGTAGAAAAGGAAATATCTTCGTATAAAAACTAGACAGAATCATTCTCAGAAACTGCTGCGTGATGTGTGCGTTCAACTCTCAGAGTTTAACTTTTCTTTTCATTCAGCGGTTTGGAAACACTCTGTTTGTAAAGTCTGCATGTGGAAATTTTGACCACTTAGAGGCCTTCGTTGGAAACGGGTTTTTTTCATGTAAGGCTAGACAGAAGAATTCTCAGTAACTTCCTTGTGTTGTGTGTATTCAACTCACAGAGTTGAACGATCCTTTACACAGAGCAGACTTGAAACACTCTTTTTGTGGAATTTACAAGTGGAGATTTCAGCCGCTTTGAGGTCAATGGTAGAAAAGGAAATATCTTCGTATAAAGACTAGACAGAATGATTCTCAGAAACTCCTTTGTGATGTGTGCGTTCAACTCACAGAGTTTAACTTTTCTTTTCATAGAGCAGTTAGGAAACACTCTGTTTGTAAAGTCTGCAAGTGGATATTCAGACCTCTTTGACGCCTTCGTTGGAAACGGGATTTCTTCATATTATGCTAGACAGAAGAATTCTCAGTAACTTCCTTGTGTTGTGTGTATTCAACTCACAGGAGTTGAACGATCCTTTACACAGAGCAGACTTGAAACACTCTTTTTGTGGAATTTGCAAGTGGAGATTTCAGCCGCTTTGAGGTCAATGGTAGAAAAGGAAACTATCTTCATATAAAGACTAGACAGAATGATTCTCATAAACTCCTTTGTGATGTGTGCGTTCAACTCACAGAGTTTAACCTTTCTTTTCATAGAGCAGTTAGGAAACACTCTGTTTGTAAAGTCTGCAAGTGGATATTCAGACCCCTTTGAGGCCTTCGTTGGAAACGGGATTTCTTCATATTATGCTAGACAGAAGAATTCCCAGTAACTTCCTTGTGTTGTGTGTGTTCAACTCACAGAGTTGAACTTTCATTTACACAGAGCAGATTTGAAACACTCATTTTGTGGAATTTGCAAGTGGAGATTTCAAGCGCTTGTGAGGCCAAAGGCAGAAAAGGAAATATCTTCAGTATAAAAACTAGACAGAATCATTCTCAGAAACTGCTCTGCGATGTGTGCGTTCAACTCTCAGAGTTTAACTTTTCTTTTCATTCAACAGTTTGGAAACACTCTGTTTTTAAAGTCTGCACGTGGATAACTTGACCACTTAGAGGCCTTCGTTGGAAACGGGTTTTTTTCATGTAAGGCTAGACAGAAGAATTCCCAGTAACTTCCATGTGTTGTGTGCATTCAACTCACAGAGTTGAACGTTCCCTTAGACAGAGCAGATTTGAAACACTCTATTTGTGCAATTTGCAAGTGTAGATTTCAAGCGCTTTAAGATCAATGGCAGAAAAGGAGATATCTTCGTTTCAAAACTAGACAGAATCATTCCCACAAACTGCGTTGTGATGTGTTCGTTCAACTCACAGAGTTTAACCTTTCTTTTCATAGAGCAGTTAGGAAACAGTCTGTTTGTCAATTCTGTAAGTGGATATTGTGACATCTTGTGGCCTTCGTTGGAAACGGGATTTCTTCATATTCTCCTAGACAGAAGAATTCTCAGTAACTTCCTTGTGTTGTGTGTATTCAACTCACAGAGTTGAACGATCCTTTACAGAGAGCAGGCTTGAAACACTCTTTTTGTCGAATTTGCAAGTGGAGATTTCAGCCGCTTTGAGGTCAATGGTAGAATAGGAAATGTCTTCTTATAGAAACTAGACAGAATGATTCTCAGAAAATCTTTTCTGTGTGTGCGTTCAACTCACAGAGTTTAACTTTTCTTCTCATAGAGCAGTTAGGAAACACTCTGTTTGTAAAGTGTGCAAGTGGATATTCAGACCTCTTTGAGGCCTTCGTTGGAAACGGGATTTCTTCATATTATGCTAGACAGAAGAATTCTCAGTAACTTCCTTGTGTTGTGTGTATTCAACTGACAGAGTTGAACTTTCATTTAGAGAGAGCAGATTTGAAACACTGTTTTTGTGGAATTTGCAAGTGGAGATTTCAAGTGCTTTGGGGCCAAAGGCAGAAAACGAAATATCTTCGTATAAAAAGTAGACAGAATCATTCTCAGAAACTGCTCTGCGATGTGTGCGTTCAACTCTCAGAGTTTAACTTTTCTTATCATTCAGCAGTTTGGAAACACTCTGTTTGTAAAGTCTGCACGTGGATAATTTGACCACTTAGAGGCCTTCGTTGGAAACGGGTTTTTTTCCTGTAAGGCTAGACAGAAGAATTCCCAGTAACTTCCTTGTGTTGTGTACATTCAACTCACAGAGTTGAACGTTCCCTTAGACAGAGCAGATTTGAAACACTCTTTTTGTGCAATTGGCAAGTGGAGATTTCAAGCGCTTTAAGGTCAATGGCAGAAAAGGAAATATCTTCGTTTCAAAACTAGACAGAATCATTCCCACAAACTGCGTTGTGATGTGTTCGTTCATCTCACAGAGTTTAACCTTTCTTTTCGTAGAGCAGTTAGGAAACAGTCTGTTTGTAAATTCTGTAAGTGGATATTCTGACATCTTGTGGCCTTCGTGGGAAACGGGATTTCTTCATATTCTGCTAGACAGAAGAATTCTCAGAAACTTCCTTGTGTTGTGTGTATTCAACTCAAAGAGTTGAACGATCGTTTACACAGAGCAGACTTGAGACACTCTTTTTGTGGAATTTGTAAGTGGAGATTTCAGCCGCTTTGAGGTCAATGGTAGAAAAGGAAATATCTTCATATAAAAACTAGACAGAATGATTCTCAGAAACGTCCTTTGTGATGTGTGCGTTCAACTCACAGAGTTTAACCTTTCTTTTCATAGAGCAGTTAGGAAACACTCTGTGTGTAAAGTCTGCAAGTGGATATTCAGACCTCCTTGAGGCCTTCGTTGGAAACGGGATTTCTTCATATTCTGCTAGACAGAAGAATTGTCAGTAACTTCCTTGTGTTGTGTGTATTCACCTCACAGAGTTGAACGATCCTTTACACAGAGCAGACTTGAAACACTCTTTTTGTGGAATTTGCAAGTGGAGATTTCAGCCGCTTTGAGGTCAATGGTAGAAAAGGAAACTATGTTCGTATACAGACTAGACAGAATCATTCTCAGAAACTGCTGCGTGATGTGTGCGTTCAACTCACAGAGTGTAAGTTTTCTTTTCATTCAGCGGTTTGGAAACACTCTGTTTGTAAAGTCTGCACGTGGATATTTTGACCACTTAGAGGCCTTCGTTGGAAACGGGATTTTTTCATGTAAGGCTAGACAGAAGAATTCCCAGTAACTTCCTTGTGTTGTTTGCATTCAACTCACAGAGTTGAACGTTCCCTTAGACAGAGCAGATTTGAAACACTCTATTTGTGCAATTTGCAAGTGTAGATTTCAAGCGCTTTAAGGTCAATGGCAGAAAAGGAAATATCTTCGTTTCAAAACTAGACAGAATCATTCTCAGAAACTGCTCTGCGATGTGTGCGTTCAACTCTCAGAGTTTAACTTTTCTTTTCATTCAGCAGTTTGGAAACAGTCTGTTTGTAAAGTCTGCACATGGATAACTTGACCACTTAGAGGCCTTCGTTGGAAACGGGTTTTTTTCATGTAAGGCTAGACAGAAGAATTCTCAGTAACTTCCTTGTGTTGTGTGTATTCAACTCACAGAGTTGAACGATCCTTTACACAGAGCAGACTTGTAACACTCTTTTTGTGGAATTTGCAAGTGGAGATTTCAGCCACTTTGAAGTCAAAGGTAGAAAAGGAAATAACTTCCTATAAAAACTAGACAGAATGATTCTCAGAAAATCTTTTGTGATGTGTGCGTTCAACTCACAGAGTTTAACTTTTCTTCTCATAGAGCAGTTAGGAAACACTCTGTTTGTAAAGTCTGCAAGTGTATATTCAGACCTCTTTGAGGCCTTCGTTGGAAACGGGATTTCTTCATATTATGCTAGACAGAAGAATTCTCAGTAACTTCCTTGTGTTGTGTGTATTCAACTCACAGAGTTGAAGGATCCTTTACAGAGAGCAGGCTTGAAACACTCTTTTTGTCGAATTTGAAAGTGGAGATTTCAGCCGCTTTGAGGTCAATGGTAGAATAGGATATATCTTCTTATACAAACTAGACAGAATCATTCTCAGAAACTGCTCTGCGAAGTGTGCGTTCAACTCTCAGAGTTTAACTTATCTTTTCATTCAGCAGTTTGGAAACACTCTGTTTGTAAAGTCTGCACGTGGATAATTTGACCACTTAGAGGTCTTCGTTGGAAACGGGTTTTTTTCATGTAAGGCTAGACAGAAGAATTCCCAGTAATTTCCTTGTGTTGTGTACATTCAACTCACAGAGTTGAACGTTCCCTTAGACAGAGCAGACTTGTAACACTCTTTTTGTGGAATTTGCAAGTGGAGATTTCAGCCGCTTTAAAGTCAAAGGTAGAAAAGGAAATATCTTCCTATAAAAACTAGACAGAATCATTCCCACAAACTGCGTTGTGAAGTGTTCGTTCAACTCACAGAGTTTAACCTTTCTGTTCATAGAGCAGTTAGGAAACACTCTGTTTGTAAAGTCTGAAAGTGGATATTCTGACATCTTGTGGCCTTCGTTGGAAACGGGATTTCTGCATATTCTGCTAGACAGAAGACTTCTCAGTAACTTCCTTGTATTGTGTGTATTCAGCTCACAGAGTTGAACGATCCTTTACACAGAGCAGACCTGAAACACTCTTTTTGTGGAATTTGCAAGTGGAGATTTCAGCCGCTTTGAGGTCAATGGTAGAATAGGAAATATCTTCCTATAGAAACTAGACAGAATGATTCTCAGAAACTTCTTTGTGATGTGTGCGTTCAACTCACACAGTTTAACCTTTCTTTTCATAGAGCAGTTAGGAAACACTCTGTTTGTAAAGTCTGCAAGTGGATATTCAGACCTCCTTGAGGCCTTCGTTGGAAACGGGATTTCTTCATATTATGCTAGACAGAAGAATTCTCAGTAACTTCCTTGTGTTGTGTGTATTCAACTGACAGAGTTGAACTTTCATTTAGAGAGAGTAGATTTGTAACACTGTTTTTGTGGAATTTGCAAGTGGAGATTTCAAGCGCTTTGGGGCCAAAGGCAGAAAAGGAAATATCTTCGTATAAAAACTAGACAGAATCATTCTCAGAAACTGCTCTGCGATGTGTGCGTTCAACTCTCAGAGTTTAACTTTTCTTTTCATTCAGCAGTTTGGAAACACTCTGTTTGTAAAGTCTGCACGTGGATATTTTGACCACTTAGAGGCCTTCGTTGGAAACGGGTTTTTTTCCTGTAAGGCTAAAAAGAAGAATTCCCAGTAACTTCCTTGTGTTGTGTGCATTCAACTCACAGAGTTGAACGTTCCCTTAGACAGAGCAGATTTGAAACACTCTATTTGTGCAATTTGCAAGTGTAGATTTCAAGCGCTTTAAGGTCAACGGCAGAAAAGGAAATATCTTCGTTTCAAAACTAGACAGAATGATTCTCAGAAACTCCTTTGTGATGTGTACGTTCAACACACAGAGTTTAACTTTTCTTTTCATAGAGCAGTTAGGAAACACTCTGTTTGTAAAGTCTGCAAGTGGATATTCAGACCTCTTTGAGGCCTTCGTTGGAAACGGGATTTCTTCATATTATGCTAGACAGAAGAATTCTCAGTAACTTCCTTCTGTTGTGTGTATTCAACTCACAGAGTTGAACGATCCTTTACAGAGAGCAGACTTGAAACATTCTTTTTGTGGAATTTGCAAGTGGAGATTTCAGCCGCTTTGAGGTCAATTGTAGAAAAGGAAATATCTTCGTATAAAGACTAGACAGAATGATTCTCAGAAACTCCTTTGTGATGTGTGCGTTCAACTCACAGAGTTTAACCTTTCTTTTCATAGAGCAGTTAGGAAACACTCTGTAAAGTCTGCAAGTGGATATTCAGACCTCCTTGAGGCCTTCGTTGGAAACGGGATTTCTTCATATTCTGCTATACAGAAGAATTCCCAGTAACTTCCTTGTGTTGTGTGTGTTCAACTCACAGTGTTGAACTTTCATTTATACAGAGCAGATTGGAAACACTCTTTTTGTGGAATTTGCAAGTGGAGATTTCAAGCGCTTTGAGGCCAAAGGCAGAAAAGGAAATATCTTCGTATAAAAACTAGACAGAAATCATTCTCAGAAACTGCTGCGTGATGTGTGCGTTCAACTCTCAGAGTTTAACTTTTCTTTTCATTCAGCGGTTTGGAAACACTCTGTTTGTAAAGTCTGCATGTGGAAATTTTGACCACTTAGAGGCCTTCGTTGGAAACGGGTTTTTTTCATGTAAGGCTAGACAGAAGAATTCCCAGTAACTTCCTTGTGTTGTGTGCATTCAAGTCACAGAGTTGAACGTTCCCTTAGACAGAGCAGATTTGAAACACTCTATTTGTGCAATTTGCAAGTGTAGATTTCAAGCGCTTTAAGGTCAACGGCAGAAAAGGAAATATCTTCGTTTCAAAACTAGACAGAATCATTCCCACAAACCGCGTTGTGATGTGTTCGTTCAACTCACAGAGTTTAACCTTTCTGTTCATAGAGCAGTTAGGAAACACTCTGTTTGTAAAGTCTGCCAGTGGATATTCAGACCTCCTTGAGGCCTTCGTTGGAAACGGGATTTCTTCATATTCTGCTAGACAGAAGAATTCTCAGTAACTTCCTTGTGTTATGTGTATTCAACTCACAGAGTTGAACGATCCTTTACACAGAGCACACTTGAAACACTCTATTTGTAGAATTTGCAAGTGGAGATTTCAGCCGCTTTGAGGTCAATAGTAGAAAAGGAAATATCTTCGTAGAAAAACTAGACAGAATGATTCTCAGAAACTCCTTTGTGATGTGTGTGTTCAACTCACAGAGTTCAACCTTTCTTTTCATAGAGCAGTTAGTAAACACTCTGTTTATAAAGTCTGCAAGTGGATATTCAGACCCCTTTGAGGCCTTCGTTGGAAACGGGATTTCTTCATATTATGCTAGACAGAAGAATTCTCAGTAACTTCTTTGTGTTGTGTGTATTCAACTGACAGATTTGAACTTTCATTTAGAGAGAGCAGATTTGAAACACTGTTTTTGTGGAATTTGCAAGTGGAGATTTCAAGCGCTTTGGGGCCAAAGTCAGAAAAGGAAATATTCTTCGTATAAAAACTAGACAGAATCATTCTCAGAAACTGCTCTGCGATGTGTCTGTTCAAAGCTCAGAGTTTAACTTTTCTTTTCATTCAGCAGTTTGGAAACACTCTGTTTGTAAAATCTGCACGTGGATAACTTGACCACTTAGAGGCCTTCGTTGGAAACGGGTTTTTTTCATGTAAGGCTAGACAGAAGAATTCCCAGTAACTTCCTTCTGTTGTGTACATTCAACTCACAGAGTTGAACGTTCCCTTAGACAGAGCAGATTTGAAACACTCTTTTTGTGCAATTGGCAAATGGAGATTTCAAGCGCTTTAAGGTCAATGGCAGAAAAGGAAATATCTTCGTTTCAAAACTAGACAGAATGATTCTCAGAAACTTCTTTGTGATGTGTGCGTCCAACTCACAGAGTTTAACCTTTCTTTTCATAGAGCAGTTAGGAAACACTCTGTTTGTAAAGTCTGCAAGTGGATAATCAGACCTCTTTGAGGCCTTCGTTGGAAACGGGATTTCTTCATACTATGCTAGACAGAAGAATTCTCAGTAACTTCCTTGTGTTGTGTGTATTCAACTCACAGAGTTGAACGATCCTTTACACAGAGCAGACTTGTAACACTCTTTTTGTGGAATTTGCAAGTGGAGATTTCAGCCGCTTTGAAGTCAAAGTTAGAAAAGGAAATATCTTCCTATAAAAACTAGACAGAATGATTCTCAGAAACTCCTTTGTGATGGGTGCTTTCAACTCACAGAGTTTAACCTTTCTTTTCATAGAGCAGTTAGGAAACACTCTGTTTGTAAAGTCTGCAAGTGGATATTCAGACCTCTTAGAGGCCTTCGTTGGAAACGGGATTTCTTCATATTATGCTAGACAGAAGAATTCTCAGTAACTTCCCTTGTGTTGTGTGTATTCAACTGACAGAGTTGAACTTTCATTTAGAGAGAGTAGTTTTGAAACACTGTTTTTGTGGAATTTGCAAGTGGAGATTTCAAGCGCTTTGGGGCCAAAGGCAGAAAAGGAAATATCTTCGTATAAAAACTAGACAGAATCATTCTCAGAAACTGCTGCGTGATGTGTGCGTTCAACTCTCAGAGTTTAACTTTTCTTTTCATTCAGCGGTTTGGAAACACTCTGTTTGTAAAGTCTGCACGTGGAAATTTTGACCACTTAGAGGCCTTCGTTGGAAACGGGTTTTTTTCATGTAAGGCTAGACAGAAGAATTCCCAGTAACTTCCTTGTGTTGTGTGCATTCAACTCACAGAGTTGAACGTTCCCTTAGACAGAGCAGATTTGAAACACTCTATTTGTGCAATTTGCAAGTGTAGATTTCAAGCGCTTTAAGGTCAAAGGCAGAAAAGGAAATATCTTCGTTTCAAAACTAGACAGAATCATTCCCACAAACTGCGTTGTGATGTGTTCGTTCAACTCACAGAGTTTAACCTTTCTGTTCATAGAGCAGTTAGGAAACACTCTGTTTGTAAAGTCTGTAAGTGGATATTCTGACATCTTGTGGCCTTCGTTGGAAACGGGATTTCTTCATATTTCGCTAGACAGAAGAATTCTCAGTAACTTCCTTGTGTTGTGTGTATTCAACTCACAGAGTTGAACGATCCTTTACACTGAGCAGACTTGAAACATTCTTTTTGTGGAATTTGCAAGTGGAGATTTCAGCCGCTTTGAGGTCAATGGTAGAATAGGAAATATCTTCCTATAGAAACTAGACAGAACGATTCTCAGAAACTCCTTTGTGATGTGTGTGTTCAACTCACAGAGTTTAACCTTTCTTTTCATAGAGCAGTTAGGAAACACTCTGTTTGTAAAGTCTGCAAGTGGATATTCAGACCTCTTTGAGGCCTTCGTTGGAAACGGGATTTCTTCATATTCTGCTAGACAGAAGAATTCTCAGTAACTTCCTTGTGTTGTGTTTATTCAACTGACAGAGTTGAACTTTCATTTAGAGAGAGCAGATTTGAAACACTGTTTTTGTGGAATTTGCAAGTGGAGATTTCAAGCGCTTTGGGGCCAAAGGCAGAAAACGAAATATCTTCGTATAAAAACTAGACAGAATCATTCTCAGAAACTGCTGCGTGATGTGTGCGTTCAACTCTCAGAGTTTAACTTTTCTTTTCATTCAGCGGTTTGGAAACACTCTGTTTGTAAAGTCTGCACGTGGATATTTTGACCACTTAGAGGCCTTCGTTGGAAACGGGTTTTTTGCATGTAAGGCTAGACAGAAAGAATTCCCAGTAACTTCCTTGTGTTGTGTGCATTCAACTCACAGAGTTGAACGTTCCCTTAGACAGAGCAGATTTGAAACACTCTATTTGTGCAATTTGCAAGTGTAGATTTCAAGCGCTTTAAAGTCAATGGCAGAAAAGGAAATATCTTCGTTTCAAAACTAGACAGAATGATTCTCAGAAACTCCTTTGTGATGTGTGTGTTCAACTCACAGAGTTTAACTTTCCTTTTCATAGAGCAGTTAGGAAACACTCTGTTTGTAAAGTCTGCAAGTGGATATTCAGACCTCTTTGAGGCCTTCGTTGGAAACGGGATTTCTTCATATTATGCTAGACAGAAGAATTCTCAGTAACTTCCTTGTGTTGTGTGTATTCAACTCACAGAGTTGAACGATCCTTTACACAGAGCAGACTTGAAACAGTCTTTTTGTGGAATTTGCAAGTGGAGATTTCAGCCGCTTTGAGGTCAATGGTAGAAAAGGAAATCTCTTCGTATAAAGACTAGACAGAATGATTCTCAGAAACTCCTTTGTGATGTGTGCGTTCAACTCACAGAGTTTAACCTTTCTTTTCATAGAGCAGTTAGGAAACACTCTGTTTGTAAAGTCTGCAAGTGGATATTCAGACCTCCTTGAGGCCTTCTTTGGAAACGGGATTTCTTCTTATTCTGCTAGGCAGAAGATTTCCCAGTAACTTCCTTGTGTTGTGTGTGTTCAACTCACAGAGTTGAACTTTCATTTACACAGAGCAGATTTGGAACACTCTTTTTGTGGAATTTGCAAATGGAGATTTCAAGCGCTTTGAGGCCAAAGGCAGAAAAGGAAATATCTTCGTATAAAAACTAGACAGAATCATTCTCAGAAACTGCTGCGTGATGTGTGCGTTCAACTCTCAGAGTTTAACTTTTCTTTTCATTCAGCGCTTTGGAAACACTCTGTTTGTAAAGTCTGCACGTGGAAATTTTGACCACTTAGAGGCCTTCGGTTGGAAACGGGTTTTTTTCATGTAAGGCTAGACAGAAGAATTCCCAGTAACTTCCTTGTGTTGTGTGCATTCAACTCACAGAGTTGAACGTTCCCTTAGACAGAGCAGATTTGAAACACTCTATTTGTGCAATTTGCAAGTGTAGATTTCAAGCGCTTTAAGGTCAATGGCAGAAAAGGAAATATCTTCGTTTCAAAACTAGGCAGAATCATTCCCACAAACTGCGTTGTGATGTGTTTGTTCAACTCACAGAGTTTAACCTTTCTTTTCATAGAGCAGTTAGGAAACAGTCTGTTTGTAAATTCTGTAAGTGGATATTCTGACATCTTGTGGCCTTCGTTGGAAACGGGATTACTTCATATTCTGCTAGACAGAAGAATTCTCAGTAACTTCCTTGTGTTTTGTGTATTCAACTCACAGAGTTGAACGATCATTTACACAAAGCAGACTTGAAACACACTTTTTGTGGAATTTGCAAGTGGAGATTTAAGCCGCTTTGAGGTCAATGGTAGAATAGGAAATATCTTCCTATAGAAACTAGACAGAATGATTCTCAGAAACTCCTTTGTGATGTGTGCGTTCAACTCACAGAGTTCAACCTTTCTTTTCATAGAGCAGTTGGGAAACACTCTGTTTGTAAAGTCTGCAAGTGGATATTCAGACTTCTTTGAGGTCTTCGTTGGAAGCGGGATTTCTTCATATTCTGCTAGACAGAAGAATTCTCAGTAACTTCCTTGTGTTGTGTGTATTCAACTGACAGAGTTGAACTTTCATTTAGAGAGAGTAGATTTGAAACACTGTTTTTGTGGAATTTGCAAGTGGAGATTTCAAGCGCTTTGGGGCCAAAGGCAGAAAAGGAAATATCTTCATATAAAAACTAGACAGAATCATTCTCAGAAAACTGCTGCGTGATGTGTGCGTTCAACTCTCAGAGTTTAACTTTTCTTTTCATTCAGCGGTTTGGAAACACTCTGTTTGTAAAGTCTGCACGTGGAAATTTTGACCACTTAGAGGCCTTCGTTGGAAACGGGTTTTTTTCATGTAAGGCTAGACAGAAGATTTCCCAGTAAATTCCTTGTGTTGTGTACATTCAACTCACAGAGTTGAACGTTCCCTTAGACAGAGCAGATTTGAAACACTCTTTTTGTGCAATTGGCAAGTGGAGATTTCAAGCGCTTTAAGGTCAATGGCAGAAAAGGAAATATCTTCGTTTCAAAACTAGACAGAATCATTCCCACAAACTGCGTTGTGATGTTTTCGTTCAACTCACAGAGTTTAACCTTTCCGTTCATAGAGCAGTTAGGAAACACACTGTTTGTAAAGTCTGTAAGTGGATATTCTGACATCTTGTGGCCTTCGTTGGAAACGGGATTTCTTTATATTCTGCTAGACAGAAGAATTCTCAGAAACTTCCTTGTGTTGTGTGTTTTCAACTCACAGTGTTGAACGATCCTTTACACAGAGCAGACTTGAAACACTCTTTTTGTGGGATTTGCAAGTGGAGATTTCAGCCGCTTTGAGGTCTATGGTAGAAAAGGAAATATCTTCGTATAAAAACTAGACAGAATGATTCTCAGAAACTCCTTTGTAATGTGTGCGTTCAACTCACAGAGTTTAACGTTTCTTTTCATAGAGCAGTTAGGAAACACTCTGTTTGTAAAGTCTGCAAGTGGATATTCAGACCTCTTTGAGGCCTTCGTTGGAAACGGGTTTTTTTCATATAAGGCTAGACAGAAGAATTCTCAGTAACTTCCTTGTGTTGTGTGTATTCAGCTGACAGAGTTGAACTTTCATTTAGAGAGAGCAGATTTGAAACACTGTTTTTGTGTAATTTGCAATTGGAGATTTCAAGCGCTTTGGGGCCAAAGGCAGAAAAGGAAATATCTTCGTATAAAAACTAGACAGAATCATTCTCAGAAACTGCTGCGTGATGTGTGCGTTCAACTCTCAGAGTTTAACCTTTCTTTTCATTCAGCGGTTTGGAAACACTCTGTTTGTAAAGTCTGCACGTGGATATTTTGACCACTTAGAGGCCTTCGTTGGAAACGGGTTTTTTTCATGTAAGGCTAGACAGAAGAATTCCCAGTAACTTCCTTGTGTTGTGTACATTCAACTCACAGAGTTGAACTGTTCCCTTAGACAGAGCAGATTTGAAACACTCTTTTTGTGCAATTGGCAAATGGAGATTTCAAGCGCTTTAAGGTCAATGGCAGAAAAGGAAATATCTTCGTTTCAAAACTAGACAGAATCATTCTCAGAAACTGCTCTGCGATGTGTGCGTTGAACTCTCAGAGTTTAACTTTTCTTTTCATTCAGCAGTTTGGAAACACTCTGTTTGTGAAGTCTGCACGTGGATATTTTGACCATTTAGAGGCCTTCGTTGGAAACGGGTTTTTTTCCTGTAAGGCTAGACAGAAGAATTCCCAGTAACTTCCTTGTGTTGTGTACATTCAACTCACAGAGTTGAACGTTCCCTTAGACAGAGCAGACTTGTAACACTCTTTTTGTGGAATTTGCAAGTGGAGATTTCAGCCGCTTTCAAGTCAAAGGTAGAAAAGGAAATATCTTCCTATAAAAACTAGACAGAATGATTCTCAGAAACTCCTTTGAGATGTGTGCGCTCAACTCACAGAGTTTAACCTTTCGTTTCATAGAGCAGTTAGGAAACACTCTGTTTGTAAAGTCTGCAAGTGGATATTCAGACCTCTTTGAGGCCTTCGTTGGAAACGGGTTTTTTTCAAATAAGGCTAGACAGAAGAATTCTCAGTAACTTCCTTGTGTTGTGTGTATTCAACTGACAGAGTTGAACTTTCATTTAGAGAGAGCAGATTTGAAACACTGTTTTTGTGGAATTTGCAAATGGAGATTTCAAGCGCTTTGGGGCCAAAGGCAGAAAAGGAAATATCTTCGTATAAAAACTAGACAGAATCATTCTCAGAAACTGCTCTGCGATGTGTGCGTTCAACTCTCAGAGTTTAACTTTTCTTTTCATTCAGCAGTTTGGAAACACTCTGTTTGTAAAGTCTGCACGTGGATATTTTGACCACTTAGAGGCCTTCGTTGGAAACGGGTTATTTTCCTGTAAGGCTAGACAGAAGAATTCCCAGTAACTTCCTTGTGTTGTGTGCATTCAACTCACAGAGTTGAACGTTCCCTTAGACAGAGCAGATTTGAAACACTCTATTTGTGCAATTTGCAAGTGTAGATTTCAGGCGCTTTAAGGTCAACGGCAGAAAAGGAAATATCTTCGTTTCAAAACTAGACAGAATGATTCTCAGAAACTCCTGTGTGAAGTGTGTGTTCAACTCACAGAGTTTAACCTTTCTATTCATAGAGTAGTTAGGAAACACTCTGTTTGTAAAGTCTGCAAGTGGATATTTTGACCTCTTTGAGGCCTTCGTTGGAAACGGGTTTTTTTCATGTAAGGCTAGACAGAAGAATTCTCAGTAACTTTCCTTGTGTTGTGTGTATTCAACTCACAGAGTTGAACGATCCTTTACACAGAGCAGACTTGTAACACTCTTTTTGTGGAATTTGCAAGGGGAGATTTCAGCCGCTTTGAAGTCAAAGGTAGAAAAGGAAATATCTTCCTATAAAAACTAGACAGAATGATTCTCACAAACTCCTTTGTGATGTGTGCGTTCAACTCACAGAGTTTAACCTTTCTTTTCATAGAGCAGTTAGGAAACACTCTGTTTGTAAAGTCTGCAAGTGGATATTCAGACCTCCTTGAGGCCTTCGTTGGAAACGGGATTTCTTCATATTCTGCTAGACAGAAGAATTCCCAGTAACTTCCTTGTGTTGTGTGTGTTCAACTCACAGAGTTGAACTTTGATTTACACAGAGCAGATTTGAAACACTCTTTTTGTGGAATTTGCAAGTAGAGATTTCAAGCGCTTTGAGGCCAAAGGCAGAAAAGGAAATATCTTCGTATAAAAACTAGACAGAATCATTCTCAGAAACTGCTCTGCGATGTGTGCGTTCAACTCTCAGAGTTTAACTTTTCTTTTCATTCAGCAGTTTGGAAACACTCTGTTTGTAAAGTCTGCACGTGGATATTTTGACCACTTAGAGGCCTTCGTTGGAAACGGGTTTTTTTCCTGTAAGGCTAGATAGAAGAATTCCCAGTAACTTCCTTGTGTTGTGTACATTCAACTCACAGAGTTGAACGTTCCCTTAGACAGAGCAGATTTGAAACACTCTTTTTGTGCAATTAGCAAGTGGAGATTTCAAGCGCTTTAAGGTCAATGGCAGAAAAGGAAATATCTTACTTTCAAAACTAGACAGAATGATTCTCAGAAACTCCTTTGTGATGTGTGCGTTCAACTCAAAGAGTTTAACTTTTCTTTTCACAGAGCAGTTAGGAAACACTCTGTTTGTAAAGTCTGCAAGTGGATATTCAGACCTATTTGAGGCCTTCGTTGGAAACGGGATTTCTTCATATTATGCTAGACAGAAGAATTCTCAGTAACTTCCTTGTGTTGTGTGTATTCAAATCACAGAGTTGAACGATCCTTTACACAGAGCAGACTTGAAACATTCTTTTTGTGGAATTTGCAAGTGGAGATTTCAGCCGCTTTGAGGTCAATGGTAGAATAGGAAATATCTTCCTATAGAAACTAGACAGAATGATTCTCAGAAACTCCTTTGTGATGTGTGCGTTCAACTCACAGAGTTTAACCTTTCTTTTCATAGAGCAGTTAGGAAACAATCTGTTTGTAAAGTCTGCAAGTGGATATTCAGACCTCTTTGAGGCCTTCGTTGGAAACGGGTTTTTTTCATATAAGGCTAGACAGAAGAATTCCCAGTAACTTCCTTGTGTTGTGTGTGTTCAACTCACAGAGTTGAACTTTCATTTACACAGAGCAGATTTGAAACACTCTTTTTGTGGAATTTGCAAGTGGGGATTTCAAGCGCTTTGAGGCCAAAGGCAGAAAAGGAAATATCTTCGTATAAAAACTAGACAGAATCATTCTCAGAAACCGCTCTGTGATGTGTGCGTTCAACTCTCAGAGTTTAACTTTTCTTTTCATTTAGCAGTTTGGAAACTCTCGGGTTGTAAAGTCTGCACGTGGATATTTTGAACACTTAGAGGCCTTCGTTGGAAACGGGTTTTTTTCATGTAAGGCTAGACAGAAAAATTCCCAGTAACTTCCTTGTGTTGTGTGCATTCAACTCACAGAGATGAACGTTCCCTTCGACAGAGCAGATTTGAAACACTCTATTTGTGCAATTTGCCAGTGTAGATTTCAAGCGCTTTAAGGTCAATGGCAGAAAAGGAAATATCTTCGTTTCAAAACTAGACAGAACGATTCTCAGAAACTCCTTTGTGATGTGTGCGTTCAACTCACAGAGTTTAACCTTTCTTTTCATAGAACAGTTAGGAAACACTCTGTTTGTAAAGTCTGCAAGTGGATATTCAGACCTCTATGAGGCCTTCGTTGGAAACGGGATTTCTTCATATTCTGCTAGACAGAAGAATTCTCAGTAACTTCCTTGTGTTGTGTGTATTCAACTCACAGAGTTGAACGATCCTTTACACAGAGCAGACTTGAAACACTCTTTTTGTGGAATTTGCAAGTGGAGGTTTCAGCCGCTTTGAGGTCAATAGTAGAAAAGGAAATATCTTCGTAGAAAAACTAGACAGAATGATTCTCAGAAACTCCTTTGGGATGTGTGCGTTCAACTCACAGAGTTTAACCTTTCTGTTCATAGAGCAGTTAGGAAACACTCTGTTTGTAAAGTCTGCAAGTGGATATTCAGACCTCCTTGAGGCCTTCGGTGGAAACGGGATTTCTTCATATTCTGCTAGACAGAAGAATTCCCAGTAACTTCCTTGTGTTGTGTGTGTTCAACTCACAGAGTTGAACTTTCATTTACACAGAGCAGATTTGAAACACTCTTTTTGTGGAATATGCAAGTGGAGATTTCAAGCGCTTTGAGGCCAAAGGCAGAAAAGGAAATATCTTCGTTTCAAAACTAGACAGAATCATTCTCAGAAACTGCTCTGCGATGTGTGCGTTCAACTCTCAGAGTTTAACTTTTCTTTTCATTCAGCAGTTTGGAAACACTCTGTTTGTAAAGTCTGCACGTGGATAATTTGACCACTTAGAGGCCTTCGTTGGAAACGGTTTTTTTCATGTAAGGCTAGACAGAAGAATTCTCAGTAACTTCCTTGTGTTGTGTGTATTCAACTCACAGAGTTGAACGATCCTTTACACAGAGCAGACTTGTAACACTCTTTTTGTGGAATTTACAAGTGGAGATTTCAGCCGCTTTGAAGTCAAAGGTAGAAAAGGAAATATCTTCCTATAAAAACTAGACAGAATCATTCCCACAAACTGCGTTGTGATGTGTTCGTTCAACTCACAGAGTTTAACCTTTCTTTTCATAGAGCAGTTAGGAAACAGTCTGTTTGTCAATTCTGTAAGTGGATATTCTGACATCTTGTGGCCTTCGTTGGAAACAGGATTTCTTCATATTCTGCTAGACAGAAAGAATTCTCAGTAACTTCCTTGTGTTGTGTGTATTCAACTCACAGAGTTGAACGATCCTTTACACAGAGCAGACTTGAAACACTCTTTTTGTGGAATTTGCAAGTGGAGATTTCAGCCGCTTTGAGGTCAATAGTAGAAAAGGAAATATCTTCGTAGAAAAACTAGACAGATGATTCTCAGAAACTCCTTTGTGATGTGTGCGTTCAACTCACAGAGTTTAACCTTTCTTTTCATAGAGCAGTTAGGAAACACTCTGTTTGTAAACTCTGCAAGTGGATATTCAGACCTCTTTGAGGCCTTCGTTGGAAACGGGTTTTCTTCATATTATGCCTGACAGAAGAATTCCCAGTAACTTCCTTGTGTTGTGTGTGTTCAACTCACAGAGTTGAACTCTCATTTACACAGAGCAGATTTGAAACACTCTTTTTGTGGAATTTGCAAGTGGAGATTTCAAGCGCTTTGAGGCCAAAGACAGAAAAGGAAATATCTTCGTATAAAAACTAGACAGAATCATTCTCAGAAACTGCTCTGCGATGTGTGCGTTCAACTCTCAGAGTTTAACTTTTCTTTTCATTCAGCAGTTTGGAAACACTCTGTTTGTAAAGTCTGCACGTGGATATTTTGACCACTTAGAGGCCTTCGTTGGAAACGGGTTTTTTTCCTGTAAGGCTAGTCAGAAGATTTCCCAGTAACTTCCTTGTGTTGTGTACATTCAACTCACAGAGTTGAACGTTCCCTTAGACAGAGCAGATTTGAAACACTCTTTTTGTGCAATTGGCAAATGGAGATTTCAAGCGCTTTAAGGTCAATGGCAGAAAAGGAAATATCTTCGTTTCAAAACTAGACAGATTCATTCCCACAAACTGCGTTGTGATGTGTTCGTTCAACTCACAGAGTTTAACCTTTCTGTTCATAGAGCAGTTAGGAAACACTCTGTTTGTAAAGTCTGCCAGTGGATATTCAGACCTCCTTGAGGCCTTCGTTGGAAACGGGATTTCTTCATATTCTGCTAGAAAGAAGAATTCTCAGTAACTTCCTTGTGTTGTGTGTATTCAACTCACAGAATTGAACGATCCTTTACACAGAGCAGACTTGAAACATTCTTTTTGTGGTATTTGCAAGTGGAGATTTCAGCCGCTTTGAGGTCAATGGTAGAATAGGAAATATCTTCCTATAGAAACTAGACAGAATGATTCTCAGAAACTCCTTTGTGATGTGTGCGTTCAACTCACAGAGTTTAACCTTTCTTTTCATAGAGCAGTTAGGAAACACTCTGTTTGTAAACTCTGCAAGTGGATATTCAGACCTCTTTGAGGCCTTCGTTGGAAACGGGATTTCTTCATACTGTGCTAGACAGAAGAATTCTCAGTAACTTCCTTGTGTTGTGTGTATTCAACTCACAGAGTTGAACGATCCTTTACACAGAGCAGACTTGAAACACTCTTCTTGTGGAATTTGCAAGTGGAGATTTCAGCCGCGTTGAGGTCAATGGTAGAAAAGGAAATATCTTCGTATAAAAACTAGACAGAATCATTCTCAGAAACTGCTCTGTGATGTGTGCGTTCAACTCTCAGAGTTTAACTTTTCTTTTCATTCAGCAGTTTGGAAACACTCTGTTTGTAAAGTCTGCACGTGGATATTTTGACCACTTAGAGGCCTTCGTTGGAAACGGGTTTTTTCATGTAAGGCTAGACAGAAGAATTCCCAGTAACTTCCTTGTGTTGTGTACATTCAACTCACAGAGTTGAACGTTCCCTTAGACAGAGCAGATTTGAAACACTCTTTTTGTGCAATTGGAAAGTGGAGATTTCAAGCGCTTTAAGGTCAATGGCAGAAAAGGAAATATCTCCGTTTCAAAACTAGACAGAATCATTCCCACAAGCTGCGTTGTGATGTGTTCGTTCATCTCACAGAGTTTAACGTTTCTTTTCATAGAGCAGTTAGGAAACAGTCTGTTTGCAAATTCTATAAGTGGATATTCTGACATCTTGTGGCCTTCGTTGGAAACGGGATTTCTTCATATTCTGCTAGACAGAAGAATTCTCAGTAACTTCCTTGTGTTGTGTGTATTCAACTCACACAGTTGAACGATCCTTTACACAGAGCAGACTTGAAACACTCTTTTTGTGGAATTTGCAAGTGGAGATTTCAGCCGCTTTGAGGTCAACAGTAGAAAAGGAAATATCTTCGTAGAAAAACTAGACAGAATGATTCTCAGAAACTCCTTTGTGATGTGTGCGTTCAACTCACAGAGTTTAACCTTTCTTTTCATAGATCAGTTAGGAAACACTCTGTTTGTAAAGTCTGCAAGTGAATATTCAGACATCCTTGAGGCTTTCGTTGGAAACGGGATTTCTTCATATTCTGCTAGAAAGAAGAATTCCCAGTAACTTCCTTGTGTTGTGTGTGTTCAACTCACAGAGTTGAACTTTCATTTACACAGAGCAGATTTGAAACAGTCTTTTTGTGGAATTTGCAAATGGAGATTTCAAGCGCTTTGAGGTCAAAGGCAGAAAAGGAAATATCTTCGTATAAAAACTAGACAGAATCATTCTCAGAAACTGCTGCGTGATGTGTGCGTTCAACTCTCAGAGTTTAACTTTTCTTTTCATTCAGCGGTTTGGAAACACTCTGTTTGTAAAGTCTGCACGTGGATATTTTGTCCACTTAGAGGCCTTCGTTGGAAACGGGTTTTTTTCATGTAATTCTAGACAGAAGAATTCCCAGTAACTTCCTTGTGTTGTGTGCATTCAACTCACAGAGTTGAACGTTCCCTTAGACAGAGCAGATTTGAAACACTCTATTTGTGCAATTTGCAAGTGTAGTTTTCAAGCTCTTTAAGGTCAACGGCAGAAAAGGAAATATCTTCGTTTCAAAACTAGACAGAATCATTCCCACAAACTGCGTTGTGATGTGTTCGTTCAACTCACAGAGTTTAACCTTTCTGTTCATAGAGCAGTTAGGAAACACTCTGTTTGTAAAGTCTGCAAGTGGATATTCAGACCTCTTTGTGGCCTTCGTTGGAAACGGGATTTCTTCATATTATGCTAGACAGAAGAATTCTCAGTAACTTCCTTGTGTTGTGTGTATTCAACTCACAGAGTTGAACGATCCTTTACACAGAGCAGACTTGTAACACTCTTTTTGTGGAATTTGCAAGTGGAGATTTCAGCCGCTTTGAAGTCAAAGGTAGAAAAGGAAATATCTTCCTATAAAACTAGACAGAATGATTCTCAGAAACTCCTTTGTGATGTGTGCGTTCAACTCACACAGTTTAACCTTCCTTTTCATAGAGCAGTTAGGAAACACTCTGTTTGTAAAGTCTGCAAGTGGATATTCAGACCTCTTTGAGGCCTTCGTTGGAAACGGGTTTTTTTCATATAAGGCTAGACAGAAGAATTCTCCGTAACTTCCTTGTGTTGTGTGTATTCAACTGACAGAGTTGAACTTTCATTTAGAGAGATCAGATTTGAAACACTCTATTTGTGCAATTTGCAAGTGTAGATTTCAAGCGCATTAAGGTCAATGGCAGAAAAGGAAATATCTTCGATTCAAAACTAGACAGAATCATTCTCAGAAACTGCTCTGCGATGTGTGCGTTCAACTCTCAGGGTTTAACTTTTCTTTTCATTCAGCAGTTTGGAAACACTCTGTTTGTAAAGTCTGCACGTGGATATTTTGACCACTTAGAGGCCTTCGTTGGAAACGGGTTTTCTTCCTGTAAGGCTAGACAGAAGAATTCTCAGTAACTTCCTTGTGTTGTGTACATTCAACTCACAAGAGTTGAACGTTCCCTTAGACAGAGCAGATTTGAAACACTCTTTTTGTGCAATTGGCAAGTGGTGATTTCAGCCGCTTTGAGGTCAATGGTAGAAAAGGAAATATCTTCGTATAAAAACTAGACAGAATCATTCCCAGAAACTGCGTTGTGATGTGTTCGTTCAACTCACAGAGTTTAACCTTTCTTTTCATAGAGCAGTTAGGAAACAGTCTGTTTGTCAATTCTGTAAGTGGATATTCTGACATCTTGTGGCGTTCGTTGGAAACGGGATTTCTTCATATTCTGCTAGACAGAAGAATTCTCAGTAACTTCCTTGTGTTGTGTGTATTCAACTCACAGAGTTGAACGATCCTTTACACAGAGCAGACTTGAAACACTCTTTTTTTGGAATTTGCAAGTGGAGATTTCAGCCGCTTTGAGGTCAATGGTAGAAAAGGAAACTATCTTCATATAAAGACTAGACAGAATGATTCTCAGAAACTTCTTTGTGATGTGTGCGTTCAACTCACAGAGTTTAACCTTTCTTTTCATAGAGCAGTTAGGAAACACTCTGTTTGTAAAGTCTGCAAGTGGATATTCAGACCTCTTTGAGGCCTTCGTTGGAAACGGGATTTCTTCATACTATGCTAGACAGAAGAATTCTCAGTAACTTCCTTGTGTTGTGTGTATTCAACTCGCAGAGTTGAACGATCCTTTACACAGAGCAGACTTGTAACACTCTTTTTGTGGAATTTGCAAGTGGAGATTTCAGCCGCTTTGAAGTCAAAGGTAGAAAAGGAAATATCTTCCTATAAAAACTAGACAGAAATCATTCTCAGAAACTGCTGCGTGATGTGTGCGTTCAACTCTCAGAGTTTAACTTTTCTTTTCATTCAGCGGTTTGGAAACACTCTGTTTGTAAAGTCTGCACGTGGATATTTTGACCACTTAGAGGCCTTCCTTGGAAACGGGTTTTTTTCATGTAAGGCTAGACAGAAGAATTCCCAGTAACTTCCTTGTGTTGTGTGCATTCAACTCACAGAGTTGAACGTTCCCTTAGACAGAGCAGATTTGAAACACTCTATTTGTGCAATTTGCAAGTGTAGATTTCAAGCGCTTTAAGGTCAACGGCAGAAAAGGAAATATCTTCGTTTCAAAACTAGACAGAATGATTCTCAGAAACTCCTTTGTGATCTGTGCGTTCAACTCACAGAGTTTAACTTTTCTTTTCATAGAGCAGTTAGGAAACACTCTGTTTGTAAAGTCTGCAAGTGGATATTCAGAGCTCTTTGAGGCCTTCGTTGGAAACGGGATTTCTTCATATTCTGCTAGACAGAAGAATTCTCAGTAGCTTCCTTGTGTTGTGTGTATTCAACTCACAGAGTTGAACGATCCTTTACAGAGAGCAGACTTGAAACACTCTTTTTGTGGAATTTGCAAGTGGAGATTTCAGCCGCTTTGAGGTCAATGGTAGAATAGGAAATATCTTCCTATAGAAACTGGACAGAATGATTCTCAGAAACTCCTTTGTGATGTGGGCGTTCAACTCACAGAGTTTAACCTTTCTTTTCATAGAGCAGTTAGGAAACACTCTGTTTGTAAAGTCTGCACGTGGATATTTGGACTTCTTTGAGGCCTTCGTTGGAAACGGTTTTTTTTCATGTAAGGCTAGACAGAAGAATTCTCAGTAACTTTCCTTGTGTTGTGTGTATTCAACTGACAGAGTTGAACTTTCATTTAGAGAGAGCTGATTTGAAACACTGTTTTTGTGGAATTTGCAAGTGGAGATTTCAAGCGCTTTGGGGCCAAAGGCAGAAAAGGAAATATCTTTGTATAAAAACTAGACAGAAGCATTCTCAGAAACTGCTCTGCGATGTGTGCGTTCAACTCTCAGAGTTTAACTTTTCTTTTCATTCAGCAGTTTGGAAACACTCTGTTTGTAAAGTCTGCACGTGGATAATTTGACCACTTAGAGGCCTTCGTTGGAAACGGGTTTTTTTCATGTAAGGCTAGACAGAAGAATTCCCAGTAACTTCCTTGTGTTGTGTACATTCAACTCACAGAGTTGAACGTTCCCTTAGACAGAGCAGATTTGAAACACTCTTTTTGTGCAATTGGCAAGTGGAGATTTCAAGCGCTTTAAGGTCAATGGCAGAAAAGGAAATATCTTCGTTTCAAAACTAGACAGAATCATTCCCACAAACTGCGTTGTGATGTGTTCGTTCAACTCACAGAGTTTAACCTTTCTTTTCATAGAGCAGTTAGGAAACAGTCTGTTTGTCAATTCTGTAAGTGGATATTCAGACCTCTTTGAGGCCTTCGTTGGAAACGGGATTTCTTCATACTATGCTAGACAGAGGAATTCTCAGGAACTTCCTTGTGTTGTGTGTATTCAACTCACAGAGTTGAACGATCCTTTACACAGAGCAGACTTGAAACACTCTTTTGGTGGAATTTGCAAGTGGAGATTTCAGCCGCTTTGAGTTCAATGGTAGAATAGGAAATATCTTCCTATAGAAACTACACAGAATGATTCTCAGAAACTGCTTTGTGATGTGTGCGTTCAACTCACAGAGTTCAACCTTTCTTTTCATAGAGCAGTTGGGAAACACTCTGTTTGTAAAGTCTGCAAGTGGATATTCAGACTTCTTTGAGGCCTTCGTTGGAAGCGGGATTTCTTCATGTTCTGCTAGACAGAAGAATTCCCAGTAACTTCCTTGTGTTGTGTGTGTTCAACTCACAGAGTTGAACTTTCATTTACACAGAGCAGATTTGAAACACTCTTTTTGTGGAATTTGCAGGTGGAGATTTCAAGCGCTTTGAGGCCAAAGGCCGAAAAGGAAATATCTTCGTATAAAAACTAGACAGAATCATTCTCAGAAACTGCTCTGCGATGTGTGCGTTCAACTCTCAGAGTTTAACTTTGCTTTTCATTCAGCAGTTTGGAAACACTCTGTTTGTAAAGTCTGCACGTGGATAATTTGACCACTTAGAGGCCTTCGTTGGAAACGAGTTTTTTTCATGTAAGGTTAGACAGAAGAATTCTCAGTAACTTCCTTGTGTTGTGTACATTCAACTCACAAGAGTTGAACGTTCCCTTAGACAGAGCAGATTTGAAACACTCTTTTTGTGCAATTGGCAAGTGGTGATTTCAGCCGCTTTGAGGTCAATGGTAGAAAAGGAAATATCTTCGTATAAAAACTAGACAGAATGATTCTCAGAAACTCCTTTGTGATGTGTGCGTTCAACTCACAGAGTTCAACCTTTCTTTTCATAGAGCAGTTGGGAAACATTCTGTTTGTAAAGTCTGCAAGTGGATATTCAGACTTCTTTGAGGCCTTCGTTGGAAGCGGGATTTCTTCATATTCTGCTAGACAGAAGAATTCTCAGAAACTTCCTTGTGTTGTGTGTTTTCAACTCACAGAGTTGAACGATCCTTTACACAGAGCAGACTTGAAACACTCCTTTTGTGGAATTTGCAAGTGGAGATTTCAGCCGCTTTGAGGTCAATGGTAGAATAGGAAATATCTTCCTATAGAAACTAGACAGAATGATTCTCAGAAACTCCTTTGTGATGCGTGCGTTCAACTCACAGAGTTTAACTTTTCTTTTCATAGAGCAGTTAGGAAACACTCTGTTTGTAAAGGCTGCAAGTGGATATTCAGACCCCTTTGAGGCCTTCGTTGGAAACGGGATTTCTTCATATTATGCGAGACAGAAGAATTCTCAGTAACTTCCTTGTGTTGTGTGTATTCAACTCACAGAGTTAAACGATCCTTTACACAGAGCAGACTTGAAACACTCTTTTTGTGGAATTTGCAAGTGGAGATTTCAGCCGCTTTGAGGTCAATAGTAGAAAAGGAAATATCTTCGAAGAAAAACTAGACAGAATCATTCTCAGAAACTGCTCTGCGATGTGTGCGTTCAACTCTCAGAGTTTAACTTTTCTTTTCATTCAGCAGTTTGGAAACACTCTGTTTGTAAAGTCTGCACGTGGATATTTTGACCACTTAGAGGCCTTCGTTGGAAACGGGTTTCTTTCCTGTAAGGCTAGACAGAAGAATTCCCAGTAACTTCCTTGTGTTGTGCGCATTCAACTCACAGAGTTGAACGTTCCCTTAGACAGAGCAGATTTGAAACAGCCTATTTGTGCAATTTGCAAGTGTACATTTCAAGCACTTTAAGGTCAACGGCAGAAAAGGAAATATCTTCGTTTCAAAACTAGACAGAATGATTCTCAGAAACTCCTTTGTGATGTGTGCGTTCAACTCACAGAGTTTAACCTTTCTTTTCACAGAGCAGTTAGGAAACACTCTGTTTGTAAAGTCTGCAAGTAGATATTCAGACCTCTTTGAGGCCTTCGTTGGAAAAGGGATTTCTTCATATTATGCTAGACAGAAGAATTCTCAGAAACTTCCTTGTGTTGTATGTATTCAACTCACAGAGTTGAACGATCCTTTACACACAGCAGACTTGAAACACTCTTTTTGTGGAATTTGCAAGTGGAGATTTCAGCCGCTTTGTGTTCAATGGTAGAAAAGGAAATATCTTCGTATAAAAACTAGACAGAATGATTCTCAGAAACTCCTTTGTGATGTGTGCGTTCAACTCACAGAGTTTAACCTTTCTTTTCATAGAGCAGTTGGGAAACACTCTGTTTGTAATGTCTGCAAGTGGATATTCAGACATCCTTGAGGCTTTCGTTGGAAACGGGATTTCTTCATATTCTGCTAGAAAGAAGAATTCTCAGTAACTTCCTTGTGTTGTGTGTATTCAACTGACAGAGTTGAACTTTCATTTAGAGAGAGCAGATTTGAAACACTGTTTTTGTGGAATTTGCAAGTGGAGATTTCAAGCGCTTTGGGGCCAAAGGCCGAAAAGGAAATATCTTCGTATAAAAACTAGACAGAATCATTCTCAGAAACTGCTGCGTGATGTGTGCGTTCAACTCTCAGAGTTTAACTTTTCTTTTCATTCAGCGGTTTGGAAACACTCTGTTTGTAAAGTCTGCACGTGGATATTTTGACCACTTAGAGGCCTTCGTTGGAAACGGGTTTTTTTCATGTAAGGCTAGACAGAAGAATTCCCAGTAACTTCCTTGTGTTGTGTACATTCAACTCACAGAGTTGAACGTTCCCTTAGACAGAGCAGATTTGAAACACTCTTTTTGTGCAATTGGCAAGTGGAGATTTCAAGCGCTTTAAGGTCAATGGCAGAAAAGGAAATATCTTCGTTTCAAAACTAGAGAGAATGATTCTCATGAACTCCTTTGTGATGTGTGCGTTCAACTCACAGAGTTTAACCTTTGTTTTCATAGAGCAGTTAGGAAACACTCTGTTTGTAAAGTCTGCAAGTGGATATTCAGACCTCCTTGAGGCCTTCTTTGGAAAAGGGATTTCTTCATATTCTGCTAGACAGAAGAATTCTCAGTAACTTCCTTGTGTTGTGTGTATTCAACTCACAGAGTTGAATGATCCTTTACACAGAGCAGACTTGAAACACTCTTTTTGTGGAAATTGCAAGTGGAGATTTCAGCCGCTTTGAGGTCAATGGTAGAAAAGTAAATATCTTCGTATAAAGACTAGACAGAATGATTCTCAGAAACTCCTTTGTGATGTGTGCGTTCAACTCACAGAATTTAACATTTCTTTTCATAGAGCAGTTAGGAAACACTCTGTTTGTAAAGTCTGTAAGTGGATATTCAGACCTCTTTGAGGCCTTCGTTGGAAACGGGATTTCTTCGTATTCTGCTGGACAGAAGAATTCTCAGTAACTTCCCTTGTGTTGTGTGTATTCAACTGACAGAGTTGAACTTTCATTTAGAGAGAGCAGATTTGAAACACTGTTTTTGTGGAATTTGCAAGTGGAGATTTCAAGCGCTTCGGGGCCAAAGGCAGAAAAGGAAATATCTTCGTATAAAAACTAGACAGAATCATTCTCAGAAACTGCTGCGTGATGTGTGCGTTCAACTCTCAGAGTTTAACTTTTCTTTTCATTCAGCGGTTTGGAAACACTCTGTTTGTAAAGTCTGCACGTGGATATTTTGACCACTTAGAGGCCTTCTTTGGAAACGGGTTTTTTTCATATAAGGCTAGACAGAAGATTTCCCATTAAATTCCTTGTGTTGTGTACATTCAACTCACAGAGTTGAACGTTCCCTTAGACAGAGCAGATTTGAAACACTCTTTTTGTGCAATTGGCAAGTGGAGATTTCAAGCGCTTTAAGGTCAATGGCAGAAAAGGAAATATCTTCGTTTCAAAACTAGACAGAATCATTCCCACAAACTGCGTTGTGATGTGTTCGTTCAACTCACAGAGTTTAACCTTTCCGTTCATAGAGCGGTTAGGAAACACTCTGTTTGTAAAGTCTGTAAGTGGATATTCTGACATCTTCTGGCCTTCGTTGGAAACGGGATTTCTTCATATTCTGCTAGACAGAAGAATTCTCAAGTAACTTCCTTGTGTTGTGTGTATTCAACTCACAGAGTTGAACGATCCTTTACACAGAGCAGACTTGTAACACTCTTTTTGTGGAATTTGCAAGTGGAGATTTCAGCCGCTTTGAAGTCAAAGGTAGAAAAGGAAATATCTTCCTATAAAAACTAGACAGAATGATCCTCAGAAACTCCCTTGTGATGTGTGCGTTCAACTCACAGACTTTAAACTTTCTTTTCATAGAGCAGTTAGGAAACACTCTGTTTGTAAAGTCTGCAAGTGGATATTCAGACCTCCTTGAGGCCTTCGTTGGAAACGGGATTTCTTCATATTATGCTAGACAGAAGAATTCTCAGTAACTTCCTTGTGTTGTGTGTATTCAACTGACAGAGTTGAACTTTCATTTAGAGAGAGCAGATTTGAAACACTGTTTTTGTGGAATTTGCAAGTGGAGATTTCAAGCGCTTTGGGGCCAAAGGCAGAAAAGGAAATATCTTCGTATGAAAACTAGGCAGAATCATTCTCAGAAGCTGCTGCGTGATGTGTGCGTTCAACTCTCAGAGTTTAACTTTTCTTTTCATTCAGCGGTTTGGAAACACTCTGTTTGTGAAGTCTGCACGTGGATATTTTGACCACTTAGAGGCCTTCGTTGGAAACGGGTTTTTTGCATGTAAGGCTAGACAGAAGAATTCCCAGTAACTTCCTTGTGTTGTGTGCATTCAACTCACAGAGTTGAACGTTCCCTTAGACAGAGCAGATTTGAAACACTCTATTTGTGCAATTTGCAAGTGTAGATTTCAAGCGCTTTAAGGTCAATGGCAGAAAAGGAAATATCTTCGTTTGAAAAATAGACAGAATCATTCCCACAAACTGCGTTGTGATGTGTTCGTTCAACTCACAGAGTTTAACTTTTCTTTTCATAGAGCAGTTAGGAAACACTCTGTTTGTAAAGTCTGTAAGTGGATATTCAGACCTCTTTGAGGCCTTCGTTGGAAACGGGATTTATTCATATTCTGCTAGACAGAAGAATTCTCAGTAACTGCCTTGTGTTGTGTGTATTCAACTCACAGAGTTGAACGATCCTTTACACAGAGCAGACTTGAAACACTCTTTTTGTGGAATTTGCAAGGGGAGATTTCAGCCGCTTTGAGGTCAATGGTAGAATAGGAAATATCTTCCTATAGAAACTAGACAGAATGATTCTCAGAAACTCCTTTGTGATGTGTGCGTTCAACTCACAGAGTTTAACCTTTCTTTTCATAGAGCAGTTAGGAAACACTCTGTTTGTAAAGTCTGCAAGTGGATATTCAGACCTCTTTGAGGCCTTCGTTGGAAACGGGATTTCTTCATATAAAATCTAGACAGAAGAATTCCCAGTAACTTCCTTGTGTTGTGTGTGTTCAACTCACAGAGTTGAACTTTCATTTACACAGAGCAGATTTGAAACACTCTTTTTGTGGAATTCGCAAGTGGAGATTTCAAGCGCTTTGAGGCCAAAGGCAGAAAAGGAAATATCTTCGTTTCAAAACTAGACAGAATCATTCTCAGAAACTGCTGCGTGATGTGTGCGTTCAACTCTCAGAGTTTAACTTTTCTTTTCATTCAGCGGTTTTGAAACACTCTGTTTGTAAAGTCTGCACGTGGATATTTTGACCACTTAGAGGCCTTCGTTGGAAACGGGTTTTTTTCATGTAAGGCTAGACAGAAGAATTCCCAGTAACTTCCTTGTGTTGTGTGCATTCAACTCACAGAGTTGAACGTTTCCTTAGACAGAGCAGATTTGAAACAATCTATTTGTGCAATTTGCAAGTGTAGATTTCAAGCGCTTTAAGGTCAATGGCAGAAAAGGAAATATCTTCGTTTCAAAACTAGACAGAATCATTCCCACAAACTGCGTTGTGATGTGTGCGTTCAACTCAAAGAGTTTAACCTTTCTTTTCATAGAGCAGTTAGGAAACACTCTGATTGTAAAGTCTGCAAGTGGATATTCAGACCTCCTTGAGGCCTTCGTTGGAAACGGGATTTCTTCATATTCTGCTAGACAGAAGAATTCTCAGTAACTATCTTGTGTTGTGTGTATTCAACTCACAGAGTTCAACGATCCTTTACACAGAGCAGACTTGAAACACTCTTTTTGTGGAATTTGCAAGTGGAGATTTCAGCCGCTTTGAGGTCAATGGTAGAATAGGAAATATCTTCCCATAGAAACTAGACAGAATGATTCTCAGAAACTCCTTTGTGATGTGTGCGTTCAACTCACAGAGTTCAACCTTTGTTTTCCTAGAGCAGTTGGGAAACACTCTGTTTGTAAAGTCTGCAAGTGGATATTCAGACTTCTTTGAGGCCTTCGTTGGAAGCGGGATTTCTTCATGTTCTGCTGGACAGAAGAATTCCCACTAACTTCCTTGTGTTGTGTGTGTTCAACTCACAGAGTTGAACTTTCATTTACACAGAGCAGATTTGAAACACTCTTTTTGTGGAATTTGCAAGTGGAGATTTCAAGCGCTGTGAGGCCAAAGGCAGAAAAGGAAATATCTTCGTATAAAAACTAGACAGAATCATTCTCAGAAACTGCTCTGCGATGTGTGCGTTCAACTCTCAGAGTTTAACTTTTCTTTTCATTCAGCAGTTTGGAAACACTCTGTTTGTAAAGTCTGCACGTGGATATTTTGACCACTTAGAGGCCTTCGTTGGAAACGGGTTTTTTTCCTGTAAGGCATAGACAGTAGAATTCCCAGTAACTTCCTTGTGTTGTGTACATTCAACTCACAGAGTTGAACGTTCCCTTAGACAGAGCAGATTTGAAACACTCTTTGTGCAATTGGCAAGTGGAGATTTCAAGCGCTTTAAGGTCAATGGCAGAAAAGGAAATATCTTCGTTTCAAAACTAGACAGAATCATTCCCACAAACTGCGTTGTGATGTGTTCGTTCAACTCACAGCAGTTTAACCTTTCTGTTCATAGAGCAGTTAGGAAACACTCTGTTTGTAAAGTCTGTAAGTGGATATTCTGACATCTTGTGGCCTTCGTTGGAAACGGGATTTCTTCATTTTCTGCTAGACAGAAGAATTCTCAGTAACTGCCTTGTGTTGTGTGTATTCAACTCACAGAGTTGAACGATCCTTTACACAGAGCAGACTTGAAACAATCTTTTTGTGGAATTTGCAAGTGGAGATTTCAGCCACTTTGAGGTCAATGGTAGAATAGGAAATATCTTCCTATAGAAACTAGACAGAATGATTCTCAGAAACTCCTTTGTGATGTGTGTGTTCAACTCACAGAGTTTAACCTTTCTTTTCATAGAGCAGTTAGTAAACACTCCGTTTATAAAGTCTGCAAGTGGATATTCAGACCCCTTTGAGGCCTTCGTTGGAAACGGGATTTCTTCATATTATGCTAGACAGAAGAATTCCCAGTAACTTCCTTGTGTTGTGTGTGTTCAACTCACAGAGTTGAACTTTCATTTACACAGAGCAGATTTGAAACACTCTTTTTGTGGAATTTGCAGGTGGAGATTTCAAGCGCTTTGAGGCCAAAGGCAGAAAAGGAAATATCTTCGTATAAAAACTAGACAGAAATCATTCTCAGAAACTGCTCTGCGATGTGTGCGTTCAACTCTCAGAGTTTAACTTTTCTTTTCATTCAGCAGTTTGGAAACACTCTGTTTGTAAAGTCTGCACGTGGATAATTTGACCACTTAGAGGCCTTCGTTGGAAACGGGTTTTTTTCATGTAAGGCTAGACAGAAGAATTCCCAGTAACTTCCTTGTGTTGTGTACATTCAACTCACAGAGTTGAACGTTCCCTTAGACAGAGCAGATTTGAAACACTCTTTTTGTGCAATTGGCAAGTGGAGATTTCAAGCGCTTTAAGGTCAATGGCAGAAAAGGAAATATCTTCGTTTCAAAACTAGACAGAATGATTCTGAGAAACTCCTTTGTGATATGTGCGTTCAACTCACAGAGTTTAACCTTTCTTTTCATAGAGCAGTTAGGAAACACTCTGATTGTAAAGTCTGCAAGTGGATATTCAGACCTCCTTGAGGCCTTCGTTGGAAACGGGATTTCTTCCTATTATGCTAGACAGAAGAATTCTCAGTAACTTCCTTGTGTTGTGTGTATTCAACTCACAGAGTTGAATGATCCTTTACACAGAGCAGACTTGAAACACTCTTTTTGTGGAATTTGCAAGTGGAGATTTCAGCCGCTTTGAGTTCAATGGTAGAATAGGAAATATCTTCCTATAGAAACTAGACAGAATGATTCTCAGAAACTCCTTTGTGATGTGTGCGTTCAACTCACAGAGTTTAACCTTTCTTTTCATAGAGCAGTTAGGAAACACTCTGTGTGTAAAGTTTGCAAGTGGATATTCAGACCTCTTTGAGGCCTTCGTTGGAAACGGGTTTTTTTCATATAAGGTTAGACAGAAGAATTCTCAGTAACTTCCTTGTGTTGTGTGTATTCAACTCACAGAGTTGAATGATCCTTTACACAGAACAGACTTGAAACACTCTTTTTGTGGAATTTGCAAGTGCAGATTTCAGCCGCTTTGAGGTCAAGGGTAGAAAAGGAAATATCTTCGTACAAAAACTAGACAGAATCATTCTCAGAAACTGCTGCGTGATGTGTGCGTTCAACTCTCAGAGTTTAACTTTTCTTTTCATTCAGCGGTTTGGAAACACTCTGTTTGTAAAGTCTGCACGTGGAAATTTTGACCACTTAGAGGCCTTCGTTGGAAACGGGTTTTTTTCATGTAAGGCTAGACAGAAGAATTCCCAGTAACTTCCTTGTGTTGTGTGCATTCAACTCACAGAGTTGAACGTTCCCTTAGACAGAGAAGATTTGAAACACTCTATTTGTGCAATTTGCAAGTGTAGATTTCAAGCGCTTTAAGGTCAACGGCAGAAAAGGAAATATCTTCGTTTCAAAACTAGACAGAATCATTACCACAAACTGCGTTGTGATGTGTTCGTTCAACTCACAGAGTTTAACCTTTCTCTTCATAGAGCAGTTAGGAAACACTCTGTTTGTAAAGTCTGCAAGTGGATATTCAGACCTCCTTGAGGCCTTCGTTGGAAACGGGATTTCTTCATATTATGCTAGACAGAAGAATTCCTCAGTAACTTCCTTGTGTTGTGTGTATTCAACTCACAGAGTTGAATGATCCTTTACACAGAGCAGACTTGAAACACTCTTTTTGTGGAATTTGCAAGTGGAGATTTCAGCCGCTTTGAGGTCAATGGTAGAATAGGAAATAACTTCCTATAGAAACTAGACAGAATGATTCTCAGAAACTCCTTTGTGATGTGTGTGTTCAACTCACAGAGTTCAACCTTTCTTTTCATAGAGCAGTTGGGAAACACTCTGTTTGTAAAGTCTGCAAGTGGATATTCAGACCTCCTTGAGGCCTTCGTTGGAAACGGGATTTCTTCATATTATGCTAGACAGAAGAATTCTCAGTAACTTCCTTGTGTTGTGTGTATTCAACTGACAGAGTTGAACTTTCATTTGGAGAGAGCAGATTTGAAACACTGTTTTTGTGGAATTTGCAAGTGGAGATTTCAAGCGCTTTGGGGCCAAAGGCAGAAAAGGAAATATCTTCGTATAAAAACTAGACAGAATCATTCTCAGAAAATCCTCTGTGATGTGTGCTTTCAACTCTCAGAGTTTAACTTTTCTTTTCATTCAGCAGTTTGGAAACACTCTGTTTGTAAAGTCTGCACGTGGATATTTTGACCACTTAGAGGCCTTCGTTGGAAACGGGTTTTTTTCATGTAAGGGTAGACAGAAGAATTCCCAGTAACTTCCTTGTGTTGTGGGCATTCAACTCACAGAGTTGAACGTTCCCTTAGACAGAGCAGATTTGAAACACTCTATTTGTGTAATTTGCAAGTGTAGATTTCAAGCGCTTTAAGGTCAACGGCAGAAAAGGAAATATCTTCGTTTCAAAACTAGACAGAATCATTCCCACAAACGGCGTTGTGATGTGTTCGTTCAACTCACAGAGTTTAACCTTTCTGTTCATAGAGCAGTTAGGAAACACTCTGTTTGTAAAGTCTGTAAGTGGATATTCTGACATCTTGTGGCCTTCGTTGGAAACGGGATTTCTTCATATTCTGCTAGACAGAAGAATTCCCAGTAACTTCCTTGTGTTGTGTACATTCAACTCACAGAGTTGAACGTTCCCTTAGACAGAGCAGACTTGTAACACTCTTTTTGTGGAATTTGCAAGTGGAGATTTCAGCCGCTTTGAAGTCAAAGGTAGAAAAGGAAATATCTTCCTATAAAAACTAGACAGAATGATTCTCAGAAACTCCTTTGTGATGTGTGCGTTCAACTCACAGAGTTTAACTTTTCTTTTCATAGAGCCGTTAGGAAACACTCTGTTTGTAAAGTCTGCAAGTGGATATTCAGACCTCTTTGAGGCCTTCGTTGGAAACGGGATTTCTTCATTTTATGCTAGACAGAAGAATTCTCAGTAACTTCCTTGTGTTGTGTGTATTCAGCTGACAGAGTTGAACTTTCATTTAGAGAGAGCAGATTTGAAACACTGTTTTTGTGTAATTTGCAATTGGAGATTTCAAGCGCTTTGGGGCCAAACCCAGAAAAGGAAATATCTTCGTATAAAAACTAGACAGAATCATTCTCAGAAACTGCTCTGCGATGTGTGCTTTCAACTCTCAGAGTTTAACTTTTCTTTTCATTCAGCAGTTTGGAAACACTCTGTTTGTAACGTCTGCACGTGGATATTTTGACCACTTAGAGGCCTTCGTTGGAAACGGGTTTTTTTCCTGTAAGGCTAGACAGAAGAATTCCCAGTAACTTCCTTGTGTTGTGTACATTCAACTCACAGAGTTGAACGTTCCCTTAGACAGAGCAGATTTGAAACACTCTTTTTGTGCAATTGGCAAGTGGAGAATTCAAGCGCTTTAAGGTCAATGGCAGAAAAGGAAATATCTTCGTTTCAAAACTAGACAGAATGATTCTCAGAAACTCCTTTGTGATGTGTGCGTTCAACTCACAGAGTTTAACCTTTCTTTTCATAGAGCAGTTAGGAAACACTCTGTTTGTAAAGTCTGCAAGTGGATATTCAGACCTCCTTGAGGCCTTCGTTGGAAACGGGATTTCCTCATATTATGCTAGACAGAAGAATTCCCAGTAACTTCCTTGTGTTGTGTGTATTCAACTCACAGAGTTGAACGATCCTTTACACAGAGCAGACTTGAAACACTCTTTTTGTGGAATCTGCAAGTGGAGATTTCAGCCGCTTTGAGGTCAATGGTAGAATAGGAAATATCTTCCTATAGAAACTAGATAGAATGATTCTCAGAAACTCCTTTGTGATATGTGTGTTCAACTCACAGATTTTAACCTTTCTTTTCATAGAGCAGTTAGTAAACACTCTGTTTATAAAGTCTGCAAGTGGATATTCAGACCCCTTTGAGGCCTTCGTTGGAAACGGGATTTCTTCATATTCTGCTAGACAGAAGAATTCTCAGTAACTTTCCTTGTGTTGTGTGTATTCAACTGACAGAGTTGAACTTTCATTTAGAGAGAGCAGATTTGAAACACTGTTTTTGTGGAATTTGCCAGTGGAGATTTCAAGCGCATTGGGGCCAAAGGCAGAAAAGGAAATATCTTCGTATAAAAACTAGACAGAATCATTCTCAGAAACTGCTCTGCGATGTGTGCATTCAACTCTCAGAGTTTAATTTTTCTTTTCATTCAGCAGTTTGGAAACACTCTCTTTGTAAAGTCTGCACGTGGATATTTTGACCACTTAGAGGCCTTCGTTGGAAACGGGTTTTATTCCTGTAAGGCTAGACAGAAGAATTCCCAGTAACTTCCTTGTGTTGTGTACATTCAACTCACAGAGTTGAACGTTCCCTTAGACAGAGCAGATTTGAAACACTCTTTTTGTGCAATTGGCAAGTGGAGATTTCAAGCGCTTTAAGGTCAATGGCAGAAAAGGAAATATCTTCGTTTCAAAACCAGACAGAATCATTCCCAAAAACTGCGTTGTGATGTGTGCGTTCAACTAACAGAGTTTAACCTTTCTTTTCATAGAGCAGTTAGGAAACACTCTGTTTGTAAACTCTGCAAGTGGATATTCAGACCTCTTTGAGGCCTTCGTTGGAAACGGGATTTCTTCATACTGTGCTAGACAGAAGAATTCTCAGTAACTTCCTTGTGTTGTGTGTATTCAACTCACAGAGTTGAACGATCCTTTACACAGAGCAGACTTGTAACACTCTTTTTGTGGAATTTGCAAGTGGAGATTTCAGCCGCTTTGAAGTCAAAGGTAGAAAAGGAAATAACTTCCTATAAAAACTAGACAGAATGATTCTCAGAAACTCCTTTGTGATGTGTGCGTTCAACTCACAGAGTTTAACCTTTCTTTTCATAGAGCAGTTAGGAAACACTCTGTTTGTAAAGTCTGCAAGTGGATATTCAGACCTCCTTGAGGCTTTCGTTGGAAACGGGATTTCTTCATATTATGCTAGAAAGAAGAATTCTCAGTAACTTCCTTGTGTTGTGCGTATTCAACTGACAGAGTTGAACTTTCATTTAGAGAGAGCAGATTTGAAACACTCTTTTTGTGGAATTTGCAAGTGGAGATTTCAAGCGCTTTGGGGCCAAAGGCAGAAAAGGAAATATCTTCGTATAAAAACTAGACAGAATCATTCTCAGAAACTGCTGCGTGATGTGTGCGTTCAACTCTCAGAGTTTAACCTTTCTTTTCATTCAGCGGTTTGGAAACACTCTGTTTCTAAAGTCTGCACGTGGATATTTTGACCACTTAGAGGCCTTCGTTGGAAACGGGTTTTTTTCATGTAAGGCTAGACAGAAGAATTCCCAGTAACTTCCTTGTGTTGTGTGCATTCAACTCACAGAGTTGAACGTTCCCTTAGACAGAGCAGATTTGAAACACTCTATTTGTGCAATTTGCAAGTGTAGATTTCAAGCGCTTTAAGGTCAACGGCAGAAAAGGAAATATCTTCGTTTCAAAACTAGACAGAATGATTCTCAGAAACTCCTTTGTGATGTGTGCCTTCAAGTCACAGAGTTTAACCTTTCTTTTCATACAGCAGTTAGGAAACACTCTGTTTGTAAAGTCTGCAAGTGGATTTTCAGACCTCTTTGTGGCCTTCGTTGGAAACGGGATTTCTTCATATTCTGCTAGACAGAAGAATTCTCAGTAACTTCCTTGTGTTGTGTGTATTCAACTCACAGAGTTGAACGATCCCTTACACAGAGCAGACTTGAAACACTCTTGTTGTGGAATTTGCAAGTGGAGATTTCAGCCGCTTTGAGGTCAATGGTAGAAAAGGGAATATCTTCGTATAGAAACTAGACAGAATGATTCTCAGAAACTTCTTTGTGATGTGTGCGTTCAACTCACAGAGTTTAACCTTTCTTTTCATAGAGCAGTTAGGAAACACTCCGTTTGTAAACTCTGCAAGTGGATATTCAGACCTCTTTGAGGCCTTCATTGGAAACGGGATTTCTCCATACTATGCTAGACAGAAGAATTCTCAGTAACTTCCTTGTGTTGTGTGTATTCAGCTGACAGAGTTGAACTTTCATTTAGAGAGAGCAGATTTGAAACACTGTTTTTGTGTAATTTGCAATTGGAGATTTCAAGTGCTTTGGGGCCAAACGCAGAAAAGGAAATATCTTCGTATAAAAACTAGACAGAATCATTCTCAGAAACTGCTCTGCGATGTGTGCGTTCAACTCTCAGAGTTTAACTTTTCTTTTCATTCAGCAGTTTGGAAACACTCTGTTTTTAAAGTCTGCACGTGGATAATTTGACCACTTAGAGGCCTTCGTTGGAAACGGGTTTTTTTCATGTAAGGCTAGACAGAAGAATTCCCAGTAACTTCCTTGGGTTGTGTACATTCAACTCACAGAGTTGAACGTTTCCTTAGACAGAGCAGATTTGAAACACTCTTTTTGTGCAATTGGCAAGTGGTGATTTCAGCCGCTTTGAGGTCAATGGTAGAAAAGGAAATATCTTCGTATAAAAACTAGACAGAATGATTCTCAGAAACTCCTTTGTGATGTGTGCGTTCAACTCACAGAGTTTAACTTTTCTTTTCATAGAGCAGTTAGGAAACACTCTGTTTGTAAAGTCTGCAAGTGGATATTCAGACCTCCTTGAGGCCTTCGTTGGAAATGGGATTTCTTCATATTCTGCTAGACAGAAGAATTCTCACTAACTTCCTTGTGTTGTGTGTATTCAACTCACAGAGTAGAACGATCCTTTACACAGAGCAGACTTGAAACACTCTTTTTGTGGAATTTGCAAGTGGAGATTTCAGCCGCTTTGAGGTCAATGGTAGAAAAGGAAATATCTTCGTATAAAGACTAGACAGAATGATTCTCAGAAACTCCTTTGTGATGTGTGCGTTCAACTCACAGAGATTAACTTTTCTTTTCATAGAGCAGTTAGGAAACACTCTGTTTGTAAAGTCTGCAAGTGGATATTCAGACCTCTTTGTGGCCTTCGTTGGAAACGGGATTTCTTCATATTATGCTAGACAGAAGAATTCTCAGTAACTTCCTTGTGTTGTGTGTATTCAACTGACAGAGTTGAACTTTCATTTAGAGAGAGCAGATTTGAAACACTGTTTTTGTGGAATTTGCAAGTGGAGATTTCAAGCGCTTTGGGGTCAAAGGCAGAAAAGGAAATATCTTCGTATAAAAACTAGACAGAATCATTCTCAGAAACTGCTCTGCGATGTGTGCGTTCAACTCTCAGAGTTTAACTTTTCTTTTCATTCAGCAGTTTGGAAACACTCTGTTTGTAAAGTCTGCACGTGGATAATTTGACCACATAGAGGCCTTCGTTGGAAACGGGTTTTTTTCATGTAAGGCTAAACAGAAGCATTCCCAGTAACTTCCTTGTGTTGTGTGCATTCAACTCACAGAGATGAACGTTCCCTTAGACAGAGCAGATTTGAAACGCTCTATTTGTGCAATTTGCAAGTGTAGATTTCAAGCGCTTTAAGGTCAATGGCAGAAAAGGTAATATCTTCGTTTCAAAACTAGACAGAATGATTCTCAGAAACTTCTTTGTGATGTGTGCGTTCAACTCACAGAGTTTAACCTTTCTTTTCATAGAGCAGTTAGGAAACACTCTGTTTGTAAACTCTGCAAGTGGATATTCAGACCTCTTTGAGGCCTTCGTTGGAAACGGGATTTCTCCATACTTTGCTAGACAGAAGAATTCTCAGTAACTTCCTTGTGTTGTGTGTATTCAACTCACAGAGTTGAACGATCCTTTACACAGAGCGGACTTGAAACACTCGTTTTGTGGAATTTGCAAGTGGAGATTTCAGCCGCTTTGAGGTCAATGGTAGAAAAGGAAATATCTTCGTATAAAAACTAGACAGAATGATTCTCAGAAACTCCTTTGTGATGTGTGCTGTTCAACTCACAGAGTTTAACCTTTCTGTTCATAGAGCAGTTAGGAAACACTCTGTTTGTAAAGTCTGCAAGTGGATATTCAGACCTCCTTGAGGCCTTCGTTGGAAACGGGATTTCTTCATATTCTGCTAGACAGAAGAATTCCCAGTAACTTCCTTGTGTTGTGTGTGTTCAACTCACAGAGTTGAACTTTCATTTACACAGAGCAGATTTGAAACACTCTTTTTGTGGCATTTGCAAGTGGAGATTTCAAGGGCTTTGAGGCCAAAGGCAGAAAAGGAAATATCTTCGTTTCAAAACTAGACAGAATCATTCTCAGAAACTCCTTTGTGATGTGTGCGTTCAACTCACAGAGTTTAACCTTTCTTTTCATAGAGCAGTTAGGAAACACTCTGTTTGTAAAGTCTGCAAGTGGATATTCAGACCTCCTTGAGGCCTTCGTTGGAAACGGGATTTCTTCATATTCTGCTAGACAGAAGAATTCCCAGGAACTTCCTTGTGTTGTGTACATTCAACTCACAGAGTTGAACGTTCCCTTAGACAGAGCAGATTTGAAACACTCTTTTTGTGCAATTGGCAAGTGGTGATTTCAGCCGCTTTGAGGTCAATGGTAGAAAAGGGAATATCTTCGTATAAAAACTAGACAGAATCAATCCCACAAACTGCGTTGTGATGTGTTCGTTCAACTCACAGAGTTTAACCTTTTTGTTCATAGAGCAGTTAGGAAACACTCTGTTTGTAAAGTCTGTAAGTGGATATTCTGACATTTTGTGGCCTTGGTTGGAAATGGGATTTCTTCATATTCTCCTAGACAGAAGAATTCTCAGTAACTTCCTTGTGTTGTGTGTATTCAACTCACAGAGTTGAAAGATCCTTTACACAGAGCAGACTTGAAACACTCTTTTTGTGGAATTTGAAAGTGGAGATTTCAGCCGCTTTGAGGTCAATGGTAGAAAAGGAAATATCTTCGTATAGAAACTAGACAGAATGATTCTCAGAAACTCCTTTGTGATGTGTGCGTTCAACTCACAGAGTTTAACTTTTCTTTTCATAGAGCAGTTAGGAAACACTCTGTTTGTAAAGTCTGCAAGTGGATATTGAGACCTCTTTGAGGCCTTCGTTGGAAACGGGATTTCTTCATATTCTGCTAGACAGAAGAATTCCCAGTAACTTCCTTGTGTTGTGTGTGTTCAACTCACAGAGTTGAACTTTCATTTACACAGAGCAGATTTGAAACACTCTTTTTGTGGAATTTGCAAGTGGAGATTTCAAGGGCTTTGAGGCCAAAGGCAGAAAAGGAAATATCTTCGTTTCAAAACTAGACAGAATCATTCTCAGAAACTGCTCTGTGATGTGTGCGTACAACTCTCAGAGTTTAACTTTTCTTTTCATTCAGCAGTTTGGAAACACTCTGCAAAGTCTGCACGTAGATATTTTGACCACTTAGAGGCCTTCGTTGGAAACGGGTTTTTTTCATGTAAGGCTAGACAGAAGAATTCCCAGTAACTTCCTTGTGTTGTGTGCATTCAACTCACAGAGATGAACGTTCCCTTAGACAGAGCAGATTTGAAACACTCTATTTGTGTAATTTGCAAGTGTAGATTTCAAGCGCTTTAAGGTCAATGGCAGAAAAGGAAATATCTCCGTTTCAAAACTAGACAGAATGATTCTCAGAAACTCCTTTGTGATGTGTGTGTTCAACTCACAGAGTTTAACATTTCTTTTCATAGAGCAGTTAGGAAACGCTCTGTTTGTAAAGTCTGCAAGTGGATATTCAGACCTCGTTGAGACCTTCGTTGGAAACGGGATTTCTTCATATTCTGCTAGACAGAAGAATTCTCAGTAACTTCCTTGTGTTGTGTTTATTCAACTCACAGAGTTGAACGATCCTTTACACAGAGCAGACTTGAAACACTCTTTTTGTGGAATTTGCAAGTGGAGATTTCAGCCGCTTTGTGGTCAATGGTAGAAAAGGAAATATCTTCGTATAAAGACTAGACAGAATGATTCTCAAAACTCCTTTGTGATGTGTGCGTTCAACTCACAGAGTTTAACCTTTCTTTTCATAGAGCAGTTAGGAAACACTCTGTTTGTAAAGTCTGCAAGTGGATATTCAGACCTCTTTGAGGCCTTCGTTGGAAACGGGATTTCTTCATATTCTGCTAGACAGAAGAATTCCCAGTAACTTCCTTGTGTTGTGTGTGTTCAACTCACAGAGTTGAACTTTCATATACACAGAGCAGATTTGAAACACTCTTTTTGTGGAATTTGCAAGTGGAGATTTCAAGCGCTTTGAGGCCAAAGGCAGAAAAGGAAATATCTTCGTATAAAAACTAGACAGAATCATTCTCAGAAACTGCTCTGCGATGTGTGCGTTCAACTCTCAGAGTTTAACTTTTCTTTTCATTCAGCAGTTTGAAAACACTCTGTTTGTAAAGTCTGCACGTGGATATTTTGACCACTTAGAGGCCTTCGTTGGAAACGGGTTTTTTTGCCTGTAAGGCTAGACAGAAGAATTCCCAGTAACTTCCTTGTGTTGTGTGCATTCAACTCACAGAGTTGAACGTTCCCTTAGACAGAGCAGATTTGAAACACTCTATTTGTGCAATTTGCAAGTGTAGATTTCAAGCGCTTTAAGGTCAACGGCAGAAAAGGAAATATCTTCGTTTCAAAACTAGACAGAATGATTCTCAGAAACTCCTTTGTGATGTGTGCGTTCAACTCACAGAGTTTAACCTTTCTGTTCATAGAGCAGTTAGGAAACACTCTGTTTGTAAAGTCTGTAAGTGGATATTCTGACATCTTGTGGCCTTCGTTGGAAACGGGATTTCTTCATATTCTGCTAGACAGAAGAATTCTCAGAATCTTCCTTCTGTTGTGTGTATTCAACTCAGAGAGTTGAATGATCCTTTACACAGAGCACACTTGAAACACTCTTTTTGTGGAATTTGCAAGTGGAGATTTCAGCCGCTTTGAGGTCCATGGTAGAAAAGGAAATATCTTCGTATAAAAACTAGACAGAATGATTCTGAGAAACTCCTTTGTGATGTGTGCGTTCAACTCACAGAGTTTAACCTTTCTTTTCATAGAGCAGTTTGGAAACACTCCGTTTGTAAACTCTGCAAGTGGATATTCAGACCTCCTTGAGGCCTTCCTTGGAAACGGGATTTCTTCATATTATGCTAGACAGAAGAATTCCCAGTAACTTCCTTGTGTTGTGTGTGTTGAACTCACAGAGTTGAACTTTCATTTAGACAGAGCAGATTTGAAACACTCTTTTTGTGGAATTTGCAAATGGAGAATTCATGCACTTTGAGGCCAAAGGCAGAAAAGGAAATATCTTCGTATAAAAACTAGACAGAATCATTCTCAGAAACTGCTCTGCGATGTGTGCGTACAAATCTCAGAGTTTAACTTTTCTTTTCATTCAGCAGTTTGGAAACACTCTGTTTGTAAAGTCTGCACGTGGATAATTTGACAACTTAGAGACCTTCGTTGGAAACGGGTTTTTTTCATGTAAGGCTAGACAGAAGAATTCCCAGTAACTTCCTTGTGTTGTGTACATTCAACTCACAGAGTTGAACGTTCCCTTAGACAGAGCAGATTTGAAACACTCTTTTTGTGCAATTGGCAAGTGGAGATTTCAAGCGCTTTGAGGTCAATGACAGAAAAGGAAATATCTTCGTTTCAAAACTAGACAGAAATCATTCCCACAAACTGCGTTGTGATGTGTTCGTTCATCTCACAGAGTTTAACCTTTCTTTTCATAGAGCAGTTAGGAAACAGTCTGTTTGAAAATTCTGTAAGTGGATATTCTGACATCTTGTGGCCTTCGTTGGAAACGGGATTTCTTCATATTCTGCTAGACAGAGCAATTCTCAGTAAACTTCCTTGTGTTGTGTGTTTTCAACTCACAGAGTTCAACGATCCTTTACACAGAGCAGACTTGAAACACTCTTTTTGTGGAATTTGCAAGTGGAGATTTCAGCCGCTTTGAGGTCAATGGTAGAATAGGAAATATCTTCCTATAGAAACTAGACAGAATGATTCTCAGAAACTCCTTTGTGATGTGTGCGTTCAACTCACAGAGTTTAACCTTTCTTTTCATAGAGCAGTTAGGAAACACTCTGATTGTAAAGTCTGCAAGTGGATATTCAGAACTCCTTGAGGCCTTCGTTGGAAACGGAGATTTCTTCATATTATGCTAGACAGAAGAATTCTCAGTAACTTCCTTGTGTTGTGTGTATTCAACTCACAGAGTTGAACGATCCTTTACAGAGAGCAGACTTGAAACACTCTTTTTGTGGAATTTGCAAGTGGAGACTTCAGCCGCTTTGAGGTCAATGGTAGAAAAGGAAACTATCTACGTATAAAGACTAGACAGAATCATTCTCAGAAACTGCTCTGCGATGTGTGTGTTCAACTCACAGAGTTTCACCTTTCTTTTCATAGAGCAGATAGGAAACACTCTGTTTGTAAAGTCTGCAAGTCGATATTCAGACCTCTTTGAGGCCTTCGTTGGAAACGGGTTTTTTTCATATAAGGCTAGACAGAAGAATTCCCAGTAACTTCCTTGTGTTGTGTGCATTCAACTCACAGAGTTGAACGTTCCCTTAGACAGAGCAGATTTGAAACACTCTATTTGTGCAATTTGCAAGTGTAGATTTCAAGCGCTTTAAGGTCAATGGCAGAAAAGGAAATTTCTTCGTTTTAAAACTAGACAGAATCATTCCCAGAAACTGCGTTGTGATGTGTTCGTTCAACTCACAGAGTTTAACCTTTCTGTTCATAGAGCAGTTAGGAAACACTCTGTTTGTAAAGTCTGTAAGTGGATATTCTGACGTCTTGTGGCCTTCGTTGGAAACGGGATTTCTTCATATTCTGCTAGACAGAAGAATTCTCAGAAACTTCGTTGTGTTGTGTGTTTTCAACTCACAGAGTTGAACGATCCTTTACACAGAGCAGACTTGAAACACTCTTTTTGTGGAATTTGCAAGTGGAGATTTCAGCCGCTTTGAGGTCAATGGTAGAAAAGGAAATATCTTCGTATAAAAACTAGACAGAATGATTCTCAGAAACTTCATTGTGATGTGTGCGTTCAACTCACAGAGTTTAACCTTTCTTTTCATAGAGCAGTTAGGAAACACTCTGTTTGTAAACTCTGCAAGTGGATATTCAGACCTCTTTGAGGCCTTCGTTGGAAACGGGATTTCTCCATACTGTGCTAGACAGAAGAATTCTCAGTAACTTCCTTGTGTTGTGTGTATTCAACTGACAGAGTTGAACTTTCATTTCGAGAGAGAGCAGATTTGAAACACTGTTTTTGTGGAATTTGCAAGTGGAGATTTCAAGCGCTTTGGGGCCAAAGGCAGAAAAGGAAATATCTTCGTATAAAAACTAGACAGAATCATTCTCAGGAACTACTGCGTGATGTGTGGGTTCAACTCTCAGAGTTTAACTTTTCTTTTCATTCAGCGGTTTGGAAACACTCTGTTTGTAAAGTCTGCACGTGGAAATTTTGACCACTTAGAGGCCTTCGTTGGAAACGGGTTTTTTTCATGTAAGGCTAGACAGAAGAATTCCCAGTAACTTCCTTGTGTTGTGTGCATTCAACTCACAGAGTTGAACGTTCCCTTAGACAGAGCAGATTTGAAACACTCTATTTGTGCAATTTGCAAGTGTAGTTTTCAAGCTCTTTAAGGTCAACGGCAGAAAAGGAAATATCTTCGTTTCAAAACTAGACAGAATGATTCTCATAAACTCCTTTGTGATGTGTGCATTCAACTCACAGAGTTTCACCTTTCTTTTCATAGAGCAGTTAGGAAACACTCTGTTTGTAAAGTCTGCAAGTGGATATTCAGACCTCCTTGAGGCCTTCGTTGGTAACGGGATTTCTTCATATTCTGCTAGACAGAAGAATTCTCAGTAACTTCCTTGTGTTGTCTGTATTCAACTCACAGAGTTGAACGATCCTTTACACAGAGCAGACTTGAAACACTCTTTTTGTGGAATTTGCAAGTGGAGATTTCAGCCGCTTTGAGGTCAATGGTAGAAAAGGAAACTATCTTCGTATAAAGACTAGACAGAATGATTCTCAGAAACTTCTTTGTGATGTGTGCGTTCAACTCACAGAGTTTAACCTTTCTTTTCATAGAGCAGTTAGGAAACACTCTGTTTGTAAACTATGCAAGTGGATATTCAGACCTCTTTGAGGCCTTCGTTGGAAACGGGATTTCTTCATACTATGCTAGACAGAAGAATTCCCAGTAACTTCCTTGTGTTGTGTGTGTTCAACTCACAGAGGTGAACGGTCCTTTACACAGAGCAGATTTGAGACACTCTTTTTGTGGAATTTGCTAATGGAGATTTCAAGCGCTTTGAGGCCAAAGGCAGAAAAGGAAATATCTTCGTATAAAAACTAGACAGAATCATTCTCAGAAACTGCTGCGTGATGTGGGCGTTCAACTCTCAGAGTTTAACTTTTCTTTTCATTCAGCGGTTTGGAAACACTCTGTTTGTAAAGTCTGCACGTGGATATTTTGACCACTTAGAGGCCTTCGTTGGAAACGGGTTTTTTTCATGTAAGGCTAGACAGAAGAATTCCCAGTAACTTCCTTGTGTTGTGTGCATTCAACTCACAGAGTTGAACGTTCCCTTAGACAGAGCAGATTTGAAACACTCTATTTGTGCAATTTGCAAGTGTAGATTTCAAGCGCTTTAAGGTCAACGGCAGAAAAGGAAATATCTTCGTTTCAAAACTAGACAGAATCATTCCTACAAACTGCGTTGTGATGTGTTCGTTCAACTCACAGAGTTTAACCTTTCTGTTCATAGAGCAGTTAGGAAACACTCTGTTTGTAAAGTCTGCAAGTGGATATTCAGACCTCCTTGAGGCCTTCGTTGGAAACGGGATTTCTTCATATTCTGCTAGACAGAAGAATTCTCAGTAACTTCCTTGTGTTGTGTGTATTCAACTCACAGAGTTGAACGATCCTTTACACAGAACAGACTTGAAACACTCTTTTTGTGGAATTTGCAAGCGCAGATTTCAGCCGCTTTGAGGTCAATGGTAGAACAGGAAATATCTTCCTATAGAAACTAGACAGAATGATTCTCATAAACTCCTTTGTGATGTGTGCATTCAACTCACAGAGTTTCACCTTTCTTTTCATAGAGCAGTTAGGAAACACTCTGTTTGTAAAGTCTGCAAGTGGATATTCAGACCTCCTTGAGGCCTTCGTTGGAAACGGGATTTCTTCATATTCTGCTAGACAGAAGAATTCTCAGTAACTTCCTTGTGTTGTGTGTATTCAACTCACAGAGTTGAACGATCCTTTACAAAGAGCAGACTTGAAAAACTCTTTTTGTGGAATTTGCAAGTGGAGATTTCAGCCGCTTTGAGGTCAATGGTAGAAAAGGAAACTATCTTCGTATAAAGACTAGACAGAATCATTCTCAGAAACTGCTCTGCGATGTGTTCGTTCAACTCTCAGAGTTTAACTTTTCTTTTCATTCAGCAGTTTGGAAACACTCTGTTTGTAAAGTCTGCACGTGGATATTTTGACCACTTAGAGGCCTTCGTTGGAAACGGGTTTTTTTCCTGTAAGGCTAGACAGAAGAATTCCCAGCAACTTCCTTGTGTTGTGTGCATTCAACTCACAGAGTTGAACGTTCCCTTAGACAGAGCAGATTTGAAACACTCTATTTGTGCAATTTGCAAGTGTAGATTTCAAGCGCTTTAAGGTCAATGGCAGAAAAGGAAATATCGTCGTTTCAAAACTAGACAGATAATCATTCCCACAAACTGCGTTGTGATGTGTTCGTTCAACTCACAGGGTTTAACCTTTCTGTTCATAGAGCAGTTAGGAAACACTCTGTTTGTAAAGTCTGTAAGTGGATATTCTGACATCTTGTGGCCTTCGTTGGAAACGGGATTTCTTCATATTCTGCTAGACAGAAGAATTCTCAGTAACTTCCTTGTGTTGTGTGTATTCAACTCACCAGAGTTGAATGATCCTTTACACAGAACAGTCTTGAAACACTCTTTTTGTGGAATTTGCAAGTGGAGATTTCAGCCGCTTTGAGGTCAATGGTAGAATAGGAAATATCTTCCTATAGAAACTAGACAGAATGATTCTCAGAAACTCCTTTGTGATGTGTGCGTTCAACTCACAGAGTTTAACCTTTCTTTTCATAGCGCAGTTGGGAAACACTCTGTTTGTAAAGTCTGCAAGTGGATATTCAGACATCCTTGAGGCTTTCGTTGGAAACGGGATTTCTTCATATTCTGCTATAAAGAAGAATTCTCAGTAACTTCCTTGTGTTTTGTGTATTCAACTGACAGAGTTGAACTTTCATTTAGAGAGAGCAGATTTGAAACACTGTTTTTGTGGAATTTGCAAGTGGAGATTTCAAGCGCTTTGGGACCAAAGGCAGAAAAGGAAATATCTTCGTATAAAAACTAGACAGAATCATTCTCAGAAACTGCTGCGTGATGTGTGCGTTCAACTCTCAGAGTTTAACTTTTCTTTTCATTCAGCGGTTTGGAAACACTCTGTTTGTAAAGTCTGCACGTGGATATTTTGACCACTTAGAGGCCTTCGTTGGAAACGGGTTTTTTTCATGTAAGGCTAGACAGAAGAATTCCCAGTAACTTCCTTGTGTTGTGTGCATTCAACTCACAGAGTTGAACGTTCCCTTAGACAGAGCAGATTTGAAACACTCTATTTGTGCAATTTGCAAGTGTAGATTTCAAGCGCATTAAGGTCAATGGCAGAAAAGGAAATATCTTCGTTTCAAAATTAGACAGAATGATTCTGAGAAACTCCTTTGTGATGTGTGCGTTCAACTCACAGAGTTCAACCTTTCTTTTCATAGAGCAGTTGGGAAACACTCTGTTTGTAAAGTGTGCAAGTGGATATTCAGACCTCCTTGAGGCCTTCGTTGGAAACGGGATTTCTTCATATTATGCTAGACAGAAGAATTCTCAGTAACTTCCTTGTGTTGTGTGAATTCAACTCACAAAGTTGAACGATCCTTTACACAGAGCAGACTTGAAACACTCTTTTTGTGGAATTTGCAGGTGTAGATTTCAGCCGCTTTTTATTCAATGGTAGAATAGGAAATATCTTCCTATAGAAACTAGACAGAATGATTCTCAGAAACTCCTTTGTGATGTGTGCGTTCAACTCACAGAGTTTAACCTTTCTTTTCATAGAGCAGTTAGGAAACACTCTGTTTGTAAAGTCTGCAAGAGGATATTCAGACCTCTTTGAGGCCTTCGTTGGAAACGGGTTTTTTTCATATAAGGCTAGACAGAAGAATTCCCAGTAACTTCCTTGTGTTGTGTGTGTTCAACTCACAGAGTTGAACTTTCATTTACACAGAGCAGATTTGAAACACTCTTTTTGTGGAATTTGCAAGCGGAGATTTCAAGCGCTTTGAGGCCAAAGGCAGAAAAGGAAATATCTCCGTTTCAAAACTAGACAGAATCATTCTCAGAAACTGCTCTGCGATGTGTGCATTCAACTCTCAGAGTTTAATTTTTCTTTTCATTCAGCAGTTTGGAAACATTCTCTTTGTAAAGTCTGCACGTGGATATTTTGACCACTTAGAGGCCTTCGTTGGAAACGGGTTTTATTCTTGTAAGGCTAGACAGAAGAATTCCCAGTAACTTCCTTGTGTTGTGTACATTCAACTCACAGAGTTGAACGTTCCCTTAGACAGAGCAGATTTGAAACACTCTTTTTGTGCAATTGGCAAATGGAGATTTCAAGCGCTTTAAGGTCAATGGCAGAAAAGGAAATATCTTCGTTTCAAAACTAGACAGAATGATTCTCAGAAACTCCTTTGAGATGTGTGTGTTCAACTCACAGAGTTTAACCTTTCTTTTCATAGAGCAGTTAGGAAACACTCTGTTTGTAAACTCTGCAAGTGGATATTCAGACCTCTTTGAGGCCTTCGTTGGAAACCGGATTTCTTCATACTGTGCTAGACAGAAGAATTCTCAGAATCTTCCTTGTGTTGTGTGTATTCAACTCACAGAGTTGAACGATCCTTTACACAGAGCAGACTTGAAACACTCTTTTTGTGGAATTTGCAAGTGGAGATTTCAGCCGCTTTGAGGTCCACGGTAGAAAAGGAAATATCTTCGTATAACAACTAGACAGAATGATTCTCAGAAACTTCTTTGTGATGTGTGCGTTCAACTCACAGAGTTTAACCTTTCTTTTCATAGAGCAGTTACGAAACACTCTGTTTGTAAACTCTGCAAGTGGATATTCAGACCTCTTTGAGGCCTTCGTTGGAAACGGGATTTCTTCATACTATGCTAGACAGAAGAATTCTCAGTAACTTCCTTGTGTTGTGTGTATTCAACTGACAGAGTTGAACTTTCATTTAGAGAGAGCAGACTTGAAACACTGTTTTTGTGGAATTTGCAAGTGGAGATTTCAAGCGCTTTGGGGCCAAAGGCAGAAAAGGAAATATCTTCGTATAAAAACTAGACAGAATCATTCTCAGAAACTGCTCTGCGATGTGTGCGTTCAACTCTCAGAGTTTAACTTTTCTTTTCATTCAGAAGTTTGGAAACACTCTGTTTGTAAAGTCTGCACGTGGATAACTTGACCACTTAGAGGCCTTCGTTGGAAACGGGTTTTTTTCATGTAAGGCTAGACAGAAGAATTCTCAGTAACTTCCTTGTGTTGTGTGTATTCAACTCACATAGTTGAACGATCCTTTACACAGAACAGACTTGTAACACTCTTTTTGTGGAATTTGCAAGTGGAGATTTCAGCCACTTTGAAGTCAAAGGTAGAAAAGGAAATAACTTCCTATAAAAACTAGACAGAATGATTCTCAGTAAACTCCTTTGTGATGTGTGCGTTCAACACACAGAGTTTAACTTTTCTTTTCATAGAGCAGTTAGGAAACACTCTGTTTGTAAAGTCTGCAAGTGGATATTCAGACCTCTTTGAGGCCTTCGTTGGAAACGGGATTTCTTCATATTCTGCTAGACAGAATAATTCTCAGTAACTTCCTTTTGTTGTGTGTATTCAACTCACAGAGTTGAACGATCCTTTACAGAGAGCAGACTTGAAACACTCTTTTTGTGGAATTTGCAAGTGGAGATTTCAGCCGCTTTGAGGTCAATGGTAGAATAGGAAATATCTTCCTATAGAAACTAGACAGAATGATTCTCAGAAACTCCTTTGTGATGTGTGCGTTCAACTCACAGAGTTTAACCTTTCTTTTCATAGAGCAGTTGGGAAACACTCTGTTTGTAAAGTCTGCAAGTGGATATTCAGACATCCTTGAGGCTTTCGTTGGAAAAGGGATTTCTTCATATTCTGCTAGAAAGAAGAATTCTCAGTAACTTCCTTGTGTTGTCTGTATTCAACTCACAGAGTTGAACGATCCTTTACACAGAGCAGACTTGAAACACTCTTTTTGTGGAATTTGCAAGTGGAGATTTCAGCCGCTTTGAGGTCAATGGTAGAATAGGAAATATCTTGCTATAGAAACTATACAGAATCATTCTCAGAAACTGCTGCGTGATGTGTGCGTTCAACTCTCAGAGTTTAACTTTTCTTTTCATTCAGCGGTTTGGAAACACTCTGTTTGTAAAGTCTGCACGTGGAAATTTTGACCACTTAGAGGCCTTCGTTGGAAACGGGTTTTTTTCATGTAAGGCTAGACAGAAGAATTCCCAGTAACTTCCTTGTGTTGTGTGCATTCAACTCACAGAGTTGAACGTTCCCTTAGACAGAGCAGATTTGAAACACTCTATTTGTGCAATTTGCAAGTGTAGATTTCAAGCGCTTTAAGGTCAATGGCAGAAAAGGAAATATCTTCGTTTCAAAACTAGACAGAATCATTCCCACAAACTGCGTTGTGATGTGTTCGTTCAACTCATAGAGTTTAACCTTTCTGTTCATAGAGCAGTTAGGAAACACTCTGTTTGTAAAGTCTGTAAGTGGATATTCTGACATCTTGTGGCCTTCGTTGGAAACGGGATTTCTTCATATTCTGCTAGACAGAAGAATTCTCAGTAACTTCCTTGTGTTGTGTGTATTCAACTCACAGAGTTCAACGATCCTTTACACAGAGCAGACTCGAAACACTCTTTTTGTGGAATTTGCAATTGGAGATTTCAGCCGCTTTGAGGTCAATGGTAGAAAAGGAAATATCTTCGTATAAAAACTAGACAGAATGATTCTCAGAAACTCCTTTGTGATGTGTGCGTTCAACTCACAGAGTTTAACCTTTCTTTTCATAGAGCAGTTAGGAAACACTCTGTTTGTAAAGTCTGCACGTGGATATTTGGACTTCTTTGAGGCCTTCGTTGGCAACGGGGTTTTTTCATGTAAGGCTAGACAGAAGAATTCTCAGTAACTTCCTTGTGTTGTGTGTATTCAACTGACAGAGCTGAACTTTCATTTAGAGAGAGCACATTTGAAACACTGTTTTTGTGGAATTTGCAAGTGGAGATTTCAAGCGCTTTGGGGCCAAAGGCAGAAAAGGAAATATCTTCGTATAAAAACTAGACAGAATCATTCTCAGAAACTGCTCTGCGATGTGTGCATTCAACTCTCAGAGTTTAATTTTTCTTTTCATTCAGCAGTTTGGAAACACTCTCTTTGTAAAGTCTGCACGTGGATATTTTGACCACTTAGAGGCCTTCGTTGGAAACGGGTTTTATTCCTGTAAGGCTAGACAGAAGAATTCCCAGTAACTTCCTTGTGTTGTGTACATTCAACTCACAGAGTTGAACGTTCCCTTAGACAGAGCAGATTTGAAACACTCTTTTTGTGCAATTGGCAAATGGAGATTTCAAGCGCTTTAAGGTCAATGGCAGAAAAGGAAATATCTTCGTTTCAAAACTAGACAGAATCATTCCCACAAACTGCGTTGTGATGTGTTCGTTCAACTCACAGAGTTTAACCTTTCTTTTCATAGAGCAGTTAGGAAACAGTCTGTTTGTCAATTCTGTAAGTGGATATTCTGACATCTTGTGGCCTTCGTTGGAAACGGGATTTCTTCACATTCTGCTAGACAGAAGAATTATCAGTAACTTCCTTGTGTTGTGTGTATTCAACTCACAGAGTTGAACGATCCTTTACACAGAGCAGACTTGAAACACTCTTTTTGTGGAATTTGCAAGTGGAGATTTCAGCCGCTTTGAGGTCAATAGTAGAAAAGGAAATATCTTCGTAGAAAAACTAGACAGAATGATTCTCAGAAACTCCTTTGTGATGTGTGCGTTCAACTCACAGAGTTTAACCTTTCTTTTCATAGAGTAGTTAGGAAACACTCTGTTTGTAAAGTCTGCAAGTGGATATTCAGACATCCTTGAGGCTTTCGTTGGAAACGGGATTTCTTCATATTCTGCTAGAAAGAATAATTCTCAGTAACTTCCTTGTGTTGTGTGTATTCAACTCACAGAGTTGAATGATCCTTTACACAGAGCAGACTTGAAACACTCTTTTTGTGGAATTTGCTTGTGGAGATTTCAGCCGCTTTGAGGTCAATGGTAGAATAGGAAATATCTTCTTATAGAAACTAGACAGAATCATTCTCAGAAACTGCTCTGCGATGTGTGCGTTCAACTCTCAGAGTTTAACTTTTCTTTTCATTCAGCAGTTTGGAAACACTCTGTTTGTAAAGTCTGCACGTGGATAACTTGACCACTTAGAGGCCTTCGTTGGAAACGGGTTTTTTTCATGTAAGGCTAGACAGAAGAATTCCCAGTAACTTCCTTGTGTTGTGTGCATTCAACTCACAGAGTTGAACGTTCCCTTAGACAGAGCAGATTTGAAACACTCTATTTGTGCAATTTGCAAGTGTAGATTTCAAGCGCTTTAAGGTCAATGGCAGAAAAGGAAATGTCTTCGTTTCAAAACTAGACAGAATCATTCCCACAAACTGCGTTGTGATGTGTTCGTTCAACTCACAGAGTTTAACCTTTCTGTTCATAGAGCAGTTAGGAAACACTCTGTTTGTAAAGTCTGTAAGTGGATATTCTGACATCTTGTGGCCTTGGTTGGAAACGGGATTTCTTCATATTCTGCTAGACAGAAGAATTCTCAGTAACTTCCTTGTGTTGTGTGTATTCAACTCACAGAGTTGAACGATGGTTTACACAGAGCAGATTTGAAACACTCTTTTTGTGGAATTTGCAAGTGGAGATTTCAGCCTCTTTGAGGTCAATGGTAGAAAAGGAAATATCTTCGTATAAAAACTAGACAGAATGATTCTCAGAAACTCCTTTGTGATGTGTGCGTTCAAATCACAGAGTTTAACTTTTCTTTTCATAGAGCAGTTAGGAAACACTCTGTTTGTAAAGTCTGCAAGTGGATATTCAGACCTCTTTGAGGCCTTCGTTGGAAACGGGATTTTTTCATATTATGCTAGACAGAAGAATTCTCAGTAACTGCCTTGTGTTGTGTTTATTCAACTCACAGAGTTGAACGATCCTTTACACAGAGCAGACTTGAAATACTCTTTTTGTGGAATTTGCAAGTGGAGATTTCAGCCGCTTTGAGGTCAATGGTAGAATAGGAAATATCTTCCTATAGAAACTAGACAGAATGATTCTCAGAAACTCATTTGTGATGTGTGCGTTCAACTCACGGAGTTTAACCTTTCTTTTCATAGAGCAGTTAGGAAACACTCTGTTTGTAAAGTCTGCAAGTGGATATTCAGACCTCTTTGAGGTCTTCGTTGGAAACGGGATTTCTTCATATTCTGCTAGACAGAAGAATTCCCAGTAACTTCCCTTGTGTTGTGTACATTCAACTCACAGAGTTGAACGTTCCCTTAGACAGAGCAGATTTGAAACACTCTTTTTGGGCAATTGGCAAGTGGAGATTACAAGCGCTTTAAGGTCAATGGCAGAAAAGGAAATATCTTCGTTTCAAAACTAGACAGAATCATTCCCACAAACTGCGTTGTGATGTGTTCGTTCAACTCACAGAGTTTAACCTTTCGGTTCATAGAGCAGTTAGGAAACACTCTGTTTGTAAAGTCTGTAAGTGGATATTCTGACATCTTGTGGCCTTCGTTGGAAACGGGATTTCTTCATATTCTGCTAGACAGAAGAATTCTCAGTAACTTCCTTGTGTTGTGTGTATTCAACTCACAGAGTTGAACGATCCTTTACACAGAGCAGACTTGAAACACTCTTTTTGTGGAATTTGCAAGTGGAGATTTCAGCCGCTTTGAGGTCAATGGTAGAATAGGAAATATCTTCCAATAGAAACTAGACAGAATGATTCTCAGAAACTCCTTTGTGATGTGTGCGTTCAACTCACAGAGTTTAACCTTTCTTTTCATAGAGCAGTTAGGAAACACTCTGTTTGTAAAGTCTGCAAGTGGATATTCAGACCTCTTTGAGTCCTTCGTTGGAAACGGGATTTCTTCATATTCTGCTAGACAGAAGAATTCCCAGTAACTTCCTTGTGTTGTGTGTGTTCAACTCACAGAGTTGAACTTTCATTTACACAGAGCAGATTTGAAACACTCTTTTTGTGGAATTTGCAAGTGGAGATTTCAAGCGCTGTGAGGCCAAAGGCAGAAAAGGAAATATCTTCGTATAAAAACTAGACAGAATCATTCTCAGAAACTGCTCTGCGATGTGTGCGTTCAACTCTCAGAGTTTAACTTTTCTTTTCATTCAGCAGTTTGAAAACACTCTGTTTGTAAAGTCTGCACGTGGATAATTTGACCACTTAGAGGCCTTCGTTGGAAACGGGTTTTTTTCATGTAAGGCTAGACAGAAGAATTCCCAGTAACTTCCTTGTGTTGTGTACATTCAACTCACAGAGTTGAACGTTCCCTTAGACAGAGCAGATTTGAAATACTCTTTTTGTGCAATTGGCAAGTGGAGATTTCAAGCGCTTTAAGGTCAATGGCAGAAAAGGAAATATCTTCGTTTCAAAACTAGACAGAATCATTCCCACAAACTGCGTTGTGATGTGTTCGTTCAACTCACAGAGTTTAACCTTTCTTTTCATAGAGCAGTTAGGAAACAGTCTGTTTTTCAATTCTGTAAGTGGATATTCTGACATCTAGTGGCCTTCGTTGGAAACGGGATTTCTTCATACTGTGCTAGACAGAAGAATTCTCAGTAACTTCCTTGTGTTGTGTGTATTTAACTCACAGAGTTGAACGATCCTTTACACAGAGCAGACTTGAAACACTCTTTTGGTGGAATTTGCAAGTGGATATTTCAGCCGCTTTGAGGTCAATGGTAGAATAGGAAATATCTTCCTATAGAAACTAGACAGAATGATTCTCAGAAACTCCTTTCTGATGTGTGCATTCAACTCACAGAGTTTAACCTTTCTTTTCATAGAGCAGTTAGGAAACACTCTGTTTGTAAAGTCTGCAAGTGGATATTCAGACCTCTTTGAGGCCTTCGTTGGAAACGGGATTTCTTCATATTCTGCTAGAGAGAAGAATTCCCAGTAACTTCCTTGTGTTGTGTGTGTTCAACTCACAGAGTTTGAACTTTCATTTACACAGAGCAGATTTGAAACACTCTTTTTGTGGAATTTGCAAGTGGAGATTTCAAGCGCTTTGAGGCCAAAGGCAGAAAAGGAAATATCTTCGTTTGAAAACTAGACAGAATCATTCTCAGAAACTGCTCTGCGATGTGTGCCTTCAACTCTCAGAGTTTAACTTTTCTTTTCATTCAGCAGTTTGGAAACACTCTGTTTGTAAAGTCTGCACGTGGATATTTTGACCACTTAGAGGCCTTCGTTGGAAATGGGTTTTTTTCCTGTAAGGCTAGACAGAAGAATTCCCAGTAACTTCCTTGTGTTGTGTGCATTCAACTCACAGAGTTGAACGTTCCCTTAGACAGAGCAGATTTGAAACACTCTATTTGTGCAATTTGCAAGTGTAGATTTCAAGCGCTTTAAGGTCAATGGCAGAAAAGGAAATATCTTCGTTTCAAAACTAGACAGAATCATTCCCACAAACTGCGTTGAGATGTGTTCGTTCAACTCACAGAGTTTAACCTTTCCGTTCATAGAGCAGTTAGGAAACACACTGTTTGTAAAGTCTGTAAGTGGATATTCTGACATCTTGTGGCCTTCGTTGGAAACGGGATTTCTTCATATTCTGCTAGACAGAATAATTCTCAGTAACTTCCTTGTGTTGTGTGTATTCAACTCACAGAGTTGAACGATCCTTTACAGAGAGCAGACTTGAAACACTCTTTTTGTGGAATTTGCAAGTGGAGATTTCGGCCGCTTTGAGGTCAATGGTAGAATAGGAAATATCTTCCTATAGAAACTAGACATAATGATTCTCAGAAACTCCTTTGTGATGTGTGCGTTCAACTCACAGAGTTTAACCTTTCTTTTCCTAGAGCAGTTAGTAAACACTCTGTTTATAAAGTCTGCAAGTGGATATTCAGACCCCTTTGAGGCCTTCGTTGGAAACGGGATTTCTTCATATTATGCTAGACAGAAGAATTCTCAGTAACTTCCTTGTGTTGTGTGTATTCAACTGACAGAGTTGAACTTTCATTTAGAGAGAGCAGATTTGAAACACTGTTTTTGTGGAATTTGCAAGAGGAGATTTCAAGCGCTTTGGGGCTAAAGGCAGAAAAGGAAATATCTTCGTATAAAAACTAGACAGAATCATTCTCAGAAACTGCTGCGTGATGTGTGCGTTCAACTCTCAGAGTTTAACTTTTCTTTTCATTCAGCAGTTTGGAAACACTCTGTTTGTAAAGTCTGCACGTGGAAATTTTGACCACTTAGAGGCCTTCGTTGGAAACGGGTTTTTTTCATGTAAGGCTAGACAGAAGAATTCCCAGTAACTTCCTTGTGTTGTGTGCATTCAACTCACAGAGTTGAACGTTCCCTTAGACAGAGCAGATTTGGAACACTCTATTTGTGCAATTTGCAAGTGTAGATTTCAAGCGCTTTAAGGTCAACGGCAGAAAAGGAAATATCTTCGTTTCAAAACTAGACAGAATCATTCCCACAAACTGCGTTGTGATGTGTTCGTTCAACTCACAGAGTTTAACCTTTCTGTTCATAGAGCAGTTAGGAAACACTCTGTTTGTAAAGTCTGTAAGTGGATATTCTGACATCTTGTGGCCTTCGTTGGAAACTGGATTTCTCCATATTCTACTAGACAGAATAATTCTACAGTAACTTCCTTGTGTTGTGTGTATTCAACTCACAGAGTTGAAGGATCCTTTACAGAGAGCAGGCTTGAAACACTCTTTTTGTCGAATTTGCAAGTGGAGATTTCAGCCGCTTTGAGGTCAATGGTAGAATAGGAAATATCTTCTTATAGAAACTAGACAGAATGATTCTCATAAACTCCTTTGTGATGTGTGCGTTCAACTCACAGAGTTTAACCTTTCTGTTCATAGAGCAGTTAGGAAACACTCTGTTTGTAAAGTCTGCAAGTGGATATTCAGACCTCCTTGAGGCCTTCGTTGGAAACGGGATTTCTTCATATTCTGCTAGACAGAAGAATTCTCAGTAACTTCCTTGTGTTGTGTGTATTCAACTCACAGAGTTGAATGATCCTTTACACAGAGCAGACTTGAAACACTCTTTTTGTGGAATTTGCAAGTGGAGATTTCAGCCGCTTTGAGGACAATGGTAGAAAAGTAAATATCTTCGTATAAAGACTAGACAGAATCATTCTCAGAAACTGCTGCGTGATGTGTGCGTTCAACTCTCAGAGTTTAACTTTTCTTTTCATTCAGCGGTTTGGAAACACTCTGTTTGTAAAGTCTGCACGTGGATATTTTGACCACTTAGAGGCCTTCGTTGGAAACGGGTTTTTTTCATGTAAGGCTGGACAGAAGAATTCCCAGTAACTTCCTTGTGTTGTGTGCATTCAACTCACAGAGTTGAACGTTCCCTTAGACAGAGCAGATTTGAAACACTCTATTTGTGCAACTTGCAAGTGTAGATTTCAAGCCCTTTAAGGTCAACGGCAGAAAAGGAAATATCTTCGTTTCAAAACTAGACAGAATCATTCCCACAAACTGCGTTGTGATGTGTTCGTTCAACTCACAGAGTTTAACCTTTCTGTTCATAGAGCAGTTAGGAAACACTCTCTTTGTAAAGTCTGTAAGTGGATATTCTGATATCTTGTGGCCTTCGTTGGAAACGGGATTTCTTCATATTCTGCTAGACAGAAGAATTCTCAGTAACTTCCTTGTGTTGTGTGTATACATCTCACAGAGTTGAACGATCCTTTACACAGAGCAGACTTGAAACACTCTTTTTGTGGAATTTGCAAGTGGAGATTTCAGCCGCTTTGAGGTCCATGGTAGAAAAGGAAATATCTTCGTATAAAAACTAGACAGAATGATTCTCAGAAACTCCTTTGTGATGTGTGCGTTCAACTCACAGAGTTTAACCTTTCTTTTCATAGAGCAGTTAGGAAACACTCTGTTTGTAAAGTCTGCAAGTGAATATTCAGACATCCTTGAGGTTTTCGTTGGAAACGGGATTTCTTCATATTCTGCTAGAAAGAAGAATTCTCAGTAACTTCCTTGTGTTGTGTGTATTCAACTCACAGAGTTGAATGATCCTTTACACAGAACAGTCTTGAAACACTCTTTTTGTGGAAATTGCAAGTGGAGATTTCAGCCGCTTTGAGGTCAATGGTAGAATAGGAAATATCTTCCTATAGAAACTAGACAGAATCATTCTCAGAAACTGCTCTGCGATGTGTGCGTTCAACTCTCTGAGTTTAACTTTGCTTTTCATTCAGCAGTTTGGAAACACTCTGTTTGTAAAGTCTGCACGTGGATAATTTGACCACTTAGAGGTCTTCGTTGGAAACGGGATTTTTTCATGTAAGGCTAGACAGAAGAATTCCCAGTAACTTCCTTGTGTTGTGTACATTCAACTCACAGAGTTGAACGGTTCCCTTAGACAGAGCAGATTTGAAACACTCTTTTTGTGCAATTGGCAAATGGATATTTCAAGCGCTTTAAGGTCAATGGCAGAAAAGGAAATATCTTCGTTTCAAAACTGGACAGAATCATTCCCACAAACTGCGTTGTGATGTGTTCGTTCAACTCACAGAGTTTAACCTTTCTTTTCATAGAGCAGTTAGGAAACACTCTGTTTGTAAATTCTGTAAGTGGATATTCTGACATCTTGTGGCCTTCGTTTGAAACGGGATTTCTTCATATTCTGCTAGACAGAATAATTCTCAGTAACTTCCTTGTGTTGTGTTTATTCAACTCACAGAGTTGAATGATCCTTTACACAGAGCAGACTTGAAACACTCTTTTTGTGGAATTTGCAAGTGGAGATTTCAGCCGCTTTGAGGTCAATGGTAGAAAAGTAAATATCTTCCTATAAAGACTAGACAGAATGATTCTCAGAAACTCCTTTGTGATGTGTGCGTTCAACTCACAGAGTTTAACCTTTCTGTTCATAGAGCCGTTAGGAAACACTCTGTTTGTAAAGTCTGCAAGTGGATATTCAGATCTCTTTGAGGCCTTCGTTGGAAACGGGATTTCTTCATATTATGCTAGACAGAAGAATTCCCAGTAACTTCCATGTGTTGTGTGTGTTCAACTCACAGAGTTGAACTTTCATTTACACAGAGCAGATTTGAAACACTCTTTTTGTGGAATTTGCAAATGGAGGTTTCAAGCGCTTTGAGGCCAGAGGCAGAAAAGGAAATATCTTCGTATAAAAACTAGACAGAATCATTCTCAGAAACTGCTCTGCGATGTGTGCGTTCAACTCTCAGAGTTTAACTTTTCTTTTCATTCAGCAGTTTGGAAACACTCTGTTTGTAAAGTCTGCATGTGGATAATTTGACCACTTAGAGGTCTTTGTTGGAAACGGGTTTTTTTCATGTAAGGCTAGACAGAAGAATTCTCAGTAACTTCCTTGTGTTGTGTGTATTCAACTCACAGAGTTGAACGTTCCTTTACACAGAGCAGACTTGTAACACTCTTTTTGTGGAATTTGCAAGTGGAGATTTCAGCCGCTTTGAAGTCAAAGGTAGAAAAGGAAATATCTTCCTATAAACACTAGACAGAATCATTGGCACAAACTGCGTTGTGATGTGTTCGTTCAACTCACAGAGTTTAACCTTTCTTTTCATAGAGCAGTTAGGAAACAGTCTGTTTGTAAATTCTGTAAGTGGATATTCTGACATCTTGTGACCTTCGTTGGAAACGGGATTTCTTCATATTCTGCTAGACAGAAGAATTCTCAGTAACTTCCTTGTGTTGTGTGTATTCAACTCACAGAATTGAACGATCCTTTACACAGAGCAGACTTGAAACATTCTTTTTGTGGAATTTGCAAGTGGAGATTTCAGCCGCTTTGAGGTCAATCGTAGAATAGGAAATATCTTCCTATAGAAACTAGACAGAATGATTCTCAGAAACTCCTTTGTGATGTGTGCGTTCAACTCACAGAGTTTAACCTTTCTTTTCATAGAGCAGTTAGGAAACACTCTGTTTGTTAAGTCTGCAAGTGGATATTCAGTCCTCTTTGAGGCCATCGTTGGAAACGGGATTTCTTCATATTATGCTAGACAGAAGAATTCTCAGTAACTTCCTTGTGTTGTGTGTATTCAACTCACAGAGTTGAACGATCCTTTACACAGAGCAGACTTGAAACACTCTTTTTGTGGAATTTGCAAGTGGAGATTTCAGCCGCTTTGAGGTCAATGGTTGAATAGGAAATATCTTCCAATAGAAACTAGACAGAATGATTCTCAGAAACTCCTTTGTGATGTGTGCGCTCAACTCACAGAGTTTAACTTTTCTTTTCATAGAGCAGTTAGGAAACACTCTGTTTATAAAGTCTGCAAGTGGATATTCAGACCTCTTTGAGGCCTTCGTTGGAAACGGGAGTTCTTCATATTCTGCTAGACAGAAGAATTCTCAGAAACTCCCTTGTGTTGTGTGTATTCAACTGACAGAGTTGAACTTTCATTTAGACAGAGCAGATTTGAAACACTCTTTATGTGGAATTGGCCAGTGGAGATTTGAAGCGCTTTGAGACCAAAGGCAGAAAAGGAAATATCTTCGTTTCAAAACTAGACAGAATCATTCCCACAAACTGCGTTGTGATGTGTTCGTTCAACACACAGGGTTTAACCTTTCTTTTCATAGAGCAGTTAGGAAACACTCTGTTTGTAAAGTCTGTAAGTGGATATTCTGACATCATGTGGCCTTCGTTGGAAACGGGATTTCTTCATATTCTGCTAGACAGAAGAATTCTCAGTAACTTCCTTGTGTAGTGTGTATTCAACTCACAGAGTTGAACGATCCTTTACACAGAGCAGACTTGTAACACTCTTTTTGTGGAATTTGCAAGTGGAGATTTCAGCCACTTTGAAGTCAAAGGTAGAAAAGGAAATAACTTCCTATAAAAACTAGACAGAATGATTCTCAGAAACTCCTTTGTGATGTGTGCGTTCAACTCACAGAGTTTAACCTTTCTTTTCATAGAGCAGTTAGGAAACACTCTGTTTGTAAAGTCTGCAAGTGGATATTCAGACCTCTTTGAGGCCTTCGTTGGAAACGGGTTTTTTTCATATAAGGCTAGATAGAAGAATTCTCAGTAACTTCCTTGTGTTGTGTGTATTCAACTGACAGAGTTGAACTTTCATTTAGAGAGAGCAGATTTGAAACACTGTTTTTGTGGAATTTGCAAGTGGAGATTTCAAGCGCTTTGGGGCCAAAGGCAGAAAACGAAATGTCTTCGTATAAAAACTAGACAGAATCATTCTCAGAAACCGCTCTGTGATGTGTGCGTTCAACTCTCAGAGTTTAACTTTTCTTTTCATTCAGCAGTTTGGAAACACTCTGTTTGTAAAGTCTGCACGTGGATATTTTGACCACTTAGAGGCCTTCGTTGGAAACGGGTTTTTTTTCATGTAAGGCTAGACAGAAGAATTCCCAGTAACTTCCTTGTGTTGTGTACATTCAACTCACAGAGTTGAACGTTCCCTTAGACAGAGCAGATTTGAAACACTCTTTTTGTGCAATTGGCAAGTGGAGATTTCAAGCGCTTTGAGGTCAATGGCAGAAAAGGAAATATCTTCGTTTCAAAACTAGACAGAATGATTCTCATAAACTCCTCTGTGATGTGTGCGTTGAACTCACAGAGTTTAACTTTTCTTTTCATAGAGCAGTTAGGAAACACTCTGTTTGTAAAGTCTGCAAGTGGATATTCAGACGTCTTTGAGGCCTTCGTTGGAAACGGGATTTCTTCATATTATGCTAGACAGAATAATTCTCAGTAACTTCCTTGTGTTGTGTGTATTCAACTCACAGAGTTGAACGATCCTTTACAGAGAGCAGACTTGAAACACTCTTTTTGTGGAATTTCCAATTGGAGATTTCAGCCGCTTTGAGGTCAATCGTAGAATAGGAAATATCTTCCTATAGAAATTAGATAGAATGATTCTCAGAAACTCCTTTGTGATGTGTGCGTTCAACTCACAGAGTTTAACCTTTCTTTTCATAGAGCAGTTAGGAAACACTCTCTAAAGTCTGCAAGTGGATATTCAGACCTCCTTGAGGTCTTCGTTGGAAACGGGATTTCTTCATATTCTGCTAGACAGAAGAATTCCCAGTAACTTCCTTGTGTTGTGTGTGTTCAACTCACAGAGTTGAACTTTCATTTACACAGAGCAGATTGGAAACACTCTTTTTGTGGAATTTGCAAGTGGAGATTTCAAGCGCTTTGAGGCCAAAGGCAGAAAAGGAAATATCTTCGTATAAAAACTAGTCAGAATCATTCTCAGAAACTGCTCTGTGATGTGTGCGTTCAACTCTCAGAGTTTAACTTTTCTTTTCATTCAGCAGTTTGGAAACACTCTGTTTGTAAAGTCTGCACGTGGATATTTTGACCACTTAGAGGCCTTCGTTGGAAACGGGTTTTTTTTCATGTAAGGCTAGACGGTAGCATTCCCAGTAACTTCCTTGTGTTGTGTGCATTCAACTCACAGAGATGAACGTTCCCTTAGACAGAGCAGATTTGAAACGCTCTATTTGTGCAATTTGCAAGTGTAGATTTCAAGCACTTTAAGGTCAATGGCAGAAAAGGAAATATCTTCGTTTCAAAACTAGACAGAATGATTCTCAGAAAATCTTTTGTGATGTGTGCGTTCAACTCACAGAGTTTAACTTTTCTTTTCATAGAGCAGTTAGGAAACACTCTGTTTGTAAAGTCTGCAAGTGGATATTCAGACCTGTTTGAGGCCTTCGTTGGAAACGGGATTTCTTCATATTCTGCTAGACAGAAGAATTCTCAGTAACTTCCTTGTGTTGTGTGTATTCAACTCACAGAGTTGAAGGATCCTTTACAGCGAGCAGGCTTGAAACACTCTTTTTGTCGAATTTGCAAGTGGAGATTTCAGCCGCTTTGAGGTCAATGGTAGAATAGGAAATATCTTCTTATAGAAACTAGACAAAATGATTCTCAGAAACTCCTTTGTGATGTGTGCGTTCAACTCACAGAGTTTAACCTTTCTTTTCATAGAGCAGGTAGGAAACACTCTGTTTGTAAAGTCTGCAAGTGGATATTCAGACCTCCTTGAGGCCTTCGTTGGAAACGGGATTCCTTCATATTCTGCTATACAGAAACAATTCCCAGTAACTTCCTTGTGTTGTGTGTGTTCAACTCACAGAGTTGAACTTTCATTTACACAGAGCAGATTTGAAACACTCTTTTTGTGGAATTTGCAAGTGGAGATTTCAAGCGCTTTGAGGCCAAAGGCAGAAAAGGAAATATCTTCGTATAAAAACTAGACAGAATCATTCTCAGAAACTGCTCTGCGATGTGTGCGTTCAACTCTCAGAGTTTAACTTTTCTTTTCATTCAGCAGTGTGGAAACACTCTGTTTGTAAAGTCTGCACGTGGATATTTTGACCACTTAGAGGCCTTCATTGGAAACGGGTTTTTTTCCTGTAAGGCTAGACAGAAGAATTCTCAGTAACTTCCTTGTGTTGTGTGTATTCAACTCACAGAGTTGAACGATCCTTTACACAGAGCAGACTTGTAACACTCTTTTTGTGGAATTTGCAAGTGGAGATTTCAGCCGCTTTGAAGTCAAAGGTAGAAAAGGAAATATCTCCCTATAAAAACTAGACAGAATGATTCTCAGAAACTTCTTTGTGATGTGTGCGCTCAACTCACAGAGTTTAACCTTTCTTTTCATAGAGCAGTTAGGAAACACTCTGTTTGTAAAGTCTGCAAGTGGATATTCAGACCTCTTTGAGGCCTTCGTAGGAAACGGGATTTCTTCATATTATGCTAGACAGAAGAATTCTCAGTAACTTCCTTGTGTTGTGTGTATTCAACTCACAGAGTTGAACGATCCTTTACACAGAGCAGACTTGAAACACTCTTTTTCTGGAATTTGCAAGTGGAGATTTCAGCCGCTTTGAGGTCAATGGTAGAATAGGAAATATCTTCCCATAGAAACTAGACAGAGTGATTCTCAGAAACTCCTTTGTGATGTCTGCGTTCAACTCACAGAGTTTAACCTTTCTTTTCGTAGAGCAGTTAGGAAACACTCTGTTTGTAAAGTCTGCAAGTGGATATTCAGACCTCCTTGAGGCCTTCGTTGGAAACGGGATTTCTTCATATTCTGCTATACAGAAGAATTCTCAGAATCTTCCTTGTGTTGTTTGTATTCAACTCACAGAGTTGAACTTTCATTTACACAGAGCAGATTTGAAACACTCTTTTTGTGGAATTTGCAAATGGAGATTTCAAGCGCTTTGAGGCCAAAGGCAGAAAAGGAAATATCTTCGTATAAAAACTAGACAGAATCATTCTCAGAAACTGCTGCGTGATGTGTGCGTTCAACTCTCAGAGTTTAACTTCTCTTTTCATTCAGCGGTTTGGAAACACTCTGTTTGTAAAGTCTGCACGTGGAAATTTTGACCACTTAGAGGCCTTCGTTGGAAACGGGTTTTTTTCATTTAAGGCTAGACAGAAGAATTCCCAGTAACTTCCTTGTGTTGTGTGCATTCAACTCACAGACTTGAACGTTCCCTTAGACAGAGCAGATTTGAAACACTCTATTTGTGCAATTTGCAAGTGTAGATTTCAAGCGCTTTCAGGTCAATGGCAGAAAAGGAAATATCTTCGTTTCAAAACTAGACAGAATCATTCCCACAAACAGCGTTGTGATGTGTTCATTCAACTCACAGAGTTTAACCTTTCTTTTCATAGAGCAGTTAGGAAACAGTCTGTTTGTAAATTCTGTAAGTGGATATTCTGACATCTTGTGGCCTTCGTTGGAAACGGGATTTCTTCATATTCTGCTAGACAGAAGAATTCTCAGTAACTTCCTTGTGTTGTGTGAATTCAACTCACAGAGTTGAACGATCCTTTACACAGAGCAGACTTGAAACACTCTTTTTGTGGAATTTGCAAGTGGAGATTTCAGCCGCTTTGAGGTCAATGGTAGAAAAGGAAACTATCTTCATATAAAGACTAGACAGAATGATTCTCAGAAACTCCTTTGTGATGTGTGCGTTCAACTCACAGAATTTAACCTTTCTTTTCATAGAGCAGTTAGGAAACACTCTGTTTGTAAAGTCTGCAAGTGGATATTCAGACCTCTTTGAGGCCTTCGTTGGAAACGGGTTTTTTTCATATAAGGCTAGACAGAATCATTCTCAGAAACTGCTCTGCGATGTGTGCGTTCAACTCTCAGAGTTTAACTTTTCTTTTCATTCAGCAGTTTGGAAACACTCTGTTTGTAAAGTCTGCACGTGGATAATTTGACCACTTAGAGGCCTTCGTTGGAAACGGGTTGTTTTCATGTAAGGCTAGACAGAAGAATTCCCAGTAACTTACCTTGTGTTGTGTACATTCAACTCACAGAGTTGAACGTTCCCTTAGACAGAGCAGATTTGAAACACTTTTTTTGTGCAATTGGCAAATGGAGATTTCAAGCGCTTTAAGGTCAATGGCAGAAAAGGAAATATCTTCGTTTCAAAACTAGACAGAATCATTCCCACAAACTGCGTTGTGATGTGTTCGTTCAACTCACAGAGTTTAACCTTTCTGTTCATAGAGCAGTTAGGAAACACTCTGTTTGTAAAGTCTGCAAGTGGATATTCTGACATCTTGTGGCCTTCGTTGGAAACGGGATTTCTTCATCTTCTGCTAGACAGAAGAATTCTCAGTAACTTCCTTGTGTTGTGTGTATTCAACTCACAGAGTTGAACGATCCTTTACACAGAGCGCACTTGAAACACTCGTTTTGTGGAATTTGCAAGTGGAGATTTCAGCCGTGTTGAGGTAAATGGTAGAAAAGGAAATATCTTCGTATAAAAACTAGACAGAATGATTCTCAGAAACTCCTTTGTGATGTGTGCGTTCAACTCACAGAGTTTAACCTTTCTTTTCATAGAGCAGTTAGGAAACACTCTGTTTGTAAAGTCTGCAAGTGGATATTCAGACCTCCTTGAGGCCTTCGTTGGAAACGGGATTTCTTCATATTCTGCTATACAGAAGAATTCTCAGAAACTTCCTTGTGTTGTGTGTATTCAACTCACAGAGTTGAACGATCGTTTACACACAGCAGACTTGAGACACTCTTTTTGTGGAAATTGTAAGTGGAGATTTCAGCCGCTTTGAGGTCAATGGTAGAAAAGGAAATATCTTCATATAAAAACTAGACAGAATCATTCTCAGAAACTGCTGTGTGATGTGTGCGTTCAACTCTCAGAGTTTAACTTTTCTTTTCATTCAGCGGTTTGGAAACACTCTGTTTGTAAAGTCTGCACGTGGATATTTTGACCACTTAGAGGCCTTCGTTGGAAACGGGTTTTTTTCATGTAAGGCTAGACAGAAGAATTCCCAGTAACTTCCTTGTGTTGTGTGCATTCAACTCACAGAGTTGAACGTTCCCTTAGACAGAGCAGATTTGAAACACTCTATTTGTGAATTTGCAAGTGTAGATTTCAAGCGCTTTAAGGTCAAAGGCAGAAAAGGAAATATCTTCGTTTCAAAACTAGACAGAATTATTCCCACAAACTGCGTTGTGATGTGTTCGTTCAACTCACAGAGTTTAACCTTTCTGTTCATAGAGCAGTTAGGAAACACTCTGTTTGTAAAGTCTATAAGTGGATATTCTGACATCTTGTGGCCTTCGTTGGAAACGCGATTTCTTCATATTCTGTTAGACAGAAGAATTCTCAGAATCTTCCTTGTGTTGTGTGTATTCAACTCACACAGTTGAACGATGGTTTACACAGAGCAGATTTGAAACACTATTTTTGTGGAATTTGCAAGTGGAGATTTCAGCCGCTTTGAGGTCAATGGTAGAAAAGGAAATATCTTCGTATAAAAACTAGAGAGAATGATTCTCAGAAACTCCTTTGTGATGTGTGTGTTCAACTCACAGAGTTTAACCTTTCTTTTCATAGAGCAGTTAGTAAACACTCTGTTTATAAAGTCTGCAAGTGGATATTCAGACCCCTTTGAGGCCTTCGTTGGAAATGGGATTGCTTCATATTATGCTAGACAGAAGAATTCTCAGTAACTTCCTTGTGTTGTGTGTATTCAACTGACAGAGTTGAACTTTCATTTGGAGAGAGCAGATTTGAAACACTGTTTTTGTGGAATTTGCAAGTGGAAATTTCAAGCGCTTTGGGGTCAAAGGCAGAAAAGGAAATATCTTCGTATAAAAACTAGACAGAATCATTCTCAGAAACTGCTGCGTGATGTGTGCGTTCAACTCTCAGAGTTTAACTTTTCTTTTCATTCAGCGGTTTGGAAACACTCTGTTTGTAAAGTCTGCACGTGGATATTTTGACCACTTAGAGGCCTTCGTTGGAAACGGGTTTTTTTTCATGTAAGGCTAGACAGAAGAATTCCCAGTAACTTCCTTGTGTTGTGTGCATTCAACTCACAGAGTTGAACGTTCCCTTAGACAGAGCAGATTTGAAACACTCTAGTTGTGCAATTTGCAAGTGTAGATTTCAAGCGCTTTAAGGTCAATGGCAGAAAAGGAAATATCTTCGTTTCAAAACTAGACAGAATCATTCCCACAAACTGCGTTGTGATGTGTTCGTTCAACTCACAGAGTTTAACCTTTCCGTTCATAGAGCAGTTAGGAAACACTCTGTTTGTAAAGTCTGTAAGTGGATATTCTGACATCTTGTGGCCTTCGTTGGAAACGGGATTTCTTCATATTCTGCTAGACAGAAGAATTCTCAGTAACTTCCTTGTGTTGTGTGTATTCAGCTCACAGAGTTGAACGATCCTTTACACCGAGCAGACTTGAAACACTCTTTTTGTGGAATTTGCAAGTGGTGATTTCAGCCGCTTTGAGGTCAATGGTAGAAAAGGAAACTATTTTCGTATAAAGACTAGACAGAATGATTCTCAGAAACTCCTTTGTGATGTGTGCGTTCAACTCACAGAAGTTTAACCTTTCTTTTCATAGAGCAGTTATGAAACACTCTGTTTGTAAAGTCTGCAAGTGGATATTCAGACCTCTTTGAGGCCTTCGTTGGAAACGGGTTTTTTTCATATAAGGCTAGACAGAAGAATTCTCAGTAACTTCCTTGTGTTGTGTGTATTCAACTGACAGAGTTGAACTTTCATTTAGAGAGAGCAGATTTGAAACACTGTTTTTGTGGAATTTGCAAGTGGAGATTTCAAGCGATTTGGGGCCAAAGGCAGAAAAGGAAATATCTTCGTATAAAAACTAGACAGAATCATTCTCAGAAACTGCTGCGTGATGTGTGCGTTCAACTCTCAGAGTTTAACTTTTCTTTTCATTCAGCGGTTTGGAAACACTCTGTTTGTAAAGACTGCACGTGGATATTTTGACCACTTAGAGGCCTTCGTTGGAAACGGGATTTTTTCATGTAAGGCTAGACAGAAGAATTCCCAGTAACTTCCTTGTGTTGTGTGCATTCAACTCACAGAGTTGAACGTTCCCTTAGACAGAGCAGATTTGAAACACTCTATTTGTCCAATTTGCAAGTGTAGATTTCAAGCGCTTTAAGGTCAACGGCAGAAAAGGAAATATCTTCGTTTCAAAACTAGACAGAATCATTCCCACAAACTGCGTTGTGATGTGTTCGTTCAACCCACAGAGTTTAACCTTTCTGTTCATAGAGCAGTTAGGAAACACACTGTTTGTAAAGTATGAAAGTGGATATTCTGACATCTTGTGGCCTTCGTTGGAAACGGGATTTCTTCATATTCTGCTAGACAGAAGAATTCTCAGTAACTTCCTTGTGTTGTGTGTATTCAACTCACAGAATTGAACGATCCTTTACACAGAGCAGACTTGAAACACTCTTTTTGTGGAATTTGCAAGTGGAGATTTCAGCCGCTTTGAGGTCAATGGTAGAAAAGGAAATATCTTCGTATAGAAACAAGACAGAATGATTCTCAGAAACTTCATTGTGATGTGTGCGTTCAACTCACAGAGTTTAACCTTTCTTTTCATAGAGCAGTTAGGAAACACTCTGTTTGTAAACTCTGCAAGTCGATATTCACACCTCTTTGAGGCCTTCGTTGGAAACGGGATTTCTTCATACTGTGCTAGACAGAAGAATTCCCAGTAACTTCCTTGTGTTGTGTGTGTTCAACTCACAGAGTTGAACTTTCATTTACCCAGAGCAGATTTGAAACACTTTTTTTGTGGAATTTGCAAGTGGAGATTTCAAGCGCTTTGAGGCCAAAGGCAGAAAAGGAAATATCTTCGTTTCAAAACTAGACAGAATCATTCTCAGAAACTGCTGCGTGATGTGTGCGTTCAACTCTCAGAGATTAACTTTTCTTTTCATTCAGCGGTTTGGAAACACTCTGTTTGTAAAGTCTGCACGTGGATATTTTGACCACTTAGAGGCCTTCGTTGGAAACGGGTTTTTTTCATGTAAGGCTAGACAGAAGAATTCCCAGTAACTTCCTTGTGTTGTGTGCATTCAACTCACAGAGCTGAACGTTCCCTTAGACAGAGCAGATTTGAAACACTCTATTTGTGCAATTTGCAAGTGTAGATTTCAAGCGCTTTAAGGTCAACGGCAGAAAAGGAAATATCTTCGTTTCAAAACCAGACAGAATCATTCCCACAAACTGCGTTGTGATGTGTGCGTTCAACTCACAGAGTTCAACTTTTCTTTTCATAGAGCAGTTAGGAAACACTCTGTTTGTAAAGTCTGCAAGTGGATATTCAGACCTATTTGAGGCCTTCGTTGGAAACGGGATTTCTTCATATTCTGCTAGACAGAATAATTCTCAGTAACTTCCTTGTGTTGTGTGTATTCAACTCACAGAGTTGAATGATCCTTTACAGAGAGCAGACTTGAAACATTCTTTTTGTGGAATTTGCAAGTGGAGATTTCAGCCGCTTTGAGGTCAATGGTAGAAAAGGAAATATCTTCGTATAAAGACTAGACAGAATGATTCTCAGAAACTCCTTTGTGATGTGTGCGTTCAACTCACAGAGTTTAACTTTTCTTTTCATAGAGCAGTTAGGAAACACTCTGTTTGTAAAGTCTGCAAGTGGATATTCAGACCTCTTTGAGGCCTTCGTTGGAAATGGGATTTCTTCGTATTCTGCTAGACAGAAGAATTCTCAGTAACTTCCTTGTGTTGTGTGTATTCAACTGACAGAGTTGAACTTTCATTTAGAGAGAGCAGATTTGAAACACTGTTTTTGTGGAATTTGCAAGTGGAGATTTCAAGCGCTTTTGGGCCAAAGGCCGAAAAGGAAATATCTTCGTATAAAAACTAGACAGAATCATTCTCAGAAACTGTGGCGTGATGTGTGCGTTCAACTCTCAGAGTTTAACTTTTCTTTTCATTCAGCGGTTTGGAAACACTCTATTTGTAAAGTCTGCCCGTGGATATTTTGACCACTTAGAGGCCTTCGTTGGAAACGGGTTTTTTTCATGTAAGGCTAGACAGAAGAATTCCCAGTAACTTCCTTGTGTTGTGTGCATTCAACTTGCAGAGTTGAACGTTCCCTTAGACAGAGCAGATTTGAAACACTCTATTTGTGCAATTTGCAAGTGTAGATTTCAAGCGCTTTAAGGTCAATGGCAGAAAAGGAAATATCTTCGTTTCAAAACTAGACAGAAATCATTCCCACAAACTGCGTTGTGATGTGTTCGTTCAACTCACAGGAGTTTAACCTTTCTTTTCATAGAGCAGTTAGGAAACAGTCTGTTTGTCAATTCTGTAAGTGGATATTCTGACATCTTGTGGCCTTCGTTGGAAACGGGATTTCTTCATATTTGGCTAGACAGAAATAATTCTCAGTAACTTCCTTGTGTTGTGTGTATTCAACTCACAGAGTTGAAGGATCCTTTACAGAGAGCAGGCTTGAAACACTCTTTTTGTCGAATTTGCAAGTGGAGATTTCAGCCGCTTTGAGGTCAATGGTAGAATAGGAAATATCTTCTTATAGAAACTAGACAGAATGATTCTCAGAAACTCCTTTGAGATGTGTGTGTTCAACTCACAGTTTAACCTTTCTTTTCATAGAGCAGTTAGGAATCACTCTGTTTGTAAAGTCTGCAAGTGGATATTCAGACCTCTTTGAGGCCTTCGTTGGAAACGGGTTTTTTTCATATAAGGCTAGACAGAAGAATTCTCAGTAACTTCCTTGTGTTGTGTGTATTCAACTGACAGGGTTGAACTTTCATTTAGAGAGAGCAGATTTGAAACACTGTTTTTGTGGAATTTGCAAGTGGAGATTTCAAGCGCTTTGGGGCCAAAGGCAGAAAAGGAAATATCTTCGTATAAAAACTAGACAGAATCATTCTCAGAAACTGCTGCGTGATGTGTGCGTTCAACTCTCAGAGTTTAACTTTTCTTTTCATTCAGCGGTTTGGAAACACTCTGTTTGTAAAGTCTGCACGTGGAAATTTTGACCACTTAGAGGCCTTCGTTGGAAACGGGTTTTTTTCATGTAAGGCTAGACAGAAGAATTCCCAGTAACTTCCTTGTGTTGTGTGCATTCAACTCACAGAGTTGAACGTTCCCTTAGACAGAGCAGATTTGAAACACTCTATTTGTGCAATTTGCAAGTGTAGATTTCAAGCGCTTTAAGGTCAATGACAGAAAAGGAAATATCTTCGTTTCAAAACTAGACAGAATCATTCCCACAAACTGCGTTGTGATGTGTTCGTTCAACTCACAGAGTTTTACCTTTCTGTTCATAGAGCAGTTAGGAAACACTCTGTTTGTAAAGTCTGCAAGTGGATATTCAGACCTCCTTGAGACCTTCGTTGGAAACGGGATTTCTTCATATTCTGCTAGACAGAAGAATTCTCAGTAACTTCCTTGTGTTGTGAGTATTCAACTCACAGAGTTGAACGATCCTTTACACAGAGCAGACTTGAAACACTCTTTTTGTGGAATTTGCAAGAGGAGATTTCAGCCGCTTTGAGGTCAATGGTAGAAAAGGAAATATCTTCGTATAAAGACTAGACAGAATGATTCTCAGAAACTCCTTTGTGATGTGTGCGTTCAACTCACAGAGTTCAACCTTTCTTTTCATAGAGCAGTTGGGAAACACTCTGTTTGTAATGTCTGCAAGTGGATATTCAGACTTCCTTGAGGCCTTCGTTGGAAGCGGGATTTCTTCAAATTCTGCTAGACAGAATAATTCTCAGTAACTTCCTTGTGTTGTGTGTATTCAACTCACAGATTTGAACGATCCTTTACACAGAGCAGACTTGAAACATTCTTTTTGTGGAATTTGCAAGTGGAGATTTCAGCCGCTTTGAGGTCAATGGTAGAATAGGAAATATCTTCCTATAGAAACTAGACAGAATCATTCTCGGAAACTGCTCTGTGATGTGTGCGTTCAAGTCTCAGAGTTTAACTTTTCTTTTCATTCAGCAGTTTGGAAACACTCTGTTTGTAAAGTCTGCACGTGGATATTTTGACCACTTAAAGGCCTTCGTTGGAAACGTGTTTTTTTCCTGTAAGGCTAGACAGAAGAATTCCCAGTAACTTCCTTGTGTTGTGTACATTCAACTCACAGAGTTGAACGTTCCCTTAGACAGAGCAGATTTGAAACACTCTTTTTGTGCAATTGGCAAGTGGTGATTTCAGCCGCTTTGTGGTCAATGGTATAAAAGGAAATATCTTCGTATAAAAACTAGACAGAATCATTCTCAGAAACTGCTCTGCGATGTGTGCGTTCAACTCTCAGAGTTTAACTTTTCTTTTCATTCAGCAGTTTGGAAACACTCTGTTTCTAAAGTCTGCACGTGGATAACTTGACCACTTAGAGGCCTTCTTTGGAAACGGGTTTTTTTCCTGTAAGGCTAGACAGAAGAATTCCCAGTAACTTCCTTGTGTTGTGTACATTCAACTCACAGAGTTGAACCGTTCCCTTAGACAGAGCAGATTTGAAACACTCTTTTTGTGCAATTGGCAAGTGCTGATTTCAGCCGCTTTGAAGTCAATGGTAGAAAAGGAAATATCTTCGTATAAAAACTAGACAGAATGATTCTCAGAAACTTCATTGTGATGTGTGCCGTTCAACTCACAGAGTTTAACCTTTCTTTTCATAGAGCAGTTAGGAAACACTCTGTTTGTAAACTCTGCAAGTGGATATTCAGACCTCTTTGAGGCCTTCGTTGGAAACGGGATTTCTTCATACTGTGCTAGACAGAAGAATTCTCAGTAACTTCATTGTGTTGTGTGTATTCAACTCACAGATTTCAACGATCCTTTACACAGAGCAGACTTGAAATACTCTTTTTATGGAATTTGCAAGTGGAGATTTCAGCCGCTTTGAGGTCAATGTAGAATAGGAAATATCTTCCTATAGAAATTAGACAGAATCATTCTCAGAAACTGCTGCGTGATGTGTGCGTTCAACTCTCAGAGTTTAACTTTTCTTTTCATTCAGCGGTTTGGAAACACTCTGTTTGTAAAGTCTGCACGTGGATATTTTGACCACTTAGAAGCCTTCGTTGGAAACGGGTTTTTTTCATGTAAGGCTAGACAGAAGAATTCCCAGTAACTTCCTTGGGTTGTGTACATTCAACTCACAGAGTTGAACGTTCCCTTAGACAGAGCAGATTTGAAACACTCTTTTTGTGCAATTGGCAAGTGGAGATTTCAAGCGCTTTAAGGTCAATGGCAGAAAAGGAAATATCTTCGTTTCAAAACTAGACAGAATCATTCCCACAAACTGTGTTGTGATGTGTTCGTTCAACTCACAGAGTTTAACCTTTCTTTTCATAGAGCAGTTAGGAAACACTCTGTTGGTAAATTCTGTAAGTGGATATTCTGACATCTTGTGGCCTTCGTTGGAAACGGGATTTCTTCATATTCTGCTACACAGAAGAATTCTCAGTAACTTCCTTGTGTTGTGTGTATTCAACTCACAGAGTTGAACGATCCTTTACACAGAGCAGACTTGAAACACTCTTTTTGTGGAATTTGCAAGTGGAGATTTCAGCCGTTTTGAGGTCAATGGTAGAAAAGGAAATATCTTCGTATAAAGACTAGACAGAATGATTCTAAGAAAATCTTTTGTGATGTGTGCGTTCAACTCACAGAGTTTAACTTTTCTTCTCATAGAGCAGTTAGGAAACACTCTGTTTGTAAAGTGTGCAAGTGGATATTCAGACCTCTTTGAGGCCTTCGTTGGAAACGGGATTTCTTCATATTATGCTAGACAGAAGAATTCCCAGTAACTTCCTTGTGTTGTGTGTGTTCAACTCACAGAGTTGAACTTTCATTTACACAGAGCAGATTTGAAACACTCTTTTTGTGGAATTTGCAAATGGAGATTTCAAGCGCTTTGAGGCCAAAGGCAGAAAAGGAAATATCTTCGTTTCAAAACTAGACAGAATCATTCTCAGAAACTGCTCTGCGATGTGTTCGTTCAACTCTCAGAGTTTAACTTTTCTTTTCATTCAGCAGTTTGGAAACACTCTGTTTGTAAAGTCTGCACGTGCATAATTTGACCACTTAGAGGCCTTCGTTGGAAACGGGTTTTTTTTCATGTAAGGCTAGACAGAAGAATTCCCAGTAACTTCCTTGCGTTGTGTACATTCAACTCACAGAGTTGAACGTTCCCTTAGACAGAGCAGATTTGAAACACTCTTTTTGTGCAATTGGCAAGTGGAGATTTCAAGCGCTTTAAGGTCAATGGCAGAAAAGGAAATATCTTCGTTTCAAAACTAGACAGAATCATTCCCAAAAACTGCGTTGTGATGTGTTCGTTCATCTCACAGAGTTTAACCTTTCTTTTCATAGAGCAGTTAGGAAACAGTCTGTTTGTAAATTCTGTAAGTGGATATTCTGACATCTTGTGGCCTTCGTTGGAAACGGGATTTCTTCATATTCTGCTAGACAGAAGAATTCTCAGTAACTTCCTTGTGTTGTGTGTATTCAACTCATAGAGGTGAACGATCCTTTACACAGAACAGACTTGAAACACTCTTTTTGTGGAATTTGCAAGTGGAGATTTCAGCCGCTTTGAGTTCAATGGTTGAATAGGAAATATCTTCCTATAGAAACTAGACAGAATGATTCTCAGAATCTCCTTTGTGATGTGTGCGTTCAACTCACAGAGTTTAACCTTTCTTTTCATAGAGCATTTAGGAAACACTCTGTTTGTAAAGTCTGCAAGTGGATATTCAGACCTCCTTGAGGCCTTCGTTGGAAACGGGATTTCTTCATATTATGCTAGACAGAAGAATTCTCAGTAACTTCCTTTTGTTGTGTGTATTCAACTGACAGAGTTGAACCTTCCCTTAGACAGAGCAGATTTGAAACACTCTTTTTGTGGAGTTTGCAAGTGGAGATTTAAAGCGCTTTGAGGCCAAAGGCAGAAAAGGAAATATCTTCGTATAAAAACTAGACAGAATCATTCTCAGAAACTGCTGCGTGATGTGTGCGTTCAACTCTCAGAGTTTAACTTTTCTTTTCATTCAGCGGTTTGGAAACACTCTGTGTGTAAAGTCTGCACGTGGATATTTTGACCACTTAGAGGCCTTCGTTGGAAACGGGTTTTTTTCATGTAAGGCTAGACAGAAGAATTCCCAGTAACTTCCTTGTGTTGTGTGCATTCAACTCACAGAGTTGAACGTTCCCTTAGACAGAGCAGATTTGAAACACTCTATTTGTGCAATTTGCAAGTGTAGATTTCAAGCGCTTTAAGGTCAACGGCAGAAAAGGAAATATCTTCGTTTCAAAACTAGACAGAATGATTCTCAGAAACTCCTTTGTGATGTGTGCGTTCAACTCACAGAGTTTAACCTTTCTTTTCGTAGAGCAGGTAGGAAACACTCTGTTTGTAAAGTCTGCAAGTGGATATTCAGACCTCTTTGAGGCCTTCGTTGGAAATGGGATTTCTTCATATTCTGCTAGACAGAATAATTCTCAGTAACTTCCTTGTGTTGTGTGTATTCAACTCACAGATTTGAACGATCCTTTACAGAGAGCAGACTTGAAACACTCTTTTTGTCGAATTTGCAAGTGGAGATTTCAGCCGCTTTGAGGTCAATAGTAGAAAAGGAAATATCTTCGTAGAAAAACTAGACAGAATGATTCTCAGAAACTGCTTTGTGATGTGTGCGTTCAACTCACAGAGTTTAACCTTTCTTTTCATAGAGCAGTTGGGAAACACTCTGTTGGTAAAGTCTGCATGTGGATATTCAGACATCCTTGAGGCTTTCGTTGGAAACGGGATTTCTTCATATTCTGCTAGAAAGAAGAATTCTCAGTAACTTCCTTGTGTTGTGTGTGTTCAACTCACAGAGTTGAACTTTCATTTACACAGAGCAGATTGGAAACACTCTTTTTGTGGAATTTGCAAGTGGAGATTTCAAGCGCTTTGAGGCCAAAGGCAGAAAAGGAAATATCTTCGTATAAAAACTAGACAGAGTCATTCTCAGAAACTGCTCTGTGATGTGTGCGTTCAACTGTCATAGTTTAACTTTTCTTTTCATTCAGCAGTTTGGAAACACTCTGTTTGTAAAGTTTGCACGTGGACATTGTGACCACTTAGAGGCCTTTGTTGGAAACGGGTTTTTTTCATGAAAGGCTAGACAGAAGAATTCCCAGTAACTTCCTTGTGTTCTGTGCACTCAACTCACAGAGATGAACGTTCCCTTAGACAGAGCAGATTTGAAACACTCTATTTGTGCAATTTGCAAGTGTAGATTTCAAGCGCTTTAAGGTCAATGGCAGAAAAGGAAATATTTTCGTTTCAAAACTAGACAGAATGATTCTCACAAACTCCTTTGTGATGTGTGCGTTCAACTCACAGAGTTTAACCTTTCTTTTCATAGAGCAGTTAGGAAACACTCTGTTTGTAAAGTCTGCAAGTGGATATTCAGACCTCTTTGAGGCCTTCGTTGGAAACGGGATTTCTTCATATTCTGCTAGACAGAAGAATTCTCAGTAACTTCCTTGTGTTGTGTTTATTCAACTCACAGAGTTGAATGATCCTTTACACAGAGCAGACTTGAAACACTCTTTTTGTGGAATTTGCAAGTGGAGATTTCAGCCGCTTTGAGGTCAATGGTAGAAAAGGAAATATCTTCGTATAAAGACTAGACAGAATGATTCTCAGAAACTCCTTTGTGATGTGTGCGTTCAACTCACAGAGTTTAACCTTTCTTTTCATAGAGCAGTTAAAAACACTCTGTTTGTAAAGTCTGCAAGTGGATATTCAGACCTCTTTGAGGCCTTCATTGGAAACGGGTTTTTTTCATATAAGGCTAGACAGAAGAATTCCCAGTAACTTCCTTGTGTTGTGTGTGTTCAACTCACAGAGTTGAACTTTCATTTACACAGAGCAGATTTGAAACACTCTTTTTGTGGAATTTGCAAATGGAGATTTCAAGCGCTTTGAGGCCAAAGGCAGAAAAGGAAATGTCTTCGTTTCAAAACTAGACAGAATCATTCTCAGAAACTGCTCTGCGATGTGTGCGTTCAACTCTCAGAGTTTAACTTTTCTTTTCATTCAGCAGTTTGGAAACACTCTGTTTGTAAAGTCTGCACGTGGATAACTTGACCAGTTAGAGGCCTTCGTTGGAAACGGGTTTTTTTCCTGTAAGGCTAGACAGAAGAATTCCCAGTAACTTCCTTGTGTTGTGTGCATTCAACTCACAGAGTTGAACGTTCCCTTAGACAGAGCAGATTTGAAACACTCTATTTGTGCAATTTGCAAGTGTAGTTTTCAAGCTCTTTAAGGTCAACGGCAGAAAAGGAAATATCTTCGTTTCAAAACTAGACAGAATCATTCCCACAAACTGCGTTGTGATGTGTTCGTTCAACTAACAGAGTTTAACCTTTCTTTTCATAGAGCAGTTAGGAAACAGTCTGTTTGTCAATTCTGTAAGTGGATATTCTGACATCTTGTGGCCTTCGTTGGAAACGGGATTTCTTCATATTCTACTAGACAGAAGAATTCCCAGTAACTTCCTTGTGTTGTGTGTGTTCAACTCACAGAGTTGAACTTTCATTTACACAGAGCAGATTTGAAACACTCTTTTTGTGGAATTTGCAAATGGAGATTTCAGCCGCGTTGAGGCCAATGGTAGAAAAGGAAATATCTTCGTTTCAAAACTAGACAGAATGATTCTCAGAAACTCCTTTGTGATGTGTGCGTTCAACTCACACAGTTTAACCTTTCTTTTCATAGAGCAGTTAGGAAACACTCTGTTTGTAAAGTCTGCAAGTGGATATTCAGACCTCCTTGAGGCCTTCGTTGGAAACGGGATTTCTTCATATTCTGCTAGAAAGAAAAATTCTCAGAATCTTCCTTGTGTTGTGTGTATTCAACTCACAGAGTTGAACGATCCTTTACACAGAGCAGATTTGAAACACTCTTTTTGTGGAATTTGCAAGTGGAGATTTCAAGCGCTTTGAGGCTAAAGGCAGAAAAGGAAATATCTTCGTATAACAACTAGACAGAATCATTCTCAGAAACTGCTCTGCGATGTGTGCGTTCAACTCTCAGAGTTTAACTTTTCTTTTCATTCAGCAGTTTGGAAACACTCTGTTTGTAAAGTCTGCACGTGGATATTTTGACCATTTAGAGGCCTTCGTTGGAAACGGGTTTTTTTCTTGTAAGGCTAGACAGAAGAATTCCCAGGAACTTCCTTGTGTTGTGTACATTCAACTCACAGAGTTGAACGTTCCCTTAGACAGAGCAGATTTGAAACACTCTTTTTGTGCAATTGGCAAGTGGTGATTTCAGCAGCTTTGAGGTCAATGGTAGAAAAAGAAATATCTTCGTATAAAAACTAGACAGAATCATTCCCACAAACTGCGTTGTGAGGTGTTCGTTCAACTCACAGAGTTTAACCTTTCTTTTCATAGAGCAGTTAGGAAACAGTCTGTTTGTAAATTCTGTAAGTGGATATTCTGACATCTTGTGGCCTTCGTTGGAAACGGGATTTCTTCATATTCTGCTAGACAGAAGAATTCTCAGAAACTTTCCTTGTGTTGTGTGTATTCAACTCACAGAGTTGAACGATCGTTTACACAGAGCAGACTTGAGACACTCTTTTTGTGGAATTTGTAAGTGGAGATTTCAGCCGCTTTGAGGTCAATGGTAGAAAAGGAAATATCTTCATATATAAACCAGACAGAATGATTCTCAGAAACTCCTTTGTGATGTGTGTGTTCAACTCACAGAGTTTAACCTTTCTTTTCATAGAACAGTTAGTAAACACTCTGTTTTTAAAGTCTGCAAGTGGATATTCAGACCCCTTTGAGGCCTTCGTTGGAAACGGGATTTCTTCATATTCTGCTAGACAGAAGAATTCCCAGTAACTTCCTTGTGTTGTGTGTGTTCAACTCACAGAGTTGAACTTTCATTTACACAGAGCAGATTTGAAACACTCTTTTTGTGGAATTTGCAAATGGAGATTTCAAGCGCTTGGAGGCCAAAGGCAGAAAAGGAAATATCTTCGTATAAAAACTAGACAGAATCATTCTCAGAAACTGCTCTGCGATGTGTGCGTTCAACTCTCAGAGTTTAACTTTTCTTTTCATTCAGCAGTTTGGAAACACTCTGTTTGTAAAGTCTGCACGTGGATAATTTGACCACTTACAGGCCTTCGTTGGAAACGGGTTTTTTTCATGTAAGGCTAGACAGAAGAATTCCCAGTAACTTCCTTGTGTTGTGTACATTCAACTCACAGAGTTGAACGTTCCCTTAAACAGAGCAGATTTGAAACACTCTTTTTGTGCAATTGGCAAGTGGAGATTTCAAGCGCTTTGAGGTCAATGGCAGAAAAGGAAATATCTTCGTTTCAAAACTAGACAGAATGATTCTCAGAAACTCCTTTGTGATGTGTGCGTTCAACTCACAGAGTTTAACCTTTCTTTTCATAGAGCAGTTAGGAAACACTCTGTTTGTAAAGTCGGCAAGTGGATATTCAGTCCTCATTGAGGCCTTCGTTGGAAACGGGATTTCTTCATATTCTGCTAGACAGAAGAATTCTCAGTAACTTCCTTGTGTTGTGTGTATTCAACTCACAGAGTTGAACGATCCTTTACACAGAGCAGACTTGAAACACACTTTTTGTGGATTTTGCAAGTGGAGATTTCAGCCTCTTTGAGATCAATGGTAGAATAGGAAATATCTTCCTATAGAAACTAGACAGAATGATTGTCAGAAACTCCTTTGTGATGTGTGCGTTCAACTCACAGAGTTTAACCATTCCTTTCATAGAGCAGTTAGGAAACACTCTGTTTGTAAAGTCTGCAAGTGGATATTCAGACATCTTTGAGGCCTTCGTTGGAAACGGGATTTCTTCATATTCTGCTAGACAGAAGAATTCTCAGTAACTTCCTTGTGTTGTGTGTATTCAACTGACAGAGTTGAACTTTCATTTAGAGAGAGCAGATTTGAAACACTGTTTTTGTGGAATTTGCAAGTGGTGACTTCAAGCGCTTTGGGGCCAAACGCAGAAAAGGAAATATCTTCGTATAAAAACTAGACAGAATCATTCTCAGAAACTGCTCTGCGATGTGTGCGTTCAAGTCTCAGAGTTTAACTTTTCTTTTCATTCAGCAGTTTGGAAACACTCTGTTTGTAAAGTCTGCACGTGGATATTTTGACCACTTAGAGGCCTTCGTTGGAAACGGGTTTTTTTCCTGTAAGGCTAGACAGAAGAATTCGCAGTAACTTCCTTGTGTTGTGTACATTCAACTCACAGAGTTGAACGTTCCCTTAGACAGAGCAGATTTGAAACACTCTTTTTGTGCAATTGGCAAGTGGAGATTTCAAGCGCTTTAAGGTCAATGGCAGAAAAGGAAATATCTTCGTTTCAAAACTAGACAGAATGATTCCCAGAAAATCCTTTGTGATGTGTGCGTTCAACTCACAGAGTTTAACTTTTCTTTTCATAGAACAGTTAGGAAACACTCTGTTTGTAAAGTCTGCAAGTGGATATTCAGACCTCTTTGAGGCCTTCGTTGGAAACGGGATTTCTTCATATTATGCTATAAAGAAGAATTCTCAGTAACTTTCCTTGTGTTGTGTGTATTCAACTCACAGAGTTGAACGATCCTTTACAGAGAGCAGACTTGAAACACTCTTTTTGTGGAATTTGCAAGTGGAGATTTCAGCCGCTTTGAGGTCAATGGTAGAATAGGAAATATCTTCCAATAGAAACTAGACAGAATGATTCTCAGAAACTTCTTTGTGATGTGTGCGTTCAACTCACACAGTTTAACCTTTCTTTTCATAGAGCAGTTAGGAAACACTCTGTTTGTAAAGTCTGCAAGTGGATATTCACACCTCCTTGAGGCCTTCGTTGGAAACGGGATTTCTTCATATTATGCTAGACAGAAGAATTCCCAGTAACTTCCTTGTGTTGTGTGTGTTCAACTCACAGAGTTGAACTTTCATTTACACAGAGCAGATTTGAAACACTCTTTTTGTGGAATTTCAAGTGGAGATTTCAAGCGCTTTGAGGCCAAAGGCAGAAAAGGAAATATCTTCGTATAAAAACTAGACAGAATGATTCTCAGAAACTCCTTTGTGATGTGTGCGTTCAACTCACAGAGTTTAACCTTTCTTTTCATTCACCAGTTTGGAAACACTCTGTTTGTAAAGTCTGCACGTGGATATTTTGACCACTTAGAGGCCTTCGTTGGAAACGGGTTTTTTTCCTGTAAGGCTAGACAGAAGAATTCCCAGTAACTTCCTTGTGTTGTGTGCAATCAAATCACAGAGTTGAACGTTCCCTTAGACAGAGTAGATTTGAAACACTCTATTTGTGCAATTTGCAAGTGTAGATTTCAAGCGCTTTAAGGTCAAAGGCAGAAAAGGAAATATCTTCGTTTCAAAACTAGACAGAATCATTCCCACAAACTGCGTTGTGATGTGTTCGTTCAACTCACAGCAGTTTAACCTTTCTTTTCATAGAGCAGTTAGGAAACAGTCTGTTTGTAAATTCTGTAAGTGGATATTCTGACATCTTGTGGCCTTCGTTGGAAAAGGGATTTCTTCATATTCTGCTAGACAGAATAATTCTCAGTAACTTCCTTGTGTTGTGTGCATTCAACTCACAGAGTTGAACGATCCTTTACAGAGAGCAGACTTGAAACACTCTTTTTGTGGAATTTGCAAGTGGAGATTTCAGCCGCTTTGAGGTCAATGGTAGAATAGGAAATATCTTCCTACAGAAACTAGACAGAATGATTCTCATAAACTCCTTTGTGATGTGTGCGTTCAACTCACAGAGTTTAACCTTTCTTTTCATAGAGCAGTTAGGAAACACTCTGTTTGTAAAGTCTGCAAGTGGATATTCAGACCTCTTTGAGGCCTTCGTTGGAAACGGGATTTCTTCATATTCTGCTAGACAGAAGAATTCTCAGTAACTTCCTTGTGTTGTGTGTATTCAACTCACAGAGTTGAACGATCCTTTACACAGAGCATACTTGAAACACTCTTTTTGTGGAATTTGCAAGTGGAGATTTCAGCCGCTTTGAGGTCAATTGTAGAAAAGGAAATATCTTCGTAGAAAAACTAGACAGAATCATTCTCAGAAAGTGCTCTGCGATGTGTGCGTTCAACTCTCAGAGTTTAACTTTGCTTTTCATTCAGCAGTTTGGAAACACTCTGTTTGTAAAGTCTGCACGTGGATAATTTGACCACTTAGAGGCCTTCGTTGGAAACGGGTTTTTTTCATGTAAGGCTAGACAGAAGAATTCCCAGTAACTTCCTTGTGTTGTGTGCATTCAACTCACAGAGTTGAACGTTCCCTAGACGGAGCAGATTTGAAACACTCTATTTGTGCAATTTGCAAGTGTAGATTTCAAGCGCTTTAAGGTCAATGGCAGAAAAGGAAATATCTTCGTTTCAAAACTAGACAGAATCATTCCCACAAACTGCGTTGTGATGTGTTCGTTCATCTCACAGAGTTTAACCTTTCTTTTCGTAGAGCAGTTAGGAAACAGTCTGTTTGTAAATTCTGTAAGTGGATATTCTGACATCTTGTGGCCTTCGTTGGAAACGGGATTTCTTCATATTGCTGCTAGACAGAAGAATTCTCAGTAACTTCCTTGTGTTGTCTGTATTCAACTCACAGAGTTGAACGATCCTTTACACAGAGCAGACTTGAAACACACTTTTTGTGGAATTTGCAAGTGGAGATTTCAGCCGCTTTGAGGTCAATGGTAGAATAGGAAATATCTTCCTATAGAAACTAGACAGAATGATTCTCAGAAACTCCTTTGTGATGTGTACGTTCAACTCACAGAGTTTAACCTTTCTTTTCATAGAGCAGTTAGGAAACACTCTGTTTGTAAAGTCTGCAAGTGGATATTCCGACATCCTTGAGGCTTTCGTTGGAAACGGGATTTCTTCATATTCTGCTAGAAAGAAGAATTCCCAGTAACTTCCTTGTGTTGTGTGTGTTCAACTCACAGAGTTGAACTTTCATTTACACACAGCAGATTTGAAACACTCTTTTTGTGGAATTTGCAAATGGAGATTTCAAGCGCTTTGAGGCCAAAGGCAGAAAAGGAAATATCTTCGTATAAAAACTAGACAGAATCATTCTCAGAAACTGCTCTGCGATGTGTGCGTTCAACTCTCAGAGTTTAACTTTGCTTTTCATTCAGCAGTTTGGAAACACTCTGTTTGTAAAGTCTGCACGTGGATAATTTGACCACTTAGAGGCCTTCGTTGGAAACGGGTTTTTTTCATGTAAGGCTAGACAGAAGAATTCCCAGCAACTTCCTTGTGTTGTGTGCATTCAACTCACAGAGTTGAACGTTCCCTTAGACAGAGCAGATTTGAAACACTCTATTTGTGCAATTTGCAAGTGTAGATTTCAAGCCCTTTAAGGTCAATGGCAGAAAAGGAAATATCTTCGTTTCAAAACTAGACAGAATCATTCTCAGAAACTGCTCTGCGATGTGTGCGTTCAACTCTCCGAGTTTAACTTTTCTTTTCATTCAGCAGTTTGGAAACACTCTGTTTGTAAAGTCTGCACGTGGATAATTTGACCACTTAGAGGCCTTCGTTGGAAACGGTTTTTTTTCATGTAAGGCTAGACAGAAGAATTCTCAGTAACTTCCTTGTGTTGTGTGTATTCAACTCACAGAGTTGAACGATCCTTTACACAGACCAGACTTGTAACACTCTTTTTGTGGAATTTGCAAGTGGAGATTTCAGCCGCTTTGAAGTCAAAGGTAGAAAAGGAAATATCTTCGTATAAAAACTAGACAGAATGATTCTCAGAAACTCCTTTGTGATGTGTGTGTTCAACTCACAGAGTTTAACCTTTCTTTTCATAGAGCAGTTAGTAAACACTCTGTTTGTACAGTCTGAAAGTGGATATTCAGACCCCTTTGAGGCCTTCGTTGGAAAAGGGATTTCTTCATATTATGCTAGACAGAAGAATTCCCAGTAACTTCCTTGTGTTGTGTGTGTTCAACTCACAGAGTTGAACTTTCATTTACACAGAGCAGATTTGAAACACTCTTTTTGTGGAATTTGCAAGTGGAGATTTCAAGCGCTTTGAGGCCAAAGGCAGAAAAGGAAATATCTTCGTTTGAAAACTAGACAGAAATGATTCTCAGAAACTCCTTTGTGATGTGTGCGTTCAACTCACAGAGTTTAACCTTTCTTTTCATGGAGCTGTTAGGAAACACTCTGTTTGTAAAGTCTGCAAGTGGATATTCAGACCTCTTTGAGGCCTTCGTTGGAAACGGGTTTTTTTCATATAAGGCTAGACAGAAGAATTCCCAGTAACTTCCTTGTGTTGTGTACATTCAACTCACAGAGTTGAACGTTCCCTTAGACAGAGCAGATTTGAAATACTCTTTTTGTGCAATTGGCAAGTGGAGATTTCAAGCGCTTTAAGGTCAATGGCAGAAAAGGAAATATCTTCGTTTCAAAACTAGACAGAATCATTCCCACAAACTGCGTTGTGATGTGTTCGTTCAACTCACAGAGTTTAACCTTTCTTTTCATAGAGCAGTTAGGAAACACTCTGTTTGTAAATTCTGTAAGTTGATATTCTGACATCTTGTGGCCTTCGTTGGAAACTGGATTTCTTCATATTCTGCTAGACAGAAGAATTCTCAGAATCTTTCCTTGTGTTGTGTGTATTCAACTCACAGAGTTGAACGATGGTTTACACAGAGCAGATTTGAAACACTCTTTTTGTGGAATTTGCAAGTGGAGATTTCAGCCGCTTTGAGGTCAATGGTAGAAAAGGAAATATCTTCGTATAAAAACTAGACAGAATGATTCTCAGAAACTCCTTTGTGATGTGTGCGTTCACCTCACAGAGTTTAACCTTTCTTTTCATAGAGCAGTTAGGAAACACTCTGTTTGTAAAGTCTGCAAGTGGATATTCAGACCTCTTTGAGGCCTTCGTTGGAAACGGGATTTCTTCATATTATGCTAGACAGAAGAATTCCCAGTAACTTCCCTTGTGTTGTGTGTATTCAACTCACAGAGTTGAACTTTCATTTACACAGAGCAGATTTGAAACACTCTTTTTGTGGAATTTGCAAATGGAGATTTCAAGCGCTTTGAGGCCAAAGGCAGAAAAGGAAATATCTTCGGTATAAAAACTAGACAGAATCATTCTCAGAAACTGCTCTGTGATGTGTGCGTTCAACTCTCAGAGTTTAACTTTTCTTTTCATTCAGCAGTTTGGAAACACTCTGTTTGTAAAGTCTGCACGTGGATAATTTGACCACTTAGAGGCCTTCATTGGAAACGGGTTTTTTTCATGTAAGGCTAGACAGAAGAATTCCCAGTAACTTCCTTGTGTTGTGTACATTCAACTCACAGAGTTGAACGTTCCCTTAGACAGAGCAGATTTGAAACACTCTTTTTGTGCAATTGGCAAGTGGAGATTTCAAGCGCTTTAAGGTCAATGGCAGAAAAGGAAATATCTTCGTTTCAAAACTAGACAGAATGATTCTCAGAAACTCCTTTGTGATGTGTGCGTTCAACTCACAGAGTTTAAACTTTCTTTTCATAGAGGAGTTAGGAAACACTCTGTTTGTAAAGTCTGCAAGCGGATATTCAGACCTCTTTGAAGCCTTCGTTGGAAACGGGATTTCTTCATATTCTGCTAGACAGAAGAATTCTCAGTAACTTCCTTGTGTTGTGTGTATTCAACTCACAGAGATGAACGATCCTTTACACAGAGCAGACTTGAAACACTCCTTTTGTGGAATTTGCAAGTGGAGATTTCAGCCGCTTTGAGGTCAATGGTAGAAAAGGAAACTATCTTCGTATAAAGACTAGACAGAATGATTCTCAGAAACTCCTTTGTGATGTGTGTGTTCAACTCACAGAGTTTAACCTTTCTTTTCATAGAGCAGTTAGGAAACACTCTGTTTGTAAAGTCTGTAAGTGGATATTCAGACCTCTTTGAGGCCTTCGTTGGAAACGGGTTTTTTTCATATAAGGCTAGACAGAAGAATTCCCAGTAACTTCCTTGTGTTGTGTGTGTTCAACTCACAGAGTTGAACTTTCATTTACACAGAGCAGATTTGAAACACTCTTTTTGTGGAATTTGCAAATGGAGATTTCAAGCGCTTTGAGGCCAAAGGCAGAAAAGGAAATATCTTCGTATAAAAACTTGACAGAATCATTCTAAGAAACTGCTCTGTGATGTGTGTGTTCAACTCTCAGAGTTTAACTTTTCTTTTCCTTCAGCAGTTTGGAAACACTCTGTTTGTAAAGTCTGCACGTGGATAATTTGACCACTTAGAGGCCTTCGTTGGAAACGGGTTTTTTTCATGTAAGGCTAGACAGAAGAATTCCCAGTAACTTCCTTGTGTTGTGTACATTCAACTCACAGAGTTGAACGTTCCCTTAAACAGAGCAGATTTGAAACACTCTTTTTGTGCAATTGGCAAATGGAGATTTCAAGGGCTTTAAGGTCAATGGCAGAAAAGGAAATATCTTCGTTTCAAAACTAGACAGAACGATTCTCAGAAACTCCTTTGTGATGTGTGCGTTCAACTCACAGAGTTTAACCTTTCTTTTCATAGAGCAGTTAGGAAACACTCTGTTTGTAAAGTCTGCAAGTGGATATTCAGACCTCTTTGAGGCCTTCGTTGGAAACGGGATTTCTTCATTTTCTGCTAGACAGAAGAATTCTCAGTAACTTCCTTGTGTTGTGTGTATTCAACTCACAGAGTTGAACGATCCTTTACACAGAGCAGACTTGAAACACTCTTTTTGTGGAATTTGCAAGTGGAGATTTCAGCCGCTTTGTGGTCAACGGTAGAAAAGGAAATATCTTCGTATAAAGACTAGACAGAATGATTCTCAGAAACTCCTTTGTGATGTGTGTGTTCAACTCACAGAGTTTAACCTTTCTTTTCATAGAGCAGTTAGTAAACACTCTGTTTATAAAGTCTGCAAGTGGATATTCAGACCCCTTTGAGGCCTTCGTTGGAAACGGGATTTCTTCATCTTATGCTAGACAGAAGAATTCTCAGTAACTTCCTTGTGTTGTGTGTATTCAACTGACAGAGTTGAACTTTCATTTAGACAGAGCAGATTTGAAACACTCTTTTTGTGGAATTTGCAAGTGGAGATTTCAAGCGCTTTGAGGCCAAAGGCAGAAAAGGAAATATCTTTGTATAAAAACTAGATAGAATCATTCTCAGAAACTGCTCTGCGATGTGTGCGTTCAACTCTCAGAGTTTAACTTTTCTTTTCATTCAGCAGTTTGGAAACACTCTGTTTATAAAGTCTGCACGTGGATATTTTGACCACTTAGAGGCCTTCGTTGGAAACGGGTTTTTTTCCTGTAAGGCTAGACAGAATAATTCCCAGTAACTTCCTTGTGTTGTGTACATTCAACTCACAGAGTTGAACGTACCCTTAGACAGAGCAGATTTGAAACACTCTTTTTGTGCAATTGGCAAGTGGAGATTTCAAGCGCTTTAAGGTCAATGGCAGAAAAGGAAATTTCTTCGTTTCAAAACTAAACAGAATCATTCCCACAAACTGCGTTGTGATGTGTTCGTTCAACTCACAGAGTTTAACCTTTCTTTTCATAGAGCAGTTAGGAAACAGTCTGTTTGTAAATTCTGTAAGTGGATATTCTGACATCTTGTGGCCTTCGTTGGAAACGGGATTTCTTCATATTCTGCTAGACAGAAGAATTCTCAGTAACTTCCTTGTGTTGTGTGTATTCAACTCACAGAGTTGAACGATCCTTTACACAGAGCAGACTTAAAACACTCTTTTTGTGGAATTTGCAAGTGGAGATTTCAGCCGCTTTGAGGTCAATAGTAGAAAAGGAAATATCTTCGTAGAAAAACTAGACAGAATGATTCTCAGAATCTCCTTTGTGATGTGTGCGTTCAACTCACAGAGTTTAACCTTTCTTTTCATAGAGCAGTTAGGAAACACTCTGTTTGTAAAGTCTGCAAGTGGATATTCAGACCTCTTTGTGGCCTTCGTTGGAAACGGGTTTTTTTCATATAAGGCTAGACAGAAGAATTTTCAGTAACTTCCTTGTGTTGTGTGTATTCAACTCACAGAGTTGAACGATCCTTTACAGAGAGCAGACTTGAAACACTCTTTTTGTGGAATTTGCAAGTGGAGATTTCAGCCGCTTTGAGGTCAATGGTGGAATAGGAAATATCTTCCTATAGAAACTAGACAGAATCATTCTCAGAATCTGCAGCGTGATGTCTGCGTTCAACTCTCAGAGTTTAACTTTTCTTTTCATTCAGCGGTTTGGAAACACTCTGTTTGTAAAGTCTGCACGTGGATATTTTGACCACTTAGAGGCCTTCGTTGGAAACGGGTTTTTTTCATGTAAGGCTAGACAGAAGAATTCCCAGTAACTTCCTTGTGTTGTGTACATTCAACTCACAGAGTTGAACGTTCCCTTAGACAGAGCAGATTTGAAACACTCTTTTTGTGCAATTGGCAAATGGAGATTTCAAGCGCTTTAAGGTCAATGGCAGAAAAGGAAATATCTTCGTTTCAAAACTAGACAGAATCATTCCCACAAACTGCGTTGTGATGTGTTCGTTCATCTCACAGAGTTTAACCTTTCTTTTCATAGAGCAGTTAGGAAACAGTCTGTTTGAAAATTCTGTAAGTGGATATTCTGACATCTTGTGGCCTTCGTTGGAAACGGGATTTCTTCATATTCTGCTAGACAGAAGAATACTGAGTAACTTCCGCGTGTTGTGTGTATTCAACTCACAGAGTTGAACGATCCTTTACACAGAGCAGACTTGAAACACTCTTTTTGTGGAATTTGCAAGTGGAGATTTCAGCCGCTTTGAGGTCAATGGTAGAAAAGGAAATATCTTCATATAAAAACTAGACAGAATGATTCTCAGAAACTCCTTTGTGATGTGTGCGTTCAACTCACAGAGTTTAACTTTTCTTTTCAAAGAGCAGTTAGGAAACACTCTCTTTGTAAAGTCTGCAAGTGGATATTCAGACCTCTTTGAGGCCTTCGTTGGAAACGGGATTTCTTCATATTCTGCTAGACAGAAGAATTCCCAGTAACTTCCTTGTGTTGTGTGTGTTCAACTCACAGAGTGGAACTTTCATTTACACAGAGCAGATTTGAAACACTCTTTTTGTGGAATTTGCAAGTGGAGATTTCAAGCGCTTTGAGGCCAAAGGCAGAAAAGGAAATATCTTCGTTTCAAAACTAGACAGAATCATTCTCAGAAACTGCTGCGTGATGTGTGCGATCAACTCTCAGAGTTTAACTTTTCTTTTCATTCAGCGGTTTGGAAACACTCTGTTTGTAAAGTCTGCACGTGGATATTTTGACCACTTAGAGGCCTTCGTTGGAAACGGGTTTTATTCATGTAAGGCTAGACAGAAGAATTCCCAGTAACTTCCTTGTGTTGTGTGCATTCAACTCACAGAGTTGAACGTTCCCTTAGACAGAGCAGATTTGAAACACTCTATTTGTGCAATTTGCAAGTGTAGATTTCAAGCGCTTTAAGGTCAATGGCAGAAAAGGAAATTTCTTCGTTTCAAAACTAGACAGAATCATTCCCACAAACTGCGTTGTGAAGTGCTCGTTCAACTCACAGATTTTAACCTTTCTGTTCATAGAGCAGTTAGGAAACACTCTGTTTGTAAAGTCTGCAAGTGGATATTCTGACATCTTGCGGCCTTCGTTGGAAACGGAATTTCTTCATATTCTGCTAGACAGAAGAATTCTCAGTAACTTCCTTGTGTTGTGTGTATTCAACTCACAGAGTTGAACGATCCTTTACACAGAGCAGACTTGTAACACTCTTTTTGTGGAATTTGCAAGTGGAGATTTCAGCCGATTTGAAGTCAAAGGTAGAAAAGGAAATATCTTCCTATAAAAACTAGACAGAATGATTCTCAGAAACTCCTTTGTGATGTGTGCGTTCAACTCACAGAGTTCAACCTTTCTTTTCATAGAGCAGTTGGGAAACACTCTGTTTGTAAAGTCTGCAAGTGGATATTCAGACTTCTTTGAGGCCTTCGTTGGAAGCGGGATTTCTTCATGTTCTAGACAGAAGAATTCTCAGTAACTTCCTTGTGTTGTGTGTATTCAACTGACAGAGTTGAAATTTCATTTAGAGGGAGCAGATTTGAAACACTGTTTTTGTGGAATTTGCAAGTGGAGATTTCAAACGCTTTGGGGCCAAAGGCAGAAAAGGAAACATCTTCGTATAAAAACTAGACAGAATCATTCTCAGAAACTGCTCTGCGATGTGTGCGTTAAACTCTCAGAGTTTAACTTTTCTTTTCATTCAGCAGTTTGGAAACACTCTGTTTGTAAAGTCTGCACGTGGATATTTTGACCACTTAGAGGCCTTCGTTGGAAACGGGTTTTTTTCCTGTAAGGCTAGACAGTAGAATTCCCAGTAACTTCCCTGTGTTGTGTGCATTCAACTCACAGAGTTGAACGTTCCCTTAGACAGAGCAGATTTGAAACACTCTATTTGTGCAATTTGCAAGTGTAGATTTCAAGCGCTTTAAGGTCAATGGCAGAAAAGGAAATATCTTCCTTTCAAAACTAGACAGAATCATTCCCACAAACTGCGTTGTGATGTGTTCATTCAACTCACAGAGTTTAACCTTTCTTTTCATAGAGCAGTTAGGAAACAGTCTGTTTGTCAATTCTGTAAGTGGATATTCTGACATCTTGTGGCCTTCGTTGGAAACGGGATTTCTTCATATTCTGCTAGACAGAAGAATTCTCAGTAACTTCCTTGTGTTGTGTGTATTCAACTCACAGAGTTGAACGATCCTTTACACAGAGCAGACTTGAAACACTCTTTTTGTGGAATTTGCAAGTGGAGATTTCAGCCGCTTTGAGGTCAATGGTAGAAAAGGAAACTATCTTCATATAGAGACTAGACAGAATGATTCTCAGAAAATCTTTTGTGATGTGTGCGTTCAACTCACAGAGTTTAACTTTTCTTCTCATAGAGCAGTTAGGAACCACTCTGTTTGTAAAGTCTGCAAGTGGATATTCAGACCTCTTTGAGGCCTTCGTTGGAAACTTGATTTCTTCATATTATGCTAGACAGAAGAATTCCCAGTAACTTCCTTGTGTTGTGTGTGTTCAACTCACAGAGTTGAACTTTCATTTACACAGAGCAGATTTGAAACTCTCTTTTTGTGGAATTTGCAAGTGGAGATTTCAAGCGCTTTGAGGCCAAAGGCAGAAAAGGAAATATCTTCGTTTCAAAACCAGACAGAATCATTCTCAGAAGCTGCTGCGTGATGTGTGCGTTCAACTCTCAGAGTTTAACTTTTCTTTTCATTCAGCGGTTTGGAAACACTCTGTTTGTGAAGTCTGCACGTGGATATTTTGACCACTTAGAGGCCTTCGTTGGAAACGGTTTTTTTGCATGTAAGGCTAGACAGAAGAGTTCCCAGTAACTTCCTTGTGTTGTGTACATTCAACTCACAGAGTTGAACGTTCCCTTAGACAGAGCAGATTTGAAACACTCTTTTTGTGCAATTGGCAAGTGGAGATTTCAAGCGCTTTAAGGTCAATGGCAGAAAAGGAAATATCTTCGTTTCAAAACTAGAGAGAATCATTCCCACAAACTGCGTTGTGATGTGTTTGTTCAACTCACAGAGTTTAACCTTTCTTTTCATAGAGCAGTTAGGAAACAGTCTGTTTGTCAATTCTGTAAGTGGATATTCTGACATCTTGTGGCCTTAGTTGGAAACGGGATTTCTTCATATTCTGCTAGACAGAAGAATTCTCAGTAACTTTCCTTGTGTTGTGTGTATTCAACTCACAGAGTTGAACGATCCTTTACACAGAGCAGACTTGAAACACTCTTTTTGGGGAATTTGCAAGTGGAGATTTCAGCCGCTTTGAGGTCAATGGTAGAAAAGGAAACTATCTTCATATAAAGACTAGACAGAATGATTCTCATAAACTCCTTTGTGATGTGTGCGTTCATCTCACAGAGTTTAACTTTTATTTTCATAGAGCAGTTAGGAAACACTCTGTTTGTAAAGTCTGCAAGTGGATATTCAGACCTCCTTGAGGCCTTCGTTGGAAACGGGATTTCTTCATATTCTGCTAGACAGAAGAATTCTCAGTAACTTCCTTGTGTTGTGTGTATTCAACTCACAGAGTTGAACGATCCTTTACACAGAGCAGACTTGAAACACTCTTTTTGTGGAATTTGCAAGTGGAGATTTCAGCCGCTTTGAGGTCAATGGTAGAAAAGGAATTATCTTCGTATAAAGACTAGACAGAATGATTCTCAGAATCTCCTTTGTGATGTGTGCGTTCAACTCACAGAGTTTAACCTTTCTTTTCATAGAGCAGTTAGGAAACACTCTGTTTGTAAAGTCTGCAAGTGGATATTCAGACCTCTTTGATGCCTTCGTTGGAAACGGGTTTTTTTCATATAAGGCTAGACAGAAGAATTCCCAGTAACTTCCTTGTGTTGTGTGCATTCAACTCACAGAGTTGAACGTTCCCTTAGACAGAGCAGATTTGAAACACTCTATTTGTGCAATTTGCAAGTGTAGATTTCAAGCGCTTTAAGGTCAACGGCAGAAAAGGAAATATCTTCGTTTCAAAACTAGACAGAATGATTCTCAGAAACTCCTTTGTGATGTGTGCGTTCAACTCACAGAGTTCAACCTTTCTTTTCATAGAGCAGTTAGGAAACACTTTGTTTGTAAAGTCTGCAAGTGGATATTCAGACTTCTTTGAGGCCTTCGTTGGAAGCGGGATTTCTTCATGTTCTGCTAGACAGAAGAATTCCTCAGTAACTTCCCTTGTGTTGTGTGTATTCAACTCGCAGAGTTGAACGATCCTTTACACAGAGCAGACTTGAAACACTCTTTTTGTGGAATTTGCAAGTGGAGATTTCAGCCGCTTTGAGGTCAATAGTAGAAAAGGAAATATCTTCGTAGAAAAACTAGACAGAATGATTCTCATAAACTCCTTTGTGATGTGTGCGTTCAACTCACAGAGTTTAACTTTTGTTTTCATAGAGCAGTTAGGAAACACTCTGTTTGTAAAGTCTGCAAGTGGATATTCAGACCTCTTTGAGGCCTTCGGTGGAAACGGGATTTCTTCATATTCTGCTAGACAGAAGAATTCCCAGTAACTTCCTTGTGTTGTGTGTTTTTTAACTCACAGAGTTGAACTTTCATTTACACAGAGCAGATTTGAAACACTCTTTTTGTGGAATTTGCAAGTGGAGATTTCAAGCGCTTTGAGGCCAAAGGCAGAAAAGGAAATATCTTCGTATAAAAACTAGACAGAATCATTCTCAGAAACTGCTGCGTGATGTGTGCGTTCAACTCTCAGAGTTTAACTTTTCTTTTCATTCAGCGGTTTGGAAACACTCTGTTTGTAAAGTCTGCACGTGGATATTTTGACCACTTAGAGGCCTTCGTTGGAAACGGGTTTTTTTCATGTAAGGCTAGACAGAATAATTCTCAGTAACTTGCTTTTGTTGTGTGTATTCAACTCACAGAGTTGAACGATCCTTTACAGAGAGCAGACTTGAAACACTCTTTTTGTGGAATTTGCAAGTGGAGATTTCAGCCGCTTTGAGGTCAATGGTAGAATAGGAAATATCTTCCTATAGAAACTAGACAGAATGATTCTCATAAACTACTTTGTGATGTGTGCGTTCAACACACAGAGTTTAAACTTTCTGTTCATAGAGCAGTTAGGAAACACTCTGTTTGTAAAGTCTGTAAGTGGATATTCTGACATCTTGTGGCCTTCGTTGGAAACGGGATTTCTTCATATTCTGCTAGACAGAAGAATTCTCAGTGACTTCCTTGTGTTGTGTGTATTCAACTCACAGAGTTGAACGATCCTTTACACAGAGCAGTCTTGAAACACTCTTTTTGTGGAATTTGCAAGTGGAGATTTCTGCCGCTTTGAGGTCAATGGTAGAATAGGAAATATCTTCCTATAGAAACTAGACAGAATGATTCTCAGAAACTCCTTTGTGATGTGTGCGTTCAGCTCACAGAGTTCAACCTTTCTTTTCATAGAGCAGTTGGGAAACACTCTGTTTGTAAAGTCTGCAAGTGGATATTCAGACTTCTTTGAGGCCTTCGTTGGAAGCGGGATTTCTTCATGTTCTGCTAGACAGAAGAATTCCCAGTAACTTCCTTGTGTTGTGTGTGTTCAACTCACAGAGCTGAACTTTCATTTACACAGAGCAGATTTGAAACACTCTTTTTGTGGAATTTGCAAATGGAGATTTCAAGCGCTTTGAGGCCAAAGGCAGAAAAGGAAATATCTTCGTATAAAAACTAGACAGAATCATTCTCAGAAACTGCTCTCCGATGTGTGCATTCAGCTCTCAGAGTTTAACTTTTCTTTTCATTCACCAGTTTGGAAACACTCTGTTTGTAAAGTCTGCACGTGGATATTTTGACCACTTAGAGGCCTTCGTTGGAAGCGGGCTTTTGTCATGTAAGGTTAGACAGAATATTTCCCAGTAACTTCCTTGTGTTGTGTACATTCAACTCACAGAGTTCAACGTTCCCTTAGACAGAGCAGATTTGAAACACTCTTTTTGTGAAATTGGCAAGTGGAGATTTCAAGCGCTTAATGTCAATGGCAGAAAAGGAAATATCTTCGTTTCAAAACCAGACAGAATCATTCCCACAAACTGCGTTGTGATGTGTTCGTTCAACTCACAGAGTTTAACCTTTCTTTTCATAGAGCAGTTAGGAAAAACTCTGTTTGTAAATTCTGTAAGTGGATATTCTGACATCTTGTGGCCTTCTTTGGAAACGAGATTTCTTCATATTCTGCTAGACAGAAGAATTCTCAGTAACTTCCTTGAGTTGTGTGTATTCAACTCACAGAGTTGAACGATCCTTTACACAGAGCAGACTTGAAACACTCTTTTTGTGGAATTTGCAACTGGAGATTTCAGCCGCGTTGAGGTCAATGGTAGAAAAGGAAATATCTTCGTATAAAAACTAGACAGAATGATTCTCAGAAAGTCCTTTGTGATGTGTGCGTTCAACTCACAGAGTTTACCCTTTCTGTTCATAGAGCAGTTAGGAAACACTCTGTTTGTAAATTCTGCAAGTGGATATTCAGACCTACTTGAGGTCTTCGGTGGAAACGGGATTTCTTCATATTCTGCTAGACAGAAGAGATTCCCAGTAACTTCATTGTGTTGTGTGTGTTCAACTCACAGAGTTGAACTTTCATTTACACAGAGCAGATTTGAAACACTCTTTTTGTGGAATTTGCAAATGGAGATTTCAAGCGCTTTGAGGCCAAAGGCAGAAAAGGAAATATCTTCGTATAAAAACTAGACAGAATCATTCTCAGAAACTGCTGCGTGATGTGTGCGTTCAACTCTCAGAGTTTAACTTTTCTTTTCATTCAGCGGTTTGGAAACACTCTGTTTGTAAAGTCTGCACGTGGATATTTTGACCACTTAGAGGCCTTCGTTGGAAACGGGATTTTTTCATGTAAGGCTAGACAGAAGAATTCCCAGTAACTTCCTTGTGTTGTGTGCATTCAACTCACAGAGTTGAACGTTCCCTTAGACAGAGCAGATTTGAAACACTCTATTTGTGCAATTTGCAATTGTAGATTTCAAGCGTTTTAAGGTCAATGGCAGAAAAGGAAATATCTTCGTTTCAAAACTAGACAGAATGATTCTCAGAAACTTCTTTGTGATGTTTGCGTTCAACTCACAGAGTTTAACCTTTCTTTTCATAGAGCAGTTAGGAAACACTCTGTTTGTAAACTCTGCAAGTGGATATTCAGACCTCTTTGAGGCCTTCGTTGGAAACGGGATTTCTTCATACTATGCTAGACAGAAGAATTCTCAGTAACTTCCTTGGGTTGTGTGTATTCAACTCACAGAGTTGAACGATCCTTTACACAGAGCAGACTTGAAACACTCTTTTTGTGGAATTTGCAAGTGGAGATTTCAGCCGCTTTGAGGTCAATGGTAGAAAAGGAAATATCTTCGTATAAAGACTAGACAGAGTGATTCTCAGAAACTCCTTTGTGATGTGTGTGTTCAACTCACAGAGTTTAACCTTTCTTTTCAAGAGCAGTTAGTAAACACTCTGTTTATAAAGTCTGCAAGTGGATATTCCGACCCCTTTGAGTCCTTCGTTGGAAACGGGATTTCTTCATATTATGCTAGACAGAAGAATTCCCAGTAACTTCCTTGTGTTGTGTGTGTTCAACTCACAGAGTTGAACTTTCATTTGCACAGAGCAGATTTGAAACACTCTTTTTGTGGAATTTGCAAGTGGAGATTTCAAGCGCTTTGAGGCCAAAGGCAGAAAAGGAAATATCTCCGTTTCAAAACTAGACAGAATCATTCTCAGAAACTGCTGCTTGATGTGTGCGTTCAACTCTCAGAGTTTAACTTTTCTTTTCATTCAGCGGTTTGGAAACACTCTGTTTGTAAAGTCTGCACGTGGACATTTTGACCACTTAGAGGCCTTCGTTGGAAACGGGTTTTTTTCATGTAAGGCTAGACAGAAGAATTCCCAGTAACTTCCTTGTGTTGTATGCATTCAACTCACAGAGTTGAACGTTCCCTTAGACAGAGCAGATTTGAAACAATCTATTTGTGCAATTTGCAAGTGTAGATTTCAAGCGCTTTAAGGTCAATGGCAGAAAAGGAAATATCTTCGTTTCAAAACTAGACAGAATCATTCCCACAAACTGCGTTGTGATGTGTTCGTTCAACTCACAGAGTTTAACCTTTCTGTTCATAGAGCAGTTAGGAAACACTCTGTAAAGTCTGTAAGTGGATATTCTGACATCTTGTGGCCTTCGTTGTAAACGGGATTTCTTCATATTCTGCTAGACAGAAGAATTCTCAGTAACTTCCTTGTGTTGTGTTTATTCAACTCACAGAGTTGAATGATCCTTTACACAGAGTAGACTTGAAACACTCTTTTTGTGGAATTTGCAAGTGGAGATTTCAGCCGCTTTGAGGTCAATGGTAGAAAAGTAAATATCTTCCTATAAAGACTAGACAGAATGATTCTCAGAAACTCCTTTGTGATGTGTGCGTTCAACTCACAGAGTTTAACCTTTCTGTTCATAGAGCCGTTAGGAAACACTCTGTTTGTAAAGTCTGCAAGTGGATATTCAGACCTCTTTGAGGCCTTCGTTGGAAACGGGATTTCTTCATATTATGCTAGACAGAAGAATTCTCAGTAACTTCCTTGTGTTGTGTGTATTCAACTGACAGAGTTGAACTTTCATTTAGAGAGAGCAGATTTGAAACACTGTTTTTGTGGGATTTGCAAGTGGAGATTTCAAGCGCTTTGGGGCCAAAGGCAGAAAAGGAAATATCTTCGTATAAAAACTAGACAGAATCATTCTCAGAAACTGCTGCGTGATGTGTGCGTTCAACTCTCAGAGTTTAACTTTTCTTTTCATTCAGCGGTTTGGAAACACTCTGTTTGTAAAGTCTGCACGTGGAAATTTTGACCACTTAGAGGCCTTCGTTGGAAACGGGTTTTTTTCATGTAAGGCTAGACAGAAGAATTCCCAGTAACTTCCTTGTGTTGTGTGCATTCAACTTACAGAGTTGAACGTTCCCTTAGACAGAGCAGATTTGAAACACTCTATTTGTGCAATTTGCAATTGTAGATTTCAAGCGCTTTAAGGTCAAGGGCAGAAAAGGAAATATCTTCGTTTCAAAACTAGACAGAATCATTCCCACAAACTGCGTTGTGATGTGTTCGTTCAACTCACAGAGTATAACCTTTCTGTTCATAGAGCAGTTAGGAAACACTCTGTTTGTAAAGTCTGTAAGTGGATATTCTGACATCTTGTGGCCTTCGTTGGAAACGGGATTTATTCATATTCTGCTAGACAGAAGAATTCTCAGTAACTTCCTTGTGTTGTGTGTATTCAACTCACAGAGTTGAACGATCCTTTACACAGAGCAGTCTTGAAACACTCTTTTTGTGGAATTTGCAAGTGGAGATTTCTGCTGCTTTGAGGTCAATGGTAGAATAGGAAATATCTTCCTATAGAAACTAGACAGAATGATTCTCAGAAACTCCTTTGTGATGTGGGCGTTCAACTCACAGAGTTTAACCTTTCTTTTCATAGAGCAGTTAGGAAACACTCTGTTTGTAAAGTCTACACGTGGATATTTGGACTTCTTTGAGGCCTTCGTTGGAAACGGGTTTTTTTCATGTAAGGCTAGACGGAAAGAATTCTCAGTAACTTCCTTGTGTTGTGTGTATTCAACTGACAGAGTTGAACTTTCATTTAGAGAGAGCAGATTTGAAACACTGTTTTTGTGGAATTTGCAAGTGGAGATTTCAAGCGCTTTGGGGCCAAAGGCAGAAAAGGAAATATCTTCGTATAAAAACTAGACAGATCATTCTCAGAAACTGCTGTGTGATGTGTGCGTTCAACTCTCAGAGTTTAACTTTTCTTTTCATTCAGCGGTTTGGAAACACTCTGTTTGTAAAGTCTGCACGTGGATATTTTGACCACTTAGAGGCCTTCGTTGGAAACGGGTTTTTTTCATGTAAGGCTAGACAGAAGAATTCCCAGTAACTTCCTTGTGTTGTGTACATTCAACTCACAGAGTTGAACGTTCCCTTAGACAGAGCAGATTTGAAACACTCTTTTTGTGCAATTGACAAGTGGAGATTTCAAGCGCTTTAAGGTCAATGGCAGAAAAGGAAATATCTTCGTTTCAAAACTAGACAGAATCATTCCCACAAACTGCGTTGTGATGTGTTCGTTCAACTCACAGAGTTTAACCTTTCTTTTCATAGAGCAGTTAGGAAACAGTCTCTTTGAAAATTCTGTAAGTGGATATTCTGACATCTTGTGGCCTTCGTTGGAAACGGGATTTCTTCATATTCTGCTAGACAGAAGAATTCTCAGAAACTTCCTTGTGTTGTGTGTTTTCAACTCACAGAGTTGAACGATCCTTTACACAGAGCAGACTTGAAACACTCCTTTTGTGGAATTTGCAAGTGGAGATTTCAGCCGCTTTGAAGTCAATGGTAGAATAGGAAATATCTTCCTATAGAAAGTAGACAGAATGATTCTCAGAAACTCCTTTGTGATGTATGCGTTCAACTCACAGAGTTTAACCTTTCTTTTCATAGAGCAGTTAGGAAACACTCTGTTTGTAAAGTCTGCAAGTGGATATTCAGACCTCCTTGAGGCCTTCGTTGGAAACGGGTTTTTTTCATGTAAGGCTAGACAGAAGAATTCCCAGTAACTTCCTTGTGTTGTGTGTGTTCAACTCACAGAGTTGAACTTTCATTTACACAGAGCAGATTTGAAACACTCTTTTTGTGGAATTTGCAAATGGAGATTTCAAGCGCTTTGTGGCCAAAGGCAGAAAAGGAAATATCTTCGTATAAAAACTAGACAGAATCATTCTCAGAAACTGCTGCGTGATGTGTGCGTTCAACTCTCAGAGTTTAACTTTTCTTTTCATTCAGCGGTTTGGAAAAACTCTGTTTGTATAGACTGCACGTGGATATTTTGACCACTTAGAGGCCTTCGTTGGAAACGGGTTTTTTTTCATGTAAGGCTAGACAGAAGAATTCCCAGTAACTTCCTTGTGTTGTGTGCATTCAACTCACAGAGTTGAACGTTCCCTTAGACAGAGCAGATTTGAAACACTCTATTTGTGCAATTTGCAAGTGTAGATTTCAGGCGCTTTAAGGTCAACGGCAGAAAAGGAAATATCTTCGTTTCAAAACTAGACAGAATGATTCTCAGAAACTCCTTTGTGATGTGTGCGTTCAACTCACAGAGTTTAACCTTTCTGTTCAAAGAGCTGTTAGGAAACACTCTGTTTGTAAAGTCTGCAAGTGGATATTCAGACCTCCTTCAGGCCTTCGTTGGAAACGGGATTTCTTCATATTCTGCTAGACAGAAGAATTCTCAGTAACTTCCTTGTGTTGTGTGTTTTCAACTCACAGAGTTGAACGATCCTTTACACAGAGCAGACTTGAAACACTCTTTTTGTGGAATTTGCAAGTGGAGATTTCAGCCGCTTTGAGCTCAATGGTAGAATAGGAAATATCTTCCTATAGAAACTAGACAGAATGATTCTCAGAAACTCCTTTGTGATGTGTGCGTTCAACTCACAGAGTTTAACCTTTCTTTTCATAGAGCAGTTAGGAAACACTCTGTTTGTAAAGTCTGCAAGTAGATATTCAGACATCTTTGAGGCCTTCGTTGGAAACGGGATTTCTTCATGTTCTGCTAGACAGAAGAATTCTCAGAAACTTCCTTGTGTTGTGTGTTTTCAACTCACAGAGTTGAACGATGCTTTACACAGAGTAGACTTGAAACACTCTTTTTGTGTAATTTGCAAGTGGAGATTTCAGCCGCTTTGAGGTCAATGGTAGAAAAGGAAATATCTTCGAATAAAAACTAGACAGAATCATTCTCAGAAACTGCTGCGTGATGTGTGCGTTCAACTCTCAGAGTTTAACTTTTCTTTTCATTCAGCGGTTTGGAAACACTCTGTTTGTAAAGTCTGCACGTGGATATTTTGACCACTTAGAGGCCTTCGTTGGAAACGGGTTTTTTCATGTAAGGCTAGACAGAAGAATTCCCAGTAACTTCCTTGTGTTGTGTGCATTCAACTCACAGAGTTGAACAGTTCCCTTAGACAGAGCAGATTTGAAACACTCTATTTGTGCAATTTGCAAGTGTAGATTTCAAGCGCTTTAAGGTCAATGGCAGAAAAGGAAATATCTTCGTTTCAAAACTTGACAGAATGATTCTCAGAAACTCCTTTGTGATGTGTGCGTTCAACTCACAGAGTTTAACCTTTCTTTTCATAGAGCAGTTAGGAAGCACTCTGTTAGTAAAGTCTGCAAGTGGATATTCAGACCTCCTTGAGGCCTTCGTTGGAAAGGGGATTTCTTCATATTATGCTAGACAGAAGAATTCTCAGTAACTTCCTTGTGTTGTGTGTATTCAACTCACAGAGTTGAACGATCCTTTACACAGAGCAGACTTGAAACACTCTTTTTGTGAAATTTGCAAGTGGAGATTTCAGCCGCTTTGAGGTCAATGGTAGAATAGGAAATATCTTCCTATAGAAACTAGACAGAATGATTCTCAGAAACTCCTTTGTGATGTGTGCGTTCAACTCACAGAGTTTAACCTTTCTTTTCATAGAGCAGTTAGGAAACACTCTGTTGGTAAAGTCTGCAAGTGGATATTCAGACCTCTTTGAGGCCTTCTTTGGAAACGGGATTTCTTCATATTCTGCTAGACAGAAGAATTCCCAGTAACTTCCTTGTGTTGTGTGTGTTCAACTCACAGAGTTGAACTTTCATTTACACAGAGCAGATTTGAAACACTCTTTTTGTATAATTTGCAAATGGAGATTTCAAGCGCTTTGAGGCCAAAGGCAGAAAAGGAAATATGCTTACTTATAAAAACTAGACAGAATCATTCTCAGAAACTGCTCTGCGATGTGTGCGTTCAACTCTCAGAGTTTAACTTTTCTTTTCATTCAGCAGTTTGGAAACACTCTGTTTGTAAAGTCTGCACGTGGATAACTTGACCACTTAGAGGCCTTCGTTGGAAACGGGATTTTTTCATGTAAGGCTAGACAGAAGAATTCTCAGTAACTTCCTTGTGTTGTGTGTATTCAACTCACAGAATTGAACGATCCTTTACACAGAGCAGACTTGTAACACTCTTTTTGTGGAATTTGCAAGTGGAGATTTCAGCCGCTTTGAAGTCAAAGGTAGAAAAGTAAATATCTTCCTATAAAAACTAGACAGAATGATTCTCAGAAAATCCTTTGTGATGTGTGCGTTCAACTCACAGAGTTTAACATTTCTTTTCATAGAGCAGTTAGGAAACACTCTGTTTGTAAAGTCTGCAAGTGGATATTCAGACCTCTTTGAGGCCTTCTTTGGAAACGGGATTTCTTCATATTCTGCTAGACAGAAGAATTCTCAGTAACTTCCTTGTGTTGTGTGTATTCAACTCACAGAGTGGAACGATCCTTTACACAGAGCAGACTTGAAACACTCTTTTTGTGGAATTTGCAAGTGGAGATTTCAGCCGCTTTGAGGTCAATAGTGGAAAAGGAAATATCTTCGTAGAAAAACTAGACAGAATGATTCTCAGAAACTCCTTTGTGATGTGTGTGTTCAACTCACAGAGTTTAACCTTTCTTTTCATAGAGCAGTTAGTAAACACTCTGTTTATAATGTCTGCAAGTGGATATTCAGACCCCTTTGAGGCCTTCGTTGGAAACGGGATTTCTTCATATTCTGCTAGACAGAAGAATTCCCAGTAACTTCCTTGTGTTGTGTGGATTCAACTCACAGAGTTGAACTTTCATTTACACAGAGCAGATTTGAAACACTCTTTTTGTGGAATTTGCAAATGGAGATTTCAAGCCCTTTCAGGCCAAAGGCAGAAAAGGAAATATCTTCGTATAAAAACTAGACAGAATCATTCTCAGAAACTGCTCTGCGATGTGTGCGTTCAACTCTCCGAGTTTAACTTTTCTTTTCATTCAGCAGTTTGGAAACACTCTGTTTGTAAAGTCTGCACGTGGATAATTTGACCACTTAGAGGCCTTCTTTGGAAACGGTTTTTTTTTCATGTAAGGCTAGACAGAAGAATTCCCAGTAACTTCCTTGTGTTGTGTGCATTCAACTCACAGAGTTGAACGTTCCCTAGACGGAGCAGATTTGAAACACTCTATTTGTGCAATTTGCAAGTGTAGATTTCAAGCGCTTTAAGGTCAATGGCAGAAAAGGGAATATCTTCGTTTCAAAACTAGACAGAATCATTCCCACAAACTGCGTTGTGATGTGTGCGTTCAACTCACAGAGTTTAACTTTTCTTTTCATAGAGCAGTTAGGAAACACTCTGTTTGTAAAGTCTGCAAGTGGATATTCAGACCTCTTTGAGGCCTTCGTTGGAAACGGGATTTCTTCATATTCTGCTAGACAGAAGATTCTCAGTAACTTCCTTGTGTTGTGTGTATTCAACTCACAGAGTTGAACGATCCTTTACACAGAGCAGACTTGAAACACTCTTTTTGTGGAATTTGCAAGTGGAGATTTCAGCCGCTTTGAGGTCAATAGTAGAAAAGGAAATATCTTCGTAGAAAAACTAGACAGAATGATTCTCAGAAACTCCTTTGTGATGTGTGCGTTCAACACACAGAGTTTAACTTTTCTTTTCATAGAGCAGTTAGTAAACACTCTGTTTATAACGTCTGCAAGTGGATATTCAGACCCCTTTGAGGCCTTCGTTGGAAACGGGATTTCTTCATATTATGCTAGACAGAAGAATTCCCAGTAACTTCCTTGTGTTGTGTGTGTTCAACTCACAGAGTTGAACTTTCATTTACACAGAGCAGATTTGAAACACTCTTTTTGTGGAATTTGCAAGTGGAGATTTCAAGCGCTTTGAGGCCAAAGGCAGAAAAGGAAATATCTTCGTAAAAAAATAGACAGAATCATTCTCAGAAACTGCTCTGCAATGTGTGCGTTCAACTCTCAGAGTTTAACTTTTCTTTTCATTCAGCAGTTTGGAAACACTCTGTTTGTAAAGTCTGCACGTGGATAACTTGACCACTTAGAGGCCTTCGTTGGAAACGGGTTTTTTTCATGTAAGGCTAGACAGAAGAATTCCCAGTAACTTCCTTGTGTTGTGTGCATTCAACTCACAGAGTTGAACGTTCCCTTGGACAGAGCAGATTTGAAACACTCTATTTGTGCAATTTGCAAGTGTAGATTTCAAGCGCATTAAGGTCAATGGCAGAAAAGGAAATATCTTCGTTTCAAAACTAGACAGAATGATTCTGAGAAACTCCTTTGTGATGTGTGCGTTCAACTCACACAGTTTAACCTTTCTTTTCATAGAGCAGTTAGGAAACACTCTGTTTGTAAAGTCTGCAAGTGGATATTCAGACTTCTTTGAGGCCTTCGTTGGAAGCGGGATTTCTTCATATTCTGCTAGACAGAAGAATTCTCAGTAACTTCCTTGTGTTGTGTGTATTCAACTCACAGAGGTGAACGATCCTTTACACAGAGCAGACTTGAAACACTCTTTTTGTGGAATTGCAAGTGGAGATTTCAGCCGCTTTGAGGTCAATGGTAGAAAAGGAAATATCTTCGTATAAAGACTAGACAGAATGATTCTAAGAAAATCTTTTGTGATGTGTGCGTTCAACTCACAGAGTTTAACTTTTCTTCTCATAGAGCAGTTAGGAAACACTCTGTTTGTAAAGTGTGCAAGTGGATATTCAGACCTCTTTGAGGCCTTCGTTGGAAAAGGGATTTCTTCATATTATGCTAGACAGAAGAATTCTCAGTAACTTCCTTGGTGTTGTGTGTATTCAAATGACAGAGTTGAACTTTCATTTAGAGAGAGCAGATTTGAAACACTGTTTTTGTGGAATTTGCAAGTGGAGATTTCAAGCGCTTTGGGGCCAAAGGCAGAAAAGGAAATATCTTCGTATAAAAACTAGACAGAATCATCCTCAGAAACTGCACTGTGATGTGTGCGTTCAACTCTCAGTGTTTAACTTTTCTTTTCATTCAGCAGTTTGGAAACACTCTGTTTGTAAAGTCTGCACGTGGATATTTTGACCACTTAGAGGCCTTCGTTGGAAACGGGTTTTTTTCATGTAATGCTAGGCAGAAGAATTCCCAGTAACTTCCTTGTGTTGTGTGCATTCAACTCACAGAGCTGAACTTTCCCTTAGACAGAGCAGATTTGAAACACTCTATTTGTGCAATTTGCAAGTGTAGATTTCAAGCGCTTTAAGGTCAATGGCAGAAAAGGAAATATCTTCGTTTCAAAACTAGACAGAATCATTCCCACAAACAGCGTTGTGATGTGTTCGTTCAACTCACAGAGTTTAACCTTTCTTTTCATAGAGCAGTTAGGAAACAGTCTGTTTGTCAATTCTGTAAGTGGATATTCTGACATCTTGTGGCATTCGTTGGAAACGGGATTTCTTCATATTCTGCTAGACAGAAGAATTCTCAGTAACTTCCTTGTGTTGTGTGTATTCAACTCACAGAGTTGAACGATCCTTTACACAGAGCAGACTTGAAACACTCTTTTTGTGGAATTTGCAAGTGGAGATTTCAGCCGCTTTCAGGTCAATGGTAGAATAGGAAATATCTTCCTATAGAAACTAGACAGAATGATTCTCAGAAACTCCTTTGTGATGTGTGCGTTCAACTCACAGAGTTTAACCTTTCTTTTCATAGAGCAGTTAGGAAACACTCTGTTTGTAAAGTCTGCAAGTGGATATTCAGACCTCTTTCAGGCCTTCGTTGGAAACGGGATGTCTTCATATTATGCTAGACAGAAGAATTCCCAGTAACTTCCTTGTGTTGTGTGTGTTCGACTCACAGAGTTGAACTTTCATTTACACAGAGCAGATTTGAAACACTCTTTTTGTGGAATTTGCAAGTGGAGATTTCAAGCGCTTTGAGGCCAAAGGCAGAAAAGGAAATATCTTCGTATAAAAACTAGACAGAATCATTCTCAGAAACTGCTCTGCGATGTGTGCGTTCAACTCTCAGAGTTTAACTTTTCTTTTCATTCAGCAGTTTGGAAACACTCTGTTTGTAAAGTCTGCACGTGGATAACTTGACCACTTAGAGGCCTTTGTTGGAAATGGGTTTTTTTCATGTAAGGCTAGACAGAAGTATTCTCAGTAACTTCCTTGTGTTGTGTGTATTCAACTCACAGAGTTGAACGATCCTTTACACAGAGCGGACTTGTAACACTCTTTTTGTGGAATTTGCAAGTGGAGATTTCAGCCGCTTTGAAGTCAAAGTTAGAAAAGGAAATAACTTCCTATAAAAACTAGACAGAATCATTCCCACAAACTGCGTTGTGATGTGTTCGTTCATCTCACAGAGTTTAACCTTTCTTTTCATAGAGCAGTTAGGAAACACTCTGTTTGTAAATTCTGTAAGTGGATATTCTGACATCTTGTGGCCTTCGTTGGAAACGGGATTTCTTCATATTCTGCTAGACAGAAGAATTCTCAGTAACTTCCTTGTGTTGTGTGTATTCAACTCACAGAGTTGAACGATCCTTTACACAGAGCGGACTTGAAACACTCGTTTTGTGGAATTTGCAAGTGGAGATTTCAGCCGCGTTGAGGTCAATGGTAGAAAAGGGAATATCTTCGTATAAAAACTAGACAGAGTGATTCTCAGAAACTCCTTTGTGATGTGTGCGTTCAACTCACAGAGTTTAACCTTTCTTTTCATAGAGCAGTTAGGAAACACTCTGTTTGTAAAGTCTGCAAGTGGATATTCAGACCTCCTTGAGGCCTTCGTTGGAAACGGGATTTCTTCATATTCTGCTATACAGAAGAATTCTCAGTAACTTCCTTCTGTTGTGTGTATTCAACTGACAGAGTTGAAGTTTCATTTAGAGAGAGCAGATTTGAAACACTGTTTTTGTGGAATTTGCAAGTGGAGATTTCAAGCGCTTTGGGACCAAAGGCAGAAAAGGAAATATCTTCGTATAAAAACTAGACAGAATGATTCTCAGAAACTCCTTTGTGATGTGTGCGTTCAACTCACAGAGTTTAACCTTTCTTTTCATAGAGCAGTTAGGAAACACTCTGCTTGTAAAGTCTGCAAGTGGATATTCAGCCCTCTTTGAGGCCTTCGTTGGAAACGGGTTTTTTTCACATAAGGCTAGACAGAAGAATTCCCAGTAACTTCCTTGTGTTGTGTACATTCAACTCACAGAGTTGAACGTTCCCTTAGACAGAGCAGATTTGAAACAGTCTTTTTGTGCAATTGGCAAATGGAGATTTCAAGCGCTTTAAGGTCAATGGCAGAAAAGGAAATATCTTCGTTTCAAAACTAGACAGAATCATTCCCACAAACTGCGTTGTGATGTGTTCGTTCAACTCACAGAGTTTAACCTTTCTGTTCATAGAGCAGTTAGGAAACACTCTGTTTGTAAAGTCTGTAAGTGGATATACTGACATCTTGTGGCCTTCGTTGGAAACGGGATTTCTTCATATTCTGCTAGACAGAAGAATTCTCAGTAACTTCCTTGTGTTGTGTGTATTCAACTCACAGAGTTGAACGATCCTTTACACAGAGCAGACTTGTAACACTCTTTTTGTGGAATTTGCAAGAGGAGATTTCAGCCGCTTTGAAGTCAAAGGTAGAAAAGGAAATATCTTCCTATAAAAACTAGACAGAATAATTCTCAGAAACTCCTTTGTGATGTGTGCGTTCAACTCACAGAGTTTAACCTTTCTTTTCATAGAGCAGTTAGGAAACACTCTGTTTGTAAAGTCTGCAAGTGGATATTCAGACCTCTTTGAGGCCTTCGTTGGAAACGGGTTTTTTTCATATAAGGCTAGACAGAAGAATTCCCAGTAACTTCCATGTGTTGTGTGTGTTCAACTCACAGAGTTGAACTTTCATTTTCACAGAGCAGATTTGAAACACTCTTTTTGTGGAATTTGCAAATGGAGATTTCAAGCGCTTTGAGGCCAAAGGCAGAAAAGGAAATATCTTCGTATAAAAACTAGACAGAATCATTCTCAGAAACTGCTGCGTGATGTGTGCTTTCAACTCTCAGAGTTTAACTTTTCTTTTCATTCAGCGGTTTGGAAACACTCTGTTTGTAAAGTCTGCACGTGGATATTTTGACCACTTAGAGGCCTTCGTTGGAAACGGGTTTTTTTCATGTAAGGCTAGACAGAAGAATTCCCAGTAACTTCCTTGTGTTGTGTACATTCAACTCACAGAGTTGAACGTTCCCTTAGACAGAGCAGATTTGAAACACTCTTTTTGTGCAATTGGCAAATGGAGATTTCAAGCGCTTTAAGTTCAATGGCAGAAAAGGAAATATCTTCGTTTCAAAACTAGACAGAATCATTCCCACAAACTGCGTTGTGATGTGTTCGTTCAACTCACAGAGTTTAACCTTTCTGTTCATAGAGGAGTTAGGAAACACTCTGTTTGTAAAGTCTGTAAGTGGATATTCTGACATCTTGTGGCCTTCGTTGGAAACGGGATTTCTTCATATTCTGCTAGACAGAAGAATTCTCAGTAACTTCCTTGTGTTGTGTGTATTCAACTCACAGAGTTGAACGATCCTTTACACAGAGCAGACTTGAAACACTCTTTTTCTGGAATTTGCAAGTGGAGATTTCAGCCGCTTTGAGGTCAATTGTAGAAAAGGAAATATCTTCGTATAAAAACTAGACAGAATGATTCTCAGAAACTCCTTTGTGATGTCTGCGTTCAACTCACAGAGTTTAACCTTTCTTTTCATAGAGCAGTTAGGAAACACTCTGTTTGTATAGTCTGCACGTGGATATTTGGACTTCTTTGAGGCCTTCGTTGGAAACGGGTTTTTTTCATGTAAGGCTAGACAGAAGAATTCTCAGTAACTTCCTTCTGTTGTGTGTATTCAACTGACAGAGTTGAACTTTCATTTAGAGAGAGCAGATTTGAAACACTGTTTTTGTGGAATTTGCAAGTGGAGATTTCAAGCGCTTTGGGGCCAAAGGCAGAAAAGGAAATATCCTTCGTATAAAAACTAGACAGAATCATTCTCAGAAACTGCTCTGCGATGTGTGCGTTCAACTCTCAGAGTTTAAGTTTTCTTTTCATTCAGCAGTTTGGAAACACTCTGTTTGTAAAGTCTGCACGTGGATATTTTGACCACTTAGAGGCCTTCGTTGGAAACGGGTTTTTTTCCTGTAAGGCTAGACAGAAGAATTCCCAGTAACTTCCTTGTGTTGTGTACATTCAACTCACAGAGTTGAAAGTTCCCTTAGACACAGCAGATTTGAAACACTCTTTTTGTGCAATTGGCAAATGGAGATTTCAAGCGCTTTAAGGTCAATGGCAGAAAAGGAAATATCTTCGTTTCAAAACTAGACAGAATCATTCTCAGAAACTGCTCTGCGATGTGTGCGTTCAACTCTCAGAGTTTAACTTTTCTTTTCATTCAGCAGTTTGGAATCACTCTGTTTGTAAAGTCTGCACGTACATAATTTGACCACTTAGAGGCCTTCGTTGGAAACAGGTTTTTTTCATGTAAGGCTAGACAGAAGAATTCTCAGTAACTTCCTTGTGTTGTGTGTATTCAACTCACACAGTTGAACGATCCTTTACACAGAGCAGACTTGTAACACTCTTTTTGTGGAATTTGCAAGTGGAGATTTCAGCCGCTTTGAAGTCAAAGGTAGAAAAGGAAATATCTTCCTATAAAAACTAGACAGAATGATTCTCAGAAACTTCTTTGTGATGTGTGCGTTCAACTCACAGAGTTCAACCTTTCTTTTCATAGAGCAGTTAGGAAACACTCTATTTGTAAACTCTGCAAGTGGATATTCAGACCTCTTTGAGGCCTTCGTTGGAAACGGGATTTCTTCATACTATGCTAGACAGAAGAATTCTCAGTAACTTCCTTGTGTTGTGTGTATTCAACTGACAGAGTTGAACTTTCATTTAGAGAGAGCAGATTTGAAACACTGTTTTTGTGGAATTTGCCAGTGGAGATTTCAAGCGCTTTGGGGCCAAAGGCAGAAAACGAAATATCTTCGTATAAAAACTAGACAGAGTCATTCTCAGAAACTGCTCTGTGATGTGTGCGTTCAACTCTCAGAGTTTAACTTTTCTTTTCATTCAGCAGTTTGGAAACACTCTGTTTGTAAAGTCTGCACGTGGATAATTTGACCACTTAGAGGCCTTCGTTGGAAACGGGTTTTTTTCATGTAAGGCTAGACAGAAGAATTCCCAGTAACTTCCTTGCGTTGTGTACATTCAACTCACAGAGTTGAACGTTCCCTTAGACAGAGCAGATTTGAAACACTCTTTTTGTGCAATTGGCAAGTGGAGATTTCAAGCGCTTTAAGGTCAATGGCAGAAAAGGAAATATCTTCGTTTCAAAACTAGACAGAATCATTCCCACAAACTGCGTTGTGATGTGTTCGTTCAACTCACAGAGTTTAACCTTTCTTTTCATAGAGCAGTTAGGAAACACTCTGTTGTTAAATTCTGTAAGTGGATATTCTGACATCTTGTGGCCTTCGTTGGAAACGGGATTTCTACATATTCTGCCAGACAGAACAATTCTCAGTAACTTCCTTGTGTTGTGTGTATTCAACTCACAGAGTTGAACGATCCTTTACAGAGAGCAGACTTGAAACACTCTTTTTGTGGAATTTGCAAGTGGAGATTTCAGCCGCTTTGAGGTCAATGGTAGAATAGGAAATATCTTCCAATAGAAACTAGACAGAATGATTCTCAGAAACTCCTTTGTGATGTGTGTGTTCAACTCACTGAGTTTAACCTTTCTTTTCATAGAGCAGTTAGGAAACACTCTGTTTGTAAAGTCTGCAAGTGGATATTCAGACCTCTTTGAGGCCTTCGTTGGAAACGGGATTTTTTCATATAAGGCTAGACAGAGGAATTCCCAGTAACTTCCTTGTGTTGTGTGTGTTCAACTCACAGAGTTGAACTTTCATTTACACAGAGCAGATTTGAAACACTCTTTTTGTGGAATTTGCAAGTGGAGATTTCAAGCGCTTTGAGGCCAATGCAGAAAAGGAAATATCTTCGTATAAAAACTAGACAGAATCATTCTCAGAAACTGCTCTGCGATGTGTGCGTTCAACTCTCAGAGTTTAACTTTTCTTTTCATTCAGCAGTTTGGAAACAATCTGTTTGTAAAGTCTGCACGTGGATAATTTGACCACTTAGAGGCCTTCGTTGCAAACGGGTTTTTTTCCTGTAAGGCTAGACAGAAGAATTCCCAGGAACTTCCTTGTGTTGCGTACATTCAACTCACACATTTGAACGTTCCCTTAGACAGAGTAGATTTGAAACACTCTTTTTGTGCAATTGGCAAGTGGTGATTTCAGCCGCTTTGAGGTCAATGGTAGAAAAGGAAATATCTTCATATAAAAACTAGACAGATAATCATTCCCACAAACTGCGTTGTGATGTGTTCGTTCAACTCACAGAGTTTAACCTTTCTGTTCATAGAGCAGTTAGGAAACACTCTGTTTGTAAAGTCTGTAAGTGGATATTCTGACATCTTGTGGCCTTCGTTGGAAACGGGATTTCTTCCTATTCTGCTAGACAGAAGAATTCTCAGTAACTTCCTTGTGTTGTGTGTATTCAACTCACAGAGTTGAACGATCCTTTACACAGAGCAGACATGTAACACTCTTTTTCTGGAATTTGCAAGTGGAGATTTCAGCCGCTTTGAAGTCAAAGGTAGAAAAGGAAATATCTTCCTATAAAAACTAGACAGAATGATTCTCAGAAACTCCTTTGTGATGTGTGCGTTCAACTCACAGAGTTTAACCTTTCTTTTCATAGAGCAGTTAGGAAACACTCTGTTTGTAAAGTCTGCAAGTGGATATTCAGACCTCTTTGAGGCCTTCGATGGAAACGGGATTTCTTCATATTCTGCTAGACAGAAGAATTCTCAGTAACTTCCTTGTGTTGTGTGTATTCAACTCACAGAGTTGAACGATCCTTTACACAGGGCAGACTTGAAACACTCTTTTTGGGGAATTTGCAAGTGGAGATTTCAGCCTCTTTGAGGTTAATGGTAGAAAATGAAATATCTTCGTATAGAAACTAGACAGAATCATTCTCAGAAACTGCTCTGTGATGTGTGCGTTCAACTCTCAGAGTTTAACTTTTCTTTTCATTCAGCAGTTTGGAAACACTCTGTTTGTAAAGTCTCCACGTGGATAATTTGACCACTTAGAGGCCTTCGTTGGAAACGGGTTTTTTTCATGTAAGGCTAGACAGAAGAATTCCCAGTAACTTCCTTGTGTTGTGTACATTCAACTCACAGAGCTGAACGTTCCCTTAGACAGAGCAGATTTGAAACACTCTTTTTGTGCAATTGGCAAGTGGTGATTTCAGCTGCTTTGAGGTCAATGGTAGAAAAGGGAATATCTTCGTATAAAAACTAGACAGAATCATTCTCAGAAACTGCTCTGCGATGTGTGCGTTCAACTCTCAGAGTTTAACTTTTCTTTTCATTCAGCAGTTTGGAAACACTCTGTTTGTAAAGTCTGCACGTGGATAATTTGACCACTTAGAGGCCTTCCTTGGAAACGGGTTTTTTTCATGTAAGTCTAGACAGAAGAATTCCCAGTAACTTCCTTGTGTTGTGTACATTCAACTCACAGAGTTGAACGTTTCCTTAGACAGAGCAGATTTGAAACACTCTTTTTGTGCAATTGGCAAGTGGTGATTTCAGCCGCTTTGAGGTCAATGGTAGAAAAGGAAATATCTTCGTAAAAAAACTAGACAGAATGATTCTCAGAAACTTCATTGTGATGTGTGCGTTCAACTCACAGAGTTTAACCTTTCTTTTCATAGAGCAGTTAGGAAACACTCTGTTTGTAAACTCTGCAAGTGGATATTCACACCTCTTTGAGGCCTTCGTTGGAAACGGGATTTCTTCATACTGTGCTAGACAGAAGAATTCTCAGTAACTTCCTTGTGTTGTGTGTATTCAACTCACAGAGTTGAACGATCCTTTACACAGAGCAGACTTGAAACACTCTTTTTGTGGAATTTGCAAGTGGAGATTTCAGCCGCGTTGAGGTCAATGGTAGAAAAGGTAATATCTTCGTATAAAAACTAGACAGAATCATTCTCAGAAACTGCTGCGTGATGTGTGCGTTCAACTCTCAGAGTTTAACTTTTCTTTTCATTCAGCGGTTTGGAAACACTCTGTTTGTAAAGTCTGCACGTGGAAATTTTGTCCACTTAGAGGCCTTCGTTGGAAACGGGTTTTTTTCATGTAAGGCTAGACAGAAGAATTCCCAGTAACTTCCTTGTGTTGTGTGCATTCAACTCACAGAGTTGAACGTTCCCTTAGACAGAGCAGATTTGAAACACTCTATTTGTGCAATTTGCAAGTGTAGTTTTCAAGCTCTTTAAGGTCAACGGCAGAAAAGGAAATATCTTCGTTTCAAAACTAGACAGAATGATTCTCAGAAACTCCTTTGTGATGTGTGCGTTCAACTCACAGAGTTTAACCTTTCTTTTCATAGAGCAGTTGGGAAACACTCTGTTTGTAAAGTCTGCAAGTGGATATTCAGACCTCCTTGAGGCTTTCGTTGGAAACGGGATTTCTTCATATTCTGCTAGACAGAATAATTCTCAGTAACTTCCTTGTGTTGTGTGTATTCAACTCACAGAGTTGAACGATCCTTTACACAGAGCAAACTTGAAACACTCTTTTTGTGGAATTTGCAAGTGGAGATTTCAGCCGCTTTGAGGTCAATGGTAGAATAGGAAATATCTTCCTATAGAAACTAGACAGAGTGATTCTCAGAAACTCCTTTGTGATGTGTGCGTTCAACTCACAGAGTTTAACCTTTCTTTTCATAGAGCAGTTAGGAAACACTCTGTTTGTAAAGTCTGCAAGTGGATATTCAGACATCCTTGAGGCTTTCGTTGGAAACGGGATTTCTTCATATTCTGCTAGAAAGAAGAATTCCCAGTAACTTCCTTGTGTTGTGTGTGTTCAACTCACAGAGTTGAACTTTCATTTACACAGAGCAGATTTGAAACACTCTTTTTGTGCAATTTGCAAGTGGAGATTTCAAGCGCTTTGAGGCCAAAGGCAGAAAAGGAAATATCTTCGTTTCAAAACTAGACAGAATCATTCTCAGAAACTGCTGCGTGATGTGTGCGTTCAACACTCAGAGTTTAACTTTTCTTTTCATTCAGCGGTTTGGAAACACTCTGTTTGTAAAGTCTGCACGTGGATAATTTGACCACTTAGAGGCCTTCGTTGGAAACGGGATTTTTTCATGTAAGGCTAGACAGAAGAATTCCCAGTAACTTCCTTGTGTTGTGTGCATTCAACTCACAGAGTTGAACGTTCCCTTAGACAGAGCAGATTTGAAACACTCTATTTGTGCAATTTGCAAGTGTAGTTTTCAAGCTCTTTAAGGTCAACGGCAGAAAAGGAAATATCTTGGTTTCAAAACTAGACAGAATGATTCTCAGAAACTTCTTTGTGATGTGTGCGTTCAACTCACACAGTTTAACCTCTCTTTTCATAGAGCAGTTAGGAAACACTCTGTTTGTAAAGTCTGCAAGTGGATATTCAGACCTCCTTGAGGCCTTCGTTGGAAACGGGATTTCTTCATATTATGCTAGACAGAAGAATTCTCAGTAACTTCCTTGTTTTGTGTGTATTCAACTCACAGAGTTGAACGATCCTTTACACAGAGCAGACTTGTAACACTCTTTTTGTGGAATTTGCAAGTGGAGATTTCAGCCGCTTTGAAGTCAAAGGTAGAAAAGGAAATATCTTCCTATAAAAACTAAACAGATAATGATTCTCAGAAACTCCTTTGTGATGTGTGCGTTCAACTCACAGAGTTTAACCTTTCTTTTCATAGAGCAGTTAGTAAACACTCTGTTTATAAAGTCTGCAAGTGGATATTCAGACCCCTTTGAGGCCTTCGTTGGAAACGGGATTTCTTCATATTCTGCTAGACAGAAGAATTCTCAGTAACTTCCTTGTGTTGTGTGTATTCAACTCACAGAGTTGAACTTTCATTTGGAGAGAGCAGATTTGAAACACTGTTTTTGTGGAATTTGCAAGTGGAGATTTCAAGCGCTTTGGGGCCAAAGGCAGAAAAGGAAATATCTTCGTATAAAAACGAGACAGAATCATTCTCAGAAACTGCTGCGTGATGTGTGCGTTCAACTCTCAGAGTTTAACTTTTCTTTTCATTCAGCGGTTTGGAAACACTCTGTTTGTAAAGTCTGCACGTGGATATTTTGACCACTTAGAGGCCTTCGTTGGAAACGGGTTTTTTTCAAGTAAGGCTAGACAGAAGAATTCTCAGTAACTTCCTTGTGTTGTGTGTATTCAACTCACAGAGTTAAACGATCCTTTACACAGAGGAGACTTGTAACACTCTTTTTGTGGAATTTGCAAGTGGAGATTTCAGCCGCTTTGAAGTCAAAGGTAGAAAAGGAAATATCTTCCTATAAAAACTAGACAGAATCATTCCCACAAACTGCGTTGTGATGTGTTCGTTCATCTCACAGAGTTTAACCTTTCTTTTCGTAGAGCAGTTAGGAAACAGTCTGTTTGTAAATTCTGTAAGTGGATATTCTGACATCTTGTGGCCTTCGTTGGAAACGGGATTTCTTCATATTCTGCTAGACAGAAGAATTCTCAGTAACTTCCTTGTGTTGTGTGTATTCAACTCACAGAGTTGAATGATCCTTTACACAGAACAGTCTTGAAACACTCTTTTTGTGGAATTTGCAAGTGGAGATTTCATCCGCTTTGAGGTCAATGGTAGAATAGGAAATATCTTCCTATAGAAACTAGACAGAATGATTCTCAGAAACTTCTTTGTGATGTGTGCGTTCAACTCACAGAGTTTAACCTTTCTTTTCATAGAGCAGTTAGGAAACACTCTGTGTGTAAACTCTGCAAGTGGATATTCAGACCTGTTTGAGGCCTTCGTTGGAAACGGGATTTCTTCATACTATGCTAGACAGAAGAATTCCAAGTAACTTCCTTGTGTTGTGTGTGTTCAACTCACAGAGTTGAACTTTCATTTACACAGAGCAGATTTGAAACACTCTTTTTGTGGAATTTGCAAGTGGAGATTTCAAGCGCTTTGAGGGCAAAGGCAGAAAAGGAAATATCTTCGTTTCAAAACTAGACAGAATCATTCCCACAAACTGCGTTGTGATGTGTTCGTTCAGCTCACAGAGTTTAACCTTTCTTTTCATAGAGCAGTTAGGAAACACTCTGTTGGTAAATTCTGTAAGTGGATATTCTGACATCTTGTGGCCTTCGTTGGAAACGGGATTTCTTCATATTCTGCTAGACAGAAGAATTCCCAGTAACTTCCTTGTGTTGTGTGCATTCAACTCACACAGTTGAACGTTCCGTTAGACAGAGCAGATTTGAAACACTCTTTTTGTGCAATTTGCAAGTGGAGATTTCAAGCGCTTTAGGGTCAATGGCAGAAAAGGAAATATCTTCGTTTCAAAACTAGACAGAATCATTCCCACAAACTGCGTTGTGATGTGTTCGTTCAACTCACAGAGTTTAACCTTTCTTTTCATAGAGCAGTTAGGAAATACTCTGTTTGTAAAGTCTGCAAGTGGATATTCAGACCTCTTTGAGGCCTTCGTTGGAAACGGGATTTCTTCATATTCTGCTGGACAGAAGAATTCTCAGAATCTTCCTTGTGTTGTGTGTATTCAACTCACAGAGTTGAACGATCCTTTACACAGAGCAGACTTGAAACACTCTTTTTGTGGAATTTGCAAGTGGAGATTTCAGCCGCTTTGAAGTCAAAGGTAGAAAAGGAAATAACTTCCTATAAAAACTAGACAGAATGATTCTCAGAAACTCCTTTGTGATGTGTGCGTTCAACTCACACAGTTTAACCTTTCTTTTCATAGAGCAGTTAGGAAACACTCTGTTTGTAAAGTCTGCAAGTGGATATTCAGACCTCCTTGAGGCCTTCGTTGGAAACGGGATTTCTTCATATTATGCTAGACAGAAGAATTCTCAGTAACTTCCTTGTGTTGTGTGTATTCAACTCACAGAGTTGAACGATCCTTTACACAGAGCAGACTTGAAACACTCTTTTTGTGGAATTTGCAAGTGGAGATTTCAGCCGCTTTGAGGTCAATGGTAGAATAGGAAATATCTTCATATAGAAATTAGACAGAATCATTCTCAGAAACTGCTCTGCGATGTGTGTGTTCAACTCTCAGAGTTTAACTTTTCTTTTCATTCAGCAGTTTGGAAACACTCTGTTTGTAAAGTCTGCACGTGGATATTTTCACCACTTAGAGGCCTTCGTTGGAAACGGGTTTTTTTCCTGTAAGGCTAGACAGAAGAATTCCCAGTAACTTCCTTGTGTTGTGTACATTCAACTCACAGAGTTGAACGTTCCCTTAGACAGAGCAGATTTGAAACACTCTTTTTGTGCAATTGGCAAATGGAGATTTCAAGCGCTTTAAGGTCAATGGCAGAAAAGGAAATATCTTCGTTTCAAAACTAGACAGAATGATTCTCAGAAACTCCTTTGTGATGTGTGCGTTCAACTCACAGAGTTCAACCTTTCTTTTCATAGAGCAGTTGGGAAACACTCTGTTTGTAAAGTCTGCAAGCGGATATTCAGACTTCTTTGAGGCCTTCGTTGGAAGCGGGATTTCTTCATATTCTGCTAGACAGAAGAATTCTCAGTAACTTCCTTGTGTTGTGTGTATTCAACTCACAGAGTTGAACGATCCTTTACACAGAGCAGACTTGAAACACTCTTTTTGTGGAATTTGCAAGTGGGGATTTCAGCCGCTTTGAGGTCAATGGTAGAATAGGAAATATCTTCCTATAGAAACTAGACAGAATGATTCTCAGAAACTCCTTTGTGATGTGTGCGTTCAACTCACAGAGTTTATCCTTTCTTTTCATAGAGCAGTTAGGAAACACTCTGTTTGTAAAGTCTGCAAGTGGATATTCAGACATCCTTGAGGCTTTCGTTGGAAACGGGATTTCTTCATATTCTGCTAGAAAGAAGAATTCTCAGTAACTTCCTTGTGTTGTGTGTATTCAACTCACAGAGTTGAACGATCCTTTTCACAGAGCAGACTTGAAACACTCTTTTTGTGGAATTTGCAAGTGGAGATTTCAGCCGCTTTGAGGTCAATGGTAGAATAGGAAATATCTTCCTAAAGAAACTAGACAGAATCATTCTCAGAAACTGCTGCGTGATGTGTGCGTTCAACTCTCAGAGTTTAACTTTTCTTTTCATTCAGCGGTTTGGAAACACTCTGTTTGTAAAGTCTGCACGTGGATATTCAGACCTCTTTGAGGCCTTCGTTGGAAACGGGTTTTTTTCATGTAAGGCTAGACAGAAGAATTCCCAGTAACTTCCTTGTGTTGTGTGCATTCAACTCACAGAGTTGAACGTTCCCTTAGACAGAGCAGATTTGAAACACTCTATTTGTGCAATTTGCAAGTGTAGATTTCAAGCGCATTAAGGTCAATGGCAGAAAAGGAAATATCTTCGTTTCAAAATTAGACAGAATCATTCCCACAAACTGCGTTGTGATGTGTTCGTTCAACTCACAGAGTTTAACCTTTCTGTTCATAGAGCAGTTAGGAAACACTCTGTTTGTAAAGTCTGCAAGTGGATATTCAGACCTCCTTGAGGCCTTCGTTGGAAACGGGATTTCTTCATATTCTGCTAGACAGAAGAATTCTCAGTAACTTCCTTGTGTTGTGTGTATTCAACTCACAGAGTTGACCGATCCTTTACACAGAGCAGACTTCTAACACTCTTTTTGTGGCATTTGCAAGTGGAGATTTCAGCCGCTTTGAAGTCAAAGGTAGAAAAGGGAATATCTTCCTATAAAAACTAGACAGAATGATTCTCAGAAACTTCTTTGTGATGTGTGCGTTCAACTCACAGAGTTTAACCTTTCTTTTCATAGAGCAGTTAGGAAACACTCTGTTTGTAAAGTCTGCAAGTGGATATTCAGACCTCTTTGAGGCCTTCGTTGGAAACGGGTTTTTTACATATAAGGCTAAACAGAAGAATTCCCCAGTAACTTCCTTGTGTTGTGTGTGTTCAACTCACAGAGTTGAACTTTCATTTACACAGAGCAGATTTGAAACACTCTTTTTGTGGAATTTGCAAGTGGAGATTTCAAGCGCTTTGAGGCCAAAGGCAGAAAAGGAAATATCTTCGTATAAAAACTAGACAGAATCATTCTCAGAAACTGCTGCGTAATGTGTGCGTTCAACTCTCAGAGTTTAACTTTTCTTTTCATTCAGCGGTTTGGAAACACTCTGTTTGTAAAGTCTGCACGTGGAAATTTTGACCACTTAGAGGCCTTCGTTGGAAACGGGTTTTTTTCATGTAAGGCTAGACAGAAGAATTCCCAGTAACTTCCTTGTGTTGTGTGCATTCAACTCACAGAGTTGAACGTTCCCTTAGACAGAGCAGATTTGAAACACTCTATTTGTGCAATTTGCAAGTGTAGATTTCAAGCGCTTTAAGGTCAACGGCAGAAAAGGAAATATCTTCGTTTCAAAACTAGACAGAATCATTCCCACAAACTGCGTTGTGATGTGTTCGTTCAACTCACAGAGTTTAACCTTTCTGTTCATAGAGCAGTTAGGAAACACTCTGTTTGTAAAGTCTGTAAGTGGATATTCTGACAACTTGTGGCCTTCGTTGGAAACGGGATTTCTTCCTATTCTGCTAGACAGAAGAATTCTCAGTAACTTCCTTGTGTTGTGTGTATTCAACTCACAGAGTTGAACGATCCTTTACACAGAGCAGACTTGAAGCACTCTTTTTGTGGAATTTGCAAGTGGAGATTCCAGCCTCTTTGAGGTCAATAGTAGAAAAGGAAATATCTTCGTAGAAAAACTAGACAGAATGATTCTCATAAACTCCTTTGTGATGTCTGCGTTCAACTCACAGAGTTTAACCTTTCTTTTCATAGAGCAGTTAGGAAACACTCTGTTTGTAAAGTCTGCAAGTGGATATTCAGACCTCTTTGAGGCCTTCGTTGGAAACGGGATTTCTTCATATTATGCTAGACAGAAGAATTCTGAGTAACTTCCTTGTGTTGTGTGTATTCATCTGACAGAGTTGAACTTTCAGTTAGACAGAGCAGAATTCAAACACTGTTTTTGTGGAATTTGCAAGTGGAGATTTCAAGCGCTTTGGGGCCAAAGGCACAAAAGGAAATATCTTCGTATAAAAATTAGACAGAATCATTCTCAGAAACTGCTCTGCGATGTGTGCGTTCAACTCTCAGAGTTTAACTTTTCTTTTCATTCAGCAGTTTGGAAACACTCTGTTTGTAAAGTCTGCACGTGGATAACTTGACCACTTAGAGGACTTCGTTGGAAACGGGTTTTTTTCCTGTAAGGCTAGACAGAAGAATTCCCAGTAACTTCCTTGTGTTGTGTGCATTCAACTCACAGAGTTGAACGTTCCCTTAGACAGAGCAGATTTGAAACACTCTATTTGTGCAATTTGCAAGTGTAGTTTTCAAGCTCTTTAAGGTCAACGGCAGAAAAGGAAATATCTTCGTTTCAAAACTAGACAGAATCATTCCCAAAAACTGCGTTGTGATGTGTTCGTTCATCTCACAGAGTTTAACCTTTCTTTTCATAGAGCAGTTAGGAAACACTCTGTTTGTAAATTCTGTAAGTGGATATTCTGACATCTTGTGGCCTTCGTTGGAAACGGGATTTCTTCATATTCTGCTAGACAGAATAATTCTTAGTAATTTCCTTGTGTTGTGTGTATTCAACTCACAGAGTTGAAGGATCCTTTACAGAGAGCAGGCTTGAAACACTCTTTTTGTCGAATTTGCAAGTGGAGATTTCAGCCGCTTTGAGGTCAATGGTAGAATAGGAAATATCTTCTTATAGAAACTAGACAGAATGATTCTCAGAAACTCCTTTGTGATGTGTGCGTTCAACACACACAGTTTAACCTTTCTTTTCATAGAGCAGTTAGGAAACACTCTGTTTGTAAAGTCTGCAAGTGGATATTCAGACCTCCTTGAGGCCTTCGTTGGAAACTGGATTTCTTCATATTATGCTAGACAGAAGAATTCTCAGTAACTTCCCTTGTGTTGTGTGTATTCAACTGACAGAGTTGAACTTTCATTTGGAGAGAGCAGATTTGAAACACTGTTTTTGTGGAATTTGCAAGTGGAGATTTCAAGCGCTTTGGGGCCAAAGGCAGAAAAGGAAATATCTTCGTAGAAAAACTAGACAGAATCATTCTCAGAAACTGCTGCGTGATGTGTGCGTTCAACTCTCAGAGTTTAACCTTTCTTTTCATTCAGCGGTTTGGAAACACTCTGTTTGTAAAGTCTGCACGTGGATATTTTGACCACTTAGAGGCCTTCGTTGGAAACGGGTTTTTTTCATGTAAGGCTAGACAGAAGAATTCCCAGTAACTTCCTTGTGTTGTGTACATTCAACTCACAGAGTTGAACGTTCCCTTAGACAGAGCATATTTGAAACACTCTTTTTGTGCAATTGGCAAGTGGAGATTTCAAGCGCTTTAAGGTCAATGGCAGAAAAGGAAATATCTTCGTTTCAAAACTAGACAGAATGATTCTCATAAACTCCTTTGTGATGTGTGCGTTCAACACACAGAGTTTAACCTTTCTGTTCATAGAGCAGTTAGGAAACACTCTGTTTGTAAAGTCTGTAAGTGCATATTCTGACATCTTGTGGCCTTCGTTGGAAACGGGATTTCTTCATATTCTGCTAGACAGAAGAATTCTCAGTAACTTCCTTGTGTTGTGTGTATTCAACTCACAGGGTTGAACGATCCTTTACACAGAGCAGACTTGAAACACTCTTTTTGTGGAATTTGCAAGTGGCGATTTCAGCCTCTTTGAGGTCAATGGTAGAATAGGAAATATCTTCCTATAGAAAATAGACAGAATGATTCTCAGAAACTCCTTTGTGATGTGTGCGTTCAACTCACAGAGTTTAACCTTTCTTTTTATAGAGCAGTTAGGAAACACTCTGTTTGTAAAGTCTGCAAGTGGATATTCAGACCTCCTTGAGGCCTTCTTTGGAAACGGGATTTCTTCCTATTATGCTAGACAGAAGAATTCTCAGTAACTTCCTTGTGTTGTGTGTATTCAACTGACAGAGTTGAACTTTCATTTAGAGAGAGCAGATTTGAAACACTGTTTTTGTGGAATTTGCAAATGGAGATTTCAAGCGCTTTGGGGCCAAAGGCAGAAAAGGAAATATCTTCGGTATAAAAACTAGACAGAATCATTCTCAGAAACTGCTCTGTGATGTGTGCGTTCAACTCTCAGGAGTTTAACTTTTCTTTTCATTCAGCAGTTTGGAAACACTCTGTTTGTAAAGTCTGCACGTGGATAATTTGACCACTTAGAGGCCTTCGTTGGAAACGGGTTTTTTTCATGTAAGGCTAGACAGAAGAATTCCCAGTAACTTCCTTGTGTTGTGTGCATTCAACTCACAGAGTTGAAAGTTCCCTTAGACAGAGCAGATTTGAAACACTCTATTTGTGCAATTTGCAAGTGTAGATTTCAAGCGCTTTAAGGTCAACGGCAGAAAAGGAAATATCTTCGTTTCAAAACTAGACAGAATCATTCCCACAAACTGCGTTGTGATGTGTTCGTTCAACTCACAGAGTTTAACCTTTCTTTTCATAGAGCACTTAGGAAACAGTCTGTTTGTAAATTCTGTAAGTGGATATTCTGACATCTTGTGCCCTTCGTTGGAAACGGGATTTCTTCATATTCTGCTAGACAGAAGAATTCTCAGAATCTTCCTTGTGTTCTGTGTATTCAACTCACAGAGTTGAACGATGGTTTACACAGAGCAGATTTGAAACACTCTTTTTGTGGAATTAGCAAGTGGAGATTTCAGCCGCTTTGAGGTCAATGGTAGAAAAGGAAATATCTTCGTATAAAAACTAGACAGAATGATTCTCAGAAAATCTTTTGTGATGTGTGCGTTCAACTCACAGAGTTTAACTTTTCTTCTCATAGAGCAGTTAGGAAACACTCTGTTTGTAAAGTCTGCAAGTGGATATTCAGACCTCTTTGAGGCCTTCGTTGGAAACGGGATTTCTTCATATTATGCCAGACAGAAGAATTCCCAGTAACTTCCTTGTGTTGTGTTTGTTCAACTCACAGAGTTGAACTTTCATTTACACAGAGCAGATTTGAAACACTCTTTTTGTGGAATTTGCAAGTGGAGATTTCAAGCGCTTTGAGGCCAAAGGCAGAAAAGGAAATATCTTCGTTTCAAAACTAGACAGAATCATTCTCAGAAAGTGCTCTGCGATGTGTGCGTTCAACTCTCAGAGTTTAACTTTGCTTTTCATTCAGCAGTTTGGAAACACTCTGTTTGTAAAGTCTGCACGTGGATAATTTGACCACTTAGAGGCCTTCGTTGGAAACGGGTTTTTTTCATGTAAGGCTAGACAGAAGAATTCCCAGTAACTTCCCTTGTGTTGTGTACATTCAACTCACAGAGTTGAACGTTCCCTTAGACAGAGCAGATTTGAAACACTCTTTTTGGGCAATTGGCAAGTGGAGATTACAAGCGCTTTAAGGTCAATGGCAGAAAAGGAAATATCTTCGTTTCAAAACTAGACAGAATCATTCCCACAAACTGCGTTGTGATGTGGTCGTTCAACTCACAGAGCTTAACCTTTCTGTTCATAGAGCAGTTAGGAAACACTCTGTTTGTAAAGTCTATAAGTGGATATTCTGACATCTTGTGGCCTTCGTTGGAAACGGGATTTCTTCATATTCTGCTAGACAGAATAATTCTCAGTAACTTCCTTGTGTTGTGTGTATTCAACTCAGAGAGTTGAACGATCCTTTACAGAGAGCAGACTTGAAACACTCTTTTTGTGGAATTTGCAAGTGGAGATTTCAGCCGCTTTGAGGTCAATGGTAGAAAAGGAAATATCTTCGTATAAAGACTAGACAGAATGATTCTCAGAAACTCCTTTGTGATGTGTGCGTTCAACTCACAGAGTTTAACCTTTCTTTTCATAGAGCAGTTAGGAAACACTCTGTTTCTAAAGTCTGCAAGTGGATATTCAGACATCTTTGGGGCCTTCGTTGGAAACGGGATTTCTTCATGTTCTGCTAGACAGAAGAATTCCCAGTAACTTCCTTGTGTTGTGTACATTCAACTCACAGAGTTGAACGTTCCCTTAGACAGAGCAGATTTGAAACACACTTTTTGTGCAATTGGCAAGCGGAGATTTCAAGCGCTTTAAGGTCAATGGCAGAAAAGGAAATATCTTCGTTTCAAAACTAGACAGAATCATTCTCAGAAACTGCTCTGCGATGTGTGCGTTCAACTCTCAGAGTTTAACTTTTCTTTTCATTCAGCAGCTTGGAAACACTCTGTTTGTAAAGTCTGCACGTGGATATTTTGACCACTTAGAGGCCTTCGTTGGAAACGGGTTTTTTTCCTGTAAGGCTAGACAGAAGAATTCCCAGTAACTTCCTTGTGTTGTGTGCATTCAACTCACAGAGTTGAACGTTCCCTTAGACAGAGCAGATTTGAAACACTCTATTTGTGCAATTTGCAAGTGTAGATTTCAAGCGCTTTAAGGTCAATGGCAGAAAAGGAAATATCTTCGTTTCAAAACTAGACAGAATCATTCCCACAAACTGCGTTGTGATGTGTTCGTTCAACTCACAGAGTTTAACCTTTCTTTTCATAGAGCAGTTAGGAAACAGTCTGTTTGTCAATTCTGTAAGTGGATATTCTGACATCTTGTGGCATTCGTTGGAAACGGGATTTCTTCATATTCTGCTAGACAGAAGAATTCTCAGTAACTTCCTTGTGTTGTGTGTATTCAACTCACAGAGTTGAACGATCCTTTACACAGAGCAGACTTGAAACACTCTTTTTGTGGAATTTGTAAGTGGAGATTTCAGCCGCGTTGAGGTCAATGGTAGAAAAGGAAATATCTTCGTATAAAAACTAGACAGAATGATTCTCAGAAACTCCTTTGTGATGTGTGTGTTCAACTCACAGAGTTTAACCTTTCTTTTCATAGAGCAGTTAGGAATCACTCTGTTTGTAAAGTCTGCAAGTGGATATTCAGACCTCTTTGAGGCCTTCGTTGGAAACGGGTTTTTTTCATATAAGGCTAGACAGAAGAATTCTCAGTAACTTCCCCTGTGTTGTGTGTATTCAACTGACAGAGTCGAACTTTCATTTAGAGAGAGCAGATTTGTAACACTGTTTTTGTGGAATTTGCAAGTGGAGATTTCAAGCGCTTTGGGGCCAAAGGCAGAAAAGGAAATATCTTCGTATAAAAACTAGACAGAATCATTCTCAGAAACTGCTGCGTGATGTATGCGTTCAACTCTCAGAGTTTAACTTTTCTTTTCATTCAGCAGTTTGGAAACACTCTGTTTGTAAAGTCTGCACGTGGATATTTTGACCACTTAGAGGCCTTCGTTGGAAACGGGTTTTTTTCATGTAAGGCTAGACAGAAGAATTCCCAGTAACTTCCTTGTGTTGTGTGCATTCAACTCACAGAGTTGAACGTTCCCTTAGACAGAGCAGATTTGAAACACTCTATTTGTGCAATTTACAAGTGTAGTTTTCAAGCTCTTTAAGGTCAACGGCAGAAAAGGAAATATCTTCGTTTCAAAACTAGACAGAATGATTCTCATAAACTCCTTTGTGATGTGTGCGTTCAACTCACAGAGTTTAACCTTTCTTTTCATAGAGCAGTTAGGAAACACTCTGTTTGTAAAGTCTGCAACTGGATATTCAGACCTCTTTGAGGCCTTCGTTGGAAACGGGATTTCTTCATATTCTGCTAGACAGAAGAATTCTCAGTAACTTCTTTGTGTTGTGTGTATTCAACTCACAGAGTTGAACGATCCTTTACACAGAGCAGACTTGAAACACTCTTTTTGTGGAATTTGCAAGTGGAGATTTCAGCCGCTTTGAGGTCAATGGTAGAATAGGAAATATCTTCCTATAGAAAATAGACAGAATGATTCTCAGAAACTCCTTTGTGATGTGTGCGTTCAACTCACAGAGTTTAACCTTTCTTTTCATAGAGCAGTTAGGAAACACTCTGTTTGTAAAGTCTGCAAGTGGATACTCAGACCTCCTTGAGGCCTTCGTTGGAAACGGGATTTCTTCATATTATGCTAGACAGAAGAATTCTCAGTAACTTCCCTTGTGTTGTGTGTATTCAACTCACAGAGTTGAACGATCCTTTACAGAGAGCAGACTTGAAACACTCTTTTTGTGGAATTTGCAAGTGGAGATTTCAGCCGCTTTGTGGTCAATGGTAGAATAGGAAATATCTTCCTATAGAAACTAGACAGAATGATTCTCAGAAACTCCTTTGTGATGTGTGCGTTCAACTCACAGAGTTTAACCTTTCTTTTCATAGAGCAGTTAGGAAACACTCTGTTTGTAAAGTCTACAAGTTGATATACAGACCTCTTTGAGGCCTTCGTTGGAAACGGGATTTCTTCATATTCTGCTAGAGAGAAGAATTCCCAGTAACTTCCTTGTGTTGGGTGCATTCAACTCACAGAGTTGAACGTTCCCTTAGACAGAGCAGATTTGAAACAGCCTATTTGTGCAATTTGCAAGTGTAGATTTCAAGCGCTTTAAGGTCAACTGCAGGAAAGGAAATATCTTCCTTTCAAAACTAGACAGAATCATTCCCACAAACTGCGTTGTGATGTGTTCGTTCAACTCACAGAGTTTAACCTTTCTGTTCATAGAGCAGTTAGGAAACACTCTGTTTGTAAAGTCAGTAAGTGGATATTCTGACATCTTGTGGCCTTTGTTGGAAACGGGATTTCTTCATATTCTGCTAGACAGAATAATTCTCAGTAACTTCCTTGTGTTGTGTGTATTCAACTCACAGTAGTTGAACGATCCTTTACAGAGAGCAGACTTGAAACACTCTTTTTGTGGAATTCGCAAGTGGAGATTTCAGCCGCTTTGAGGTCAATGGTAGAAAAGGAAATGTCTTCGTATAAAGACTAGACAGAATGATTCTCAGAAACTCCTTTGTGATGTGTGCGTTCAACTCACAGAGTTTAACCTTTCTTTTCATAGAGTAGTTAGGAAACACTCTGCTTGTAAAGTCTGCAAGTGGATATTCAGCCCTCTTTGAGGCCTTCGTTGGAAACGGGTTTTTTTCATATAAGGCTAGACAGAAGAATTCTCAGTAACTTCCTTGTGTTGTGTGTATTCAACTGACAGAGTTGAACTTTCATTTAGAGAGAGCAGATTTGAAACACTGTTTTTGTGGAATTTGCAAGTGGAGATTTCAAGCGCTTTGGGGCCAAAGGCAGAAAAGGAAATATCTTCGTATAAAAACTACACAGAATCATTCTCAGAAAGTGCTCTGCGATGTGTGCGTTCAACTCTCAGAGTTTAACTTTGCTTTTCATTCAGCAGTTTGGAAACACTCTGTTTGTAAAGTCTGCACGTGGATAATTTGACCACTTAGAGGCCTTCGTTGGAAACGGGTTTTTTTCATGTAAGGCTAGACAGAAGAATTCCCAGTAACTTCCTTGTGTTGTGTGCATTCAACTCACAGAGTTGAACGTTCCCTTAGACAGAGCAGATTTGAAACACTCTATTTGTGCAACTTGCAAGTGTAGTTTTCAAGCTCTTTAAGGTCAACGGCAGAAAAGGAAATATCTTCGTTTCAAAACTAGACAGAATGATTCTCAGAAACTCCTTTGTGATGTGTGCGTTCAACTCACAGAGTTTAACTTTTCTTTTCAAAGAGCAGTTAGGAAACACTCTCTTTGTAAAGTCTGCAAGTGGATATTCAGACCTCTTTGAGGCCTTCGTTGGTAACGGGATTTCTTCATATTCTGCTAGACAGAAGAATTCTCAGTAACTTCCTTGTGTTGTGTGTATTCAACTCACAGAGTTGAACGATCCTTTACACAGAGCAGACTTGAAACATTCTTTTTGTGGAATTTGCAAGTGGAGATTTCAGCCGCTTTGAGGTCAATAGTAGAAAAGGAAATATCTTCGTAGAAAAACTAGACAGAATGATTCTCAGAAACTCCTTTGTGATGTGTGCGTTCAACTCACAGAGTTTAACCTTTCTTTTCATGGAGCAGTTAGGAAACACTCTGTTTGTAAAGTCTGCAAGGGGATATTCAGACCTCTTTGAGGCTTTCGTTGGAAACGGGATTTCTTCATATTCTGCTAGACAGAAGAATTCCCAGTAACTTCCTTGTGTTGTGTGTTTTCAACTCACAGAGTTGAACTTTCATTTACCCAGAGCAGATTTGAAACACTCTTTTTGTGGAATTTGCAAGTGGAGATTTCAAGCGCTTTGAGGCCAAAGGCAGAAAAGGAAATATCTTCGTTTCAAAACTAGACAGAATCATTCTCAGAAACTGCTGCGTGATGTGTGCGTTCAACTCTCAGAGTTTAACTTTTCTTTTCATTCAGCGGTTTGGAAACACTCTGTTTGTAAAGTCTGCACGTGGATATTTTGACCACTTAGAGGCCTTCGTTGGAAACGGGTTTTCTTCATGTAAGGCTAGACAGAAGAATTCCCAGTAACTTCCTTGTGTTGTGTACATTCAACTCACAGAGTTGAACGTTCCCTTAGACAGAGCAGATTTGAAACACTCTTTTTGTGCAATTGGCAAGTGGAGATTTCAAGCGCTTTAAGGTCAATGGCAGAAAAGGAAATATCTTCGTTTCAAAACTAGACAGAATCATTCCCACAAACTGCGTTGTGATGTGTTCGTTCAACTCACACAGTTTAACCTTTCTTTTCATAGAGCAGTTAGGAAACACTCTGTTGGTAAATTCTGTAAGTGGATATTCTGACATCTTGTGGCCTCCGTTGGAAACGGGATTTCTTCATATTCTGCTAGACAGAATAATTCTCAGTAACTTCCTTGTGTTGTGTGTATTCAACTCACAGAGTTGAACGATCCTTTACAGAGAGCAGATTTGAAACACTCTTTTTGTGGAATTTGCAAGTGGAGATTTCAGCCGCTTTGAGGTCAAAGGTAGAATAGCAAATATCTTCCTATAGAAACTAGACAGAACGATTCTCAGAAACTCCTTTGTGATGTGTGCGTTCAACTCACAGAGTTTAACCTTTCTTTTCATAGAGCAGTTAGGAAACACTCTGTTTGAAAAGTCTGCACGTGGATATTCAGACCTCTTTGAGGCCTTCGTTGGAAACGGGATTTCTTCCTATTCTGCTAGACAGAAGAATTCCCAGTAACTTCCTAGTGTTGTGTGTGTTCAACTCACAGAGTTGAACTTTCATTTACACAGAACAGATTTGAAACACTCTTTTTGTGGAATTTGCAAGTGGAGATTTCAAGCGCTTTGAGGCCAAAGGCAGAAAAGGAAATATCTTCGTATAAAAACTAGACAGAATCATTCTCAGAAACTGCTCTGCGATGTGTGCGTTCAACTCTCAGAGTTTAACTTTTCTTTTCATTCAGCAATTTGGAAACAGTCTGTTTGTAAAGTCTGCACGTGGATAACTTGACCACTTAGAGGCCTTCGTTGGAAACGGGTTTTTTTCATGTAAGGCTAGACAGAAGAATTCCCAGTAACTTCCTTGTGTTGTGTGCATTCAACTCACAGAGTTGAACGTTCCCTTAGACAGAGCAGATTTGAAACACTCTATTTGTGCAATTTGCAAGTGTAGATTTCAAGCGCTTTAAGGTCAATGGCAGAAAAGGAAATATCTTCGTTTCAAAACTAGACAGAATGATTCTCAGAAACTGCTTTGTGATGTGTGCGTTAAACTCACAGAGTTTAACCTTTCTTTTCATAGAGCAGTTAGGAAACACTCTGTTTGTAAAGTCTGCAAGTGGATATTCAGACATCTTTGAGGCTTTCGTTGGAAACGGGATTTCTTCATATTCTGCTAGGCAGAAGAATTCTCAGAAACTTCGATGTGTTGTGTGTTTTCAACTCACAGAGTTCAACGATCATTTACACAGAGTAGACTTGAAACACTCTTTTTGTGGAATTGGCAGGGTGGAGATTTCAGCCGCTTTGAGGTCAATGGTAGAAAAGGAAATATCTTCGTATAAAAACTAGACAGAGTGATTCTCAGAAACTCCTTTGTGATGTCTGCGTTCAACTCACAGAGTTTAACCTTTCTTTTCATAGAGCAGTTAGGAAACACTCTGTTTGTAAAGTCTGCAAGCGGATATTCAGACCTCCTTGAGGGCTTCGTTGGAAACGGGATTTCTTCATATTATGCTAGACAGAAGAATTCCCAGTAACTTCCTTGTGTTGTGTTTGTTCAACTCACAGAGTTGAACTTTCATTTACACAGAGCAGATTTGAAACACTCTTTTTGTGGAATTTGCAAATGGAGATTTCAAGCGCTTTGAGGCCAAAGGCAGAAAAGGAAATATCTTCGTATAAAAACTAGACAGAATCATTCTCAGAAACTGCTGCGTGATGTATGCGTTCCACTATCAGAGTTTAACTTTTCTTTTCATTCAGCGGTTTGGAAACACTCTGTTTGTAAAGTCTGCACGTGGATATTTTGACCACTTAGAGGCCTTCGTTGGAAACGGGTTTTTTGCATGTAAGGCTAGACAGAAGAATTCCCAGTAACTTCCTTGTGTTGTGTGCATTCAACTCACAGTGTTGAACGTTCCCTTAGACAGAGCAGATTTGAAACACTCTATTTGTGCAATTTGCAAGTGTAGATTTCAAGCGCTTTAAGGTCAATGGCAGAAAAGGAAATATCTTCGTTTCAAAACTAGACAGAATCATTCCCACAAACTGCGTTGTGATGTGTTCGTTCACCTCACAGAGTTTAACCTTTCTGTTCATAGAGCAGTTAGGAAACACTCTGTTTGTAAAGTCTGTAAGTGGATATTCTGACATCTTGTGGCCTTCGTTGGAAACGGGATTTCTTCATATTCTGCTAGACAGAAGAATTCTCAGTAACTTCCTTGTGTTGTGTGTATTCAACTCACAGAGTTGCAGGATCCTTTACACAGAGCAGACTTGAAACACTCTTTTTCTGGAATTTGCAAGTGGAGATTTCAGCCGCTTTGAGGTCAATGGTAGAATAGGAAATATCTTCCTATAGAAACTAGACAGAATGATTCTCAGAAACTTCTTTGTGATGTGTGCGTTCAACTCACAGAGTTTAACCTTTCTTTTCATAGGGCAGTTAGGAAACACTCTGTTTGTAAAGTCTGCAAGTGGATATTCAGACCTCCTTGAGGCCTTCGTTGGAAGCGGGATTTCTTCATGTTCTGCTAGACAGAAGAATTCTCAGTAACTTCCTTGTGTTGTGTGTATTCAACTGACAGAGTTGAACTTTCATTTAGAGAGAGCAGATTTGAAACACTGTTTTTGTGGAATTTGCAAGTGGAGATTTCAAACGCTTTGGGGCCAAAGGCAGAAAAGGAAATATCTTCGTATGAAAACTAGACAGAATCATTCTCAGAAACTGCTCTGCGATGTGTGCGTTCAACTCTCAGAGTTTAACTTTTCTTTTCATTCAACAGTTTGAAAACACTCTGTTTGTAAAGTCTGCACGTGGATATTTTGACCACTTAGAGGCCTTCGTTGGAAACGGGTTTTTTTCTTGTAAGGCTAGACAGAAGAATTCTCAGTAACTTCCTTGTGTTGTGTGTATTCAACTCACAGAGTTGAACGATCCTTTACACAGAGCAGACTTGTAACACTCTTTTTGTGGAATTTGCAAGTGGAGATTTCAGCCGCTTTGAAGTCAAATGTAGAAAAGGAAATATCTTCCTATAAAAACTAGACATAAGGATTCTCAGAAACTCCTTTGTGATGTGTGCGTTCAACTCACAGAGTTTAATCTTTCTGTTCATAGAGCAGTTAGGAAACACTCTGTTTGTAAAGTCTGCAAGTGGATATTCAGACCTCCTTGAGGCCTTCGTTGGAAACGGGATTTCTTCATATTCTGCTAGACAGAAGAATTCTCAGTAACTTCCTTGTGTTGTGTGTATTCAACTCACAGAGTTGAACGATCCTTTACACAGAGCAGACATGAAACACTCTCTTTGTGGAATTTGCAAGTGGAGATTTCAGCCGCTTTGAGGTCAATAGCAGAAAAGGAAATATCTTCGTAGAAAAACTAGACAGAATGATTCTCAGAATCTCCTTTGTAATGTGTGCGTTCAACTCACAGAGTTTAACCTTTCTTTTCATAGAGCAGTTAGGAAACACTCTGTTTGTAAAGACTGCAAGTGGATATTCAGACCTCTTTGCGGCCTTCGTTGGAAACGGGATTTCTTCATATTCTGCTAGACAGAAGAATTCCCACTAACTTCCTTGTGTTGTGTGTGTTCAACTCACAGAGTTGAACTTTCATTTACACAGAGCAGATTTGAAACACTCTTTTTGTGGAATTTGCAAGTGGAGATTTCAAGCGCTTTGAGGCCAAAGGCAGAAAAGGAAATATCTTCGTTTCAAAACTATACAGAATCATTCTCAGAAACTTCTCTGCGATGTGTGCGTTCAACTCTCAGAGTTTAACTTTTCTTTTCATTCAGCAGTTTGGAAACACTCTGTTTGTAAAGTCTGCACGTGGATATTTTGACCACTTAGAGGCCTTCGTTGGAAACGGGTTTTTTTCCTGTAAGGCTAGACAGAAGAATTCCCAGTAACTTCCTTGTGTTGTGTACATTCAACTCACAGAGTTGAACGTTCCCTTAGACAGAGCAGATTTGAAACACTCTTTTTGTGCAATTGGCAAGTGGTGATTTCAGCCTCTTTGAGGTCAATGGTAGAAAAGGAAATATCTTCGTATAAAAACTAGATAGAATGATTCTCAGAAACTTCATTGTGATGTGTGTGTTCAACTCACAGAGTTTAACCTTTCTTTTCATAGAGCAGTTGGGAAACAGTCTGTTTGTAAATTCTGTAAGTGGATATTCTGACATCTTGTGGCCTTCGTTGGAAACGGGATTTCTTCATATTCTGCTAGACAGAAGAGTTCTCAGTAACTTCCTTGTGTTGTGTCTATTCAACTCACAGAGTTGAACGATCCTTTACACAGAGCAGACTTGAAACACTCTTTTTGTGGAATTTGCAAGTGGAGATTTCAGCCGCTTTGAGGTCAATGGTAGAAAAGGAAATATCTTCGTATAAAGACTAGACAGAATGATTCTCAGAAACTCCTTTGTGATGTGTGTGTTCAACTCACAGTGTTTAACCTTTCTTTTCATAGAGCAGTTAGTAAACACTCTGTTTATAAAGTCTGCAAGTGGATATTCAGACCCCTTTGAGGCCTTCGTTGGAAACGGGATTTCTTCATATTATGCTAGACAGAAGAATTCTCAGTAACTTCCTTGTGTTGTGTGTATTCAACTGACAGAGTTGAACGTTCATTTAGAGAGAGCAGATTTGTAACACTGTTTTTGTGGAATTTGCAAGTGGAGATTTCAAGCGCTTTGGGGCCAAAGGCAGAAAAGGAAATATCTTCGTATAAAAACTAGACAGAATCATTCTCAGAAACTGCTCTGCGATGTGTGCGTATAACTCTCAGAGTTTAACTTTTCTTTTCATTCAGCAGTTTGGAAACACTCTGTTTGTAAAGTCTGCACGTGGATAATTTGACCACTTAGAGACCTTCGTTGGAAACGGGTTTTTTTCATGTAAGGCTAGACAGAAGAATTCCCAGTAACTTCCTTGTGTTGTGTACATTCAACTCACAGAGTTGAACGTTCCCTCAGACAGAGCAGATTTGAAACACTCTTTTTGTGCAATTGGCAAATGGATATTTCAAGCGCTTTAAGGTCAATGGCAGAAAAGGAAATATCTTCGTTTCAAAACTAGACAGAATGATTCTCAGAAACTCCTTTGTGGTGTGTGCGTTCAACTCACAGAGTTTAACCTTTCTTTTCATAGAGCAGTTAGGAAACACTCTGTTTGTAAAGTCTGCAAGTGGATATTCAGACCTCTTTGAGGCCTTCGTTGGAAACGGGATTTCTTCATATTCTGCTAGACAGAAGAATTCTCAGTAACTTCCTTGTGTTGTGTGTATTCTACTCACAGAGTTGAACGATCCTTTACACAGAGCAGACTTGAAACACTCTTTTTGTGGAATTTGCAAGTGGAGATTTCAGCCGCTTTGAGGTCAATAGTAGAAAAGGAAATATCTTCGTAGAAAAACTAGGCAGAATGATTCTCAGAAACTCCTTTGTGATGTGTGTGCTCAACTCACAGAGTTTAACCTTTCTTTTCATAGAGCAGTTAGTAAACACTCTGTTTATAAAGTCTGCAAGTGGATATTCAGACCCCTTTGAGGCCTTCGTTGGAAACGGGATTTCTTCATATTATGCTAGACAGAAGAATTCTCAGTAACTTCCTTGTGTTGTGTGTATTCAACTCACAGAGTAGAACGATCCTTTACACAGAGCAGACTTGAAACACTCTTTTTGTGGAATTTGCAAGTGGAGATTTCAAGCGCTTTGAGGCCAAAGGCAGAAAAGGAAATATCTTCGTATAAAAACTAGACAGAATCATTCTCAGAAACTGCTCTGCGATCTGTGCGTTCAACTCTCAGAGTTTAACTTTTCTTTTCATTCAGCAGTTTGGAAACACTCTGTTTGTAAAGTCTACACGTGGATATTTTGACCACTTAGAGGCCTTCGTTGGAAACGGGTTTTTTTCCTGTAAGGCTAGAGAGAAGAATTCCCAGTAACTTCCTTGTGTTGTGTACATTCAACTCACAGAGTTGAACGTTCCCTTAGACAGAGCAGATTTGAAACACTCTTTTTGTGCAATTGGCAAGTGGTGATTTCAACCGCTTTTAGGTCAATGGTAGAAAAGGAAATATCTTCGTATAAAAACTAGACAGAATCATTCCCACAAACTGCGTTGTGATGTGTTCGTTCAACTCACAGAGTTTAACCTTTCTTTTCATAGAGCAGTTAGGAAACACTCTGTTTGTAAATTCTGTAAGTGGATATTCTGACATCTTGTGGCCTTCGTTGCAAACGGGATTTCTTCATATTCTGCTAGACAGAAGAATTCTCAGTAACTTCCTTGTGTTGTGTGTATTCAACTCACAGAGTTGAACGATGGTTTACACAGAGCAGATTTGAAACACTCTTTTTGTGGAATTTGCAAGTGGAGATTTCAGCCGCTTTGAGGTCAATGGTAGAAAAGGAAATATCTTCGTATAAAAACTAGACAGAAGCATTCTCAAAAACTCCTTTGTGAGGCTTGTGTTCAACTCCCAGAGGATAACATTGCTTTTCATAGAGCAGTTTTGAAACATTCTTTTCGTTGAGTCTCCAAGTGGACATTTGGAGCGCTTTCAGGCCTGTGGTGGAAAAGGAAATATCTTCACATAAAAACTAGAGAGAAGAATTCTCAGTAACTTCCTTGTGTTGTGTGTATTCAACTGACAGAGTTGAACTTTCATTTAGAGAGAGCAGATTTGAAACACTGTTTTTGTGGAATTTGCAAGTGGAGATTTCAAGCGCTTTGGGGCCAAAGGCAGAAAAGGAAATATCTTCGTTTAAAAACTAGACAGAATCATTCTCAGCAACTGCTGCGTGATGTGTGAGTTCAACTCTCAGAGTTTACCTTTTCTTTTCATTCAGCGGTTTGGAAACACTCTGTTTGTAAAGTCTGCACGTGGATATTTTGACCACTTAGAGGCCTTCGTTGGAAACTGGATTTTTTCATGTAAGGCTAGACAGAAAAATTCCCAGTAACTTCCTTGTGTTGTGTGCATTCAACTCACAGAGTTGAACGTTCCCTTAGACAGAGCAGATTTGAAACACTCTATTTGTGCAATTTGCAAGTGTAGATTTCAAGCGCTTTAAGGTCAACGGCAGAAAAGGAAATATCTTCGTTTTAAAACTAGACAGAATCATTCCCACAAACTGCGTTGTGATGTGTTCGTTCAACTCACAGAGTTTAACCTTTCTGTTCATAGAGCAGTTAGGAAACACTCTGTTTGTAAAGTCTGTAAGTGGATATTCTGACATCTTGTGGCCTTCGTTTGAAAAGGGATTTCTTCATATTCTGCTAGACAGAAGAATTCTCAGAAACTTCCTTGTGTTGTGTGTTTTCAACTCACAGAGTTGAACGATGCTTTACACAGAGTAGACTTGAAACACTCTTTTTGTGTAATTTGCAAGTGGAGATTTCAGCCGCTTTGAGGTCAATGGTAGAATAGGAAATATCTTCCTATAGAAACTAGACAGAATGATTCTCAGAACCTCCTTTGTGATGTGTGCGTTCAACTCACAGAGTTTAACCTTTCTTTTCATAGAGCAGTTAGGAAACACTCTGTTTGTAAAGTCTGCAAGTGGATATTCAGACCTCCTTGAGGCTTTCGTTGGAAACGGGATTTCTTCATATTCTGCTAGAAAGAAGAATTCCCAGTAACTTCCTTGTGTTGTGTGTGTTCAACTCACAGAGTTGAACTTTCATTTACACAGAGCAGATTTGAAACACTCTTTTTGTGGAATTTGCAAGTGGAGATTTCAAGCGCTTTGAGGCCAAAGGCAGAAAAGGAAATATCTTCGTATAAAAACCAGACAGAATCATTCTCAGAAACTGCTGCGTGATGTGTGCGTCCAACTCTCAGAGTTTAACTTTTCTTTTCATTCAGCGGTTTGGAAACACTCTGTTTGTAAAGTCTGCACGTGGATATTTTGACCACTTAGAGGCCTTCGTTGGAAACGGGTTTTTTTCATGTAAGGCTAGACAGAAGAATTCCCAGTAACTTCCTTGTGTTGTGTGCATTCAACTCACAGAGTTGAACGTTCCCTTAGACAGAGCAGATTTGAAACACTCTATTTGTGCAATTTGCAAGTGTAGATTTCAAGCGCTTTAAGGTCAATGGCAGAAAAGGAAATATCTTCGTTTCAAAACTAGACAGAATCATTCCCACAAACTGCGTTGTGATGTGTTCGTTCAACTTTCAGAGTTTAACCTTTCTGTTCATAGAGCAGTTAGGAAACACTCTGTTTGTAAAGTCTGTAAGTGGATATTCTGACATCTTGTGGCCTTCGTTGGAAACGGGATATCTTCATATTCTGCTAGACAGAATAATTCTCAGTAACTTCCTTGTGTTGTGTGTATTCAACTCACAGAGTTGAACGATCCTTTACACAGAGCAGACTTGAAACACTCTTTTTGTGGAATTTGCAAGTGGAGATTTCAGCCGCTTTGAGGTCAATGGTAGAAAAGGAAACTATCTTCATATAAAGACTAGACAGAATGATTCTCAGAAACTCCGTTGTGATGTGTGCGTTCAACTCACAGAGTTTAACCTTTCTTTTCATAGAGCAGTTAGGAAACACTCTGTTTGTAAAGTCTGCAAGTGGATATCCAGACCTCTTTGAGGCCTTCATTGGAAACGGGATTTCTTCATATTCTGCTAGACAGAAGAATTCTCAGTAACTTCCTTGTGTTGTGTGTATTCAACTGACAGAGTTGAACTTTCATTTAGAGAGAGCAGATTTGAAACACTGTTTTTGTGGAATTTGCAAGTGGAGATTTCAAGCGCTTTGGGGCCAAAGGTAGAAAAGGAAATATCTTCGTATAAAAACTAGACAGAATCATTCTCAGAAACTGCTCTGCGATGTGTGCGTTCAACTCTCAGAGTTTAACTTTGCTTTTCATTCAGCAGTTTGGAAACACTCTGTTTGTAAAGTCTGCACGTCGATAATTTGACCACTTAGAGGCCTTCGTTGGAAACGGGTTTTTTTCATGTAAGGCTAGACAGAAGAATTCCCAGTAACTTCCTTGTGTTGTGTGCATTCAACTCACAGAGTTGAACGTTCCCTTAGACAGAGCAGATTTGAAACACTCTATTTGTGCAATTTGCAAGTGTAGATTTCAAGCGCTTTAAGGTCAATGGCAGAAAAGGAAATATCTTCGTTTCAAAACTAGACAGAATGATTCTCAGAAACTCCTTTGTGATGTGTGCGTTCAACTCACAGAGTTTAACCTTTCTGTTCATAGAGCAGTTAGGAAACACTCTGTTTGTAAAGTCTGTAAGTGGATATTCTGACATCTTGTGGCCTTCGTTGGAAACGGGATTTCTTCATATTCTGCTAGACAGAAGAATTCTCAGTAACTTCCTTGTGTTGTGTGTATTCAACTCACAGAGTTGAACGATCCTTTACACAGAGCGGACTTGAAACACTCGTTTTGTGGAATTTGCAAGAGGAGATTTCAGCCGCGTTGAGGTCAATGGTAGAAAAGGAAATATCTTCGTATAAAAACTAGACAGAATGATTCTCAGAAACTCCTTTGTGATGTGTGCGTTCAACTCACAGAGTTTAACCTTTCTTTTCATAGAGCAGTTAGGAAACACTCTGTTTGTAAAGTCTGCAAGTGGATATTCAGACCTCCTTGAGGCCTTCGTTGGAAACGTGATTTCTTCATATTCTGCTAGACAGAAGAATTCCCAGTAACTTCCTTGTGTTGTGTGTGTTCAACTCACAGAGTTGAACTTTCATTTACCCAGAGCAGATTTGAAACACTCTTTTTGTGGAATTTGCAAGTGGAGATTTCAAGCGCTTTGAGGCCAAAGGCAGAAAAGGAAATATCTTCGTATAAAAACTAGACAGAATCATTCTCAGAAACTGCTGCGTGATGTGTGCGTTCAACTCTCAGAGTTTAACTTTTCTTTTCATTCAGCGGTTTGGAAACACTCTGTTTGTAAAGTCTGCACGTGGAAATTTTGACCACTTAGAGGCCTTCGTTGGAAACGGGTTTTTTCATTTAAGGCTAGACAGAAGAATTCCCAGTAACTTCCTTGTGTTGTGTGCATTCAACTCACAGAGTTGAACGTTCCCCTAGACAGAGCAGATTTGAAACACTCTATTTGTGCAATTTGCAAGTGTAGTTTTCAAGCTCTTTTAGGTCAACGGCAGAAAAGGAAATATCTTGGTTTCAAAACTAGACAGAATCATTCCCACAAACTGCGTTGTGATGTGTTCGTTCAACTCACAGTGTTTAACCTTTCTTTTCATAGAGCAGTTAGGAAAC